>NC_000023.11:149021060-149324090 GCF_000001405.40 Homo sapiens | reverse complement strand
CACCTGTCCCCTCTCCCACACAGCCTGAAGTCAGTCTGGACTGACTAATTCTGAACTCCTTGTTTTCCATAAGCCCTTGATTCTAGGCCTTTTGTATTAGTTTTCTATCACTGCATAACAAATTATCAGACATTTAACAGCTTAAAACAACACACATTTATTATCTCACAGTGTCTGTGTGTCAAAGGTCTGGACACAGCTTAACTGGGCCCTCTGATCAGGGTCTCACAAGGCTGAAATCAAAATGTTGTCTAGGGCTGAGGTTTCTTCTGGAGGCTTGGATGGGGAAGAAACTATTTCCAATCCTATTCAGTTTTATGGCAGAATTAATTTCCTTGTGGCTGTATGACTGAAGGTCTTTGGCTTTTGTTCCTGACTGTGGGCTGGGGGCCACTTGACCTTCCTTGTCACAAGGGCTTCCTCAACATGGCTGTTTACTTCATCAAGCCATAAAGGAGAATCCCTCCTTCTAGTCTGCTATGGTGGAGTCCTATACAACAAGGTAATCATGGGAATGACATTCCATGACTCCCATTCTGTAGGTTACATTCTGTATGGTTTGAAGCAAATCACTGGTACCATTTATACTCAGAGAAGAGATTATACAAAGGCATGAACACCAGGAGATGGGAATAATCAGGGGTTACCTTAAGGTCTGTCTGCCATATACTAGGATTGTCTGTCTTGTCCTAGCATTGTCACTGGCCCAGGAACTGCTTCAGAGGAGATTCCCTCTTCTGCCCCACCATTAGCAGTAGTGGGATCTTTGGCTATCACTGCTAAAGTGATTGATTGACTCTTCACATCCTAAGATTTATCCCAAGATACATGGTCTGGTACCTTAGGCACATCTGGGTCTAGTTAGATGAGTTGGTGAGAGCATGGTACCACAAGTTCTACTTCCCTGGAGAATATGAGCCTGACATGTGTGACCTGTGAGAAAGGTGATTGATTGGAAGGAGCGTGTATGGGAGCAGCAGTGCTCATGTATATGTCTATGTATATCTGTGCACACTACCAGATAAAATAATGCTAGGTTCAAAGGCTACTGGTAAGCTATTCAGAGCTTGTTCCTGGGTGTGGCTTAGCTGGAAGAGCTTTAAGAAGCTGAGGATCATAGGGAAATCTTGCTTTTGAAATTGTGGAGGAACTCTGATTTTATAAAAGCATTTGGAGTTAAGAGCCAAGAGGTAAATCAAAACCAGAAAGCCAGAGAAGAGAGTTCAAAAGGCTGACAACCTGAGGCTACAGAGGGAGACAGTGAGAGATGGGAGACAGAGCCTCACATGGAGTAGTCCTCTAGAAACCATGGGGCATTATTGTAATTAATGAAAGGTCTGCAGAATGATGGCCATGTTGCTTAGACATGAGTTACTCTTGAACATTTAATTTTCCATTTTCTCATAAATATTTGTTGGATAAAAGAATTTTCTTTATTTAGACATGCTACGTATGTAGGAATTTGATGCTGTAAAAATCCATGCTTGGGGCCAGGTCAAGTTCTCTTTTTGACTCATCAATAAAATAGTGCTTAAAGGAAATGATCTTATCTTGCCTTATGGGAACAAGTACCTCTTTGAAGGGCCCTGCTATCATTCCGTTCAGGCAAAGATTGCTCAACTTGTTCTTGATAGACTGTCTCACAGAGTCATTGGGCTGTTAAACATTGAGCTCTGCACAGTCCATTTTTTTGAAACCTCTTATGCCTTCTCCTCTGTGGGCCCTCAGATGGCCTGGCAGATCACCAGATCAGTTATGGAGGGCAGATATTCTAAATTGAACAGACTGTGTGAGGCTTAGAGAAACACTTGGGCTCATCACTGGTGCCTTCTGCACTCTCTATTAATGAGCATCAGTGCTGAAAATCAGGTGCCGTTGGGTTGGGAAACCTGGTGGCACAACTGCAGAAAGGCTGAACAGAGGTGGGTTGCTTATGGGTGGTAACATGAATGCTACAACCACCCAATTAATATCATTTTTAAAGAAAAGCCCCTTGGTCTGTAATCTACATGGGCATTTGTCTTCCCATGGAATGTCATTTGAGCTTGCATTGACCAATTCAGATACCTTCCTGAATGAGAATGATACTTTACCTCTAAAATTGATGCAAATCACTAGGCCAAGGACGGAGTCCTCACAGTGGTTGAGTCAAAAAGGTTTTTCTGCTGGAACGTGGAGTAAATATGCCAGCTAGGCAAAGTGTTCTCCTTCCTCCAAGGCATATCTCAGAGTAGTGTACTGTCATCTATTTAGTTGCTCAGCCCAGAATCTGAGAGTCATCCTTGATACCTCTTTCTCCTTGCTCCCAGCTCTGTAGATTGCACCTCCTGAATATCTTTCTCCTATGTACTCCTGTCTTCATTATTTTCTGCCAACCTAAGCCACATCATCTCTCATCTGGACAATTGTTATCAATGAAAAGTTTCAAACTCTGTAAAATATTTGAAGAGATTTATTCTGAACCAAATATGAGTGCCCATGGCCTGTGACACAGCCCATGGGAGGTCCTGAGAACATATGCCTAAGGTGGTCAGGGTGCAGCTTGGTTTTATACATTTTAGGGAGACATGAGACAGCAATCAAATACATTTGAGAAATACATTGGTTTGGTCCAGAAAGGCAGAAGAATTTAAAGGGGGGTGGGGGCATGCTTCCAGGCTATAGGTAAATTTAAACATTTTCTGGTTGACAATTGGTTGAGTTTGTCTAAAGACCTGCAATCAATAGAAAGGAAATGTTCAGGTTAAGAAAAAAGATTGTGAAGACCAAGTTTCTTTTGAAGTCTCATAGTGGTTGCCATTAGAGACAACAGATGACAAATGCTTCCTGTTCAGATCTTTAAAAGGTGCTAGACTCTCATTTAATCTCTTTAGGATTGGGAGGGCCTGGAAGAAGATCTAGCTATGTGAATAGAGACTGCAAATTTTCACCACAAAGGACGGCTTTGCAGGGCCATTTCAAAATATGGCAAAGAAACATATTTTGGGGTAAAATATTTTTATCTTCCTCTTTGTCAAATAATGTTATGCCGGAGTCAAATTGGAAGGTAAGTCACAATATATAGGGTTAAATAAAACCCATCTGATGAGAATATGTGGTTTGTAGGGCATGACTCCCCAGACCCCTTAGATAAGAATTTGGGCAAGATAAGAAAAAAATCAGAGCTTAGTTCTCACTGTCCTGGTTTCCCAACTCCAGGAGAAGGAGTCCTCTGTCAGTTTCTCCCCTTACCTGCTTTCAATCTGTACTCCATCCATTGGCAAAAGTGATTCTTACTAATGCAGACCTTATTAGGACATTTTCCTCCTTGCTTAGAACCTTGCAATTATTAGATCAAATCCTTAACACAGCTAATGATCACTTTTGCCTTTTTCAGCCACATCCTGAGCCATTTGTTCCTTCACTCTCTGCCCTCCAGTCACACAGGCTGCCTTTTGGTCTCTCAGAAGATATATGTTCTTTTCCACCTCTAGGCCTTTCTTTCCACATGATCCATTTGCATGGAATACCCTCCCCTTCTGCTCTTTTGATCTGGTTATTTCTTATTTATCCTTAAAAGTATTGCTCAAATGTCACTTTTTCAATGAAGCCTGTCTGATCCTTGCCCAAAATAAGATTAGTTTCATCTACTATTTGTTCTCATACCACTGTGTGCTTCTTCTTTGTAGTACTTATTTTCATGCGCGTCCCTGTGAAGAGACCACCAAAGTTTTTTTTTGGGGCACAGTCTAAGTTGGTCTGGTGTTGAATGAGACTGGGGCCTAATAAAAAGGAGCATCTATACAGGAGCTTAAATGGGCTGTACCTTGTAGCATTCTGAGGACAGGTCTGACTTCTGAGAAGGGAAAGTGGTAAAAGTATTGTCCAGTATTTTTTAAGTTGGTGGCTGAGCTTGGTGAGGTGTGTTTTTAAAAGACCTTTAGTCCGTTCTACTTTTCCTGAAGACGGAGGACCATAAGGGATATAAAGGTTTCACTGAATACTAAGAGCCTGAAAAACTGCTTGGCTGATTTGACTGATAAAGGCTGGTCTGTTATCAGACTGTATAGAGGTAGGAAGGCTAAACTGAGGAATTACGTCTGACAGAAGGGAAGAAATGACTACGGTGGCCTTCTCAGACCCTGTAGGAAAGGCCTTTACTTATTCAGTGAAAGTTTCTATTTAGACTAAGAGGTATTTTAGTTTCCTGACTCAGGGCATGTTGAGTAAAGCTAATTTGCCAGTCCTGGGCGGGGGCAAATCCTCGAGATTGATATGTAGGGAAGGGAGGGGGCCTGAATAATCCCTGAGTAGTAGAATAGCAGATGGAACACTGAGAAGTTATTTCCTTGAGGATAGATTTCCATGATGGAAAGGAAATGAGAGGTTCTGAGAGGTGGGCTAGTGGCTTGTACTATAGCATAGCCTGCCTTTGCTGGTGTGTGGCGATTAGGCCTGGTGGAACTGCCATCAATAAATCAAGCGTGATCAGGGTGAGGAACAGCAAAGAAGGAAATATGGGGAAATGGGGTGAATATCAGGTGGATCAGAGAGATACAGTCATGGGGGTCAGGTGTGGTATCAGGAATAATGTGGGAGGCCAGATTGAAGTCCGGGCCAGGAACAATGGTAATTGTGGGACTTAACAAAGAGTGAGTACAGCTGAAGGAGCTGGGGAGCAGAAAGTATATGCATCAGGTATGAGGAAGAAAATAGATTTTGGAAGTTATGAGAAATGTAGAGAGTGAGTTGAGCATAGTTTGTGATTTTTAGGGCCTCTAAAAGTATTAAAGCAGCGGCAGCCGCTGCACACAGACATGAGGGCTAGGCTAAAACAGTAAGGTCAAGTTGTTTGGACAGAAAGGCTACAGGGTGCAGTCCTGGCTCTTGTGTAAGAATTCTGACCACACTAACCATGCCTAGGAGGAAAGGCATTGTTGTTTTGTAAGGGATTGAGGTTTGGGAGATTAATCGGACATGATCAGCAGGGAGAGCAGGTATGTTTTTATGAGAATTATGCCGAGATAGGTAACAGATGAGGATGAAATTTGGGCTTGACTGAAGTAATGGGGGCTGTCTGTGAAGCCTTGCAGCAGTACAGACCAGGTAATTTGCTGAGCCTAATGGATATCGGGGTCAGTCTAAGTGAAAGCAAAGAGAGGCTGGGATGAAGGGTGCAAAGGAATAGTAAAGAAAGCATGTTTGAGATCCAGAACAGAATAATGGGTAGTAGAGGGAGGTATTGAGGATAGGAGAGTATATGGGTTTGGCACCACGGGGTGGATAGGCAAAACAATTTGGTTGATAAGGCGCAGATTCTGAACTAACTTGTAAGCCTTGTCTGGTTTTAGGACAGGTAAAATGGGGGAATGGTAAGGAGAGTTTATAGGCTTTAAAAGGCCATGCTGTAGCAGGCGAGTGATAACAGGCTTTAATCCTTTTAAAGTGTGCTGTGGGATGGGATCTTGGCATTGAGTGGGGTAAGGGTGATTAGGTTTTAATGAGATGGTAAGGGGTGCATGATCGGTCACCAAGGAGGGAGTAGAGGTATCTTACACTTGTGGGTTAAGGTGGGGGGATACAAGAGGAGGACGCAAAGGAGGCTTTGGATTGGGAAGAAGGGTGGCAATGAGATGCAGCTGTAGTCCAGGAATAGTCAGGGAAGCAGATAATTTAGTTAAAGTGTCTCAGCCTAATAAGGGAACTGGGCAGGTGGGGATAACTAAAAAGGAGTGCTTAAAAGAGTATTGTCTAAGTTGGCACCAGAGTTGGGGAGTTTTAAGAGGTTTAGAAGCCTGGCCATCAATACCCACAACAGTTACAGAGGCAAGAGAAACAGGCCCTTGAAAAGAAGGTAATGTGGAGTGGGTAGCCTCCATATTGATTAAGAAGGGGATGGGCTTACCTTCCACTGTGAGAGTTACCTAAAGCTCGGCGTCCGTGATGGTCTACGGGGCTTCCGAGGCAATCGGGCAGCATCAGTCTTCAGCCACTAAGCTGAGAAGGAGTCAGTCAGAGAGCCTTGTGCCAGAGTTCCAGGGGCTCTGGGAGTGGCTGCCAGGTGAGTTGAACAGTCCAATTTCCAGTGGGGTCCCACACAGATGGGACATGGCTTAGGAGGAATCCTGGGCTGCAGGCATTCCTTGGCCTGGTGGTCAGATTTCTGACACTTGTAGCAAGTTCCTCGGGGAGGAGGTTCTGGAGGAACGCCTGGCTGCTGTGGTTCGGGCATTTGGAAATTCTTTTGTGCTGGAGATGTGGCTGGGGTTTGTCTCAGTGGAGGCAAGGAATTGCAACTTTTTTCTATTATTGTACACCTTGAAGGTGAGGTTAATTAAGTCCTGTTGTGGGGTTTGAGGGCCAGATTCTAATTTTTGGAGTTTTATTTAATGTTGGGAGCAGATTGGGTAATAAAATGTATATTGAGAATAAGCTGGCCTTTTGACTTTTTAGGGTCTAGGGCTGTAAAGTGTCTCAGGGTTGCTGCTGAACGAGCCATGAACTGGGCTGGGTTTTTCATATTTGATGAAAGAGCCTAAACGCTCACTGATTTGGGAGAGGTCTGATAAAGAAAAGGAGCATTAACCTTGACTGTGCCTTTAGCTCCAGCCACCTTTTTAAGAGTAAATTGCTGGGCAGGTGGGGGAGGGCTAGTCACGGAATGAAACTGTAAACTGGACCGGGTGTGAGGAGGGGAGGTGATAAAAGGATTATAGGGTGGAGGAGCAGAGGCTGAGGAAGAATTGGGACCTAGCTTGGCCTGGCGAGGAGGGGAGAGGTCAGATGGGTCTATAGAAAAGGAAGATTAGAAAGACTCAGTGACGCTTGGGGTTGGGACTGAGGGGACAGGTGGGAGGGAAAGAAGGAAGATTTGGGATGAGTTGCATTGGGCACAGAGACTAGGAAGGGACCCATGTGTAAAAGAATGCCTGGACGTCAGGCACCTCAGACCATTTGCCCATTTTACGACAAGAATTATTTAGATCTTGTAGGGTGGAAACATTGAAAGTGCCGTATTCTGGCTATTTGGAACTACTGTCGAGTTTGTATTGGGGTCAAGCAGCATTGCAGAAGAAAGTAAGGCATTTAGGTTTTAGGTCAGGTGTGAGTTGAAGAGGTTTTAAGTTCTTAAGAACACAGGCTAAGGTAGAAGAAGGAGGAATGGAGGGTGGAAGGTTGCCCATAGTGAAGGAGGCAAGTTTAAAGAAAAGGAAGAGTAGAGACACGGAGGGAAGCAGTTCGGGGGTTCTTACCCTCCAGAAAAGTGGGAAAGGGGTCGGGGCATGGAAATAAGGGGTTGGGGCACAGAGATAAGAGGTCGGGGTGCGGAAATAAGGGATTGGGGTTTCTTGCCCCCTAGAAAAGTGGGACTTGCCACTAAGGGTGAAGGAGAAGGGGTTGAGGGGTACTTGCCCCTCCCCCAGAAAAGCAGAGAAGGGGTAGAGACATGGAGAGAAGGGGTTGAGGTACTTGCCCCTCCCCTAGAAAAGCGGGACTTGCTGCTAAGGGTGAAGGAGAAGGGGTTGAGGGGTTCTTGCCCCTGCCCCAGAAAATCAGAGAAGGGGTAGAGACACGGAGAGAAGGGGTTGGGGTACTTGCCCCTCCCCCAGAAAAGTGGGACTTGCTGCTAAGGGTGAAGGACCAAGGCAGGTGTCCCTGCGTGGTCTGACACCTCTGAAACATGGGTGAATAATCAGAGAGACATCCCTGCAACGATTAAACACCAAGGGAAGGCTGCCTTCCCAGTCCGTGACCGGCGCCAGAGTTTTGGGTCCACAGAGAAAATGTGTCTCCTTTGTCTCTACCAGAAAATGAAAGGAATTGAAATTAAGAGAAGGGAGAGATTGAAGTGTGGCGCCAAGATTGAAAGGACAAAGAGGTTGAGGGATAGTGAGGGAGGTTGGAGAAGAGAGTAAAAAGAGGCTGCTTACCAGATTTGAAATTGGTGAGATGTTTCTTGGGCTGGTCGGTCTGAGGACCTGAGGTCGTAGGTGGATCTTTCTCATGGAGCAAAGAGCAGGAGGATGGGGGATTGATCTCCCAAGGGAGGTCCCCTGATCTGAGTCACAGCACCAAATTTCATGTGCGTCAGTGTGAAGAGACCACCAAACAGGCTTTGTGTGAGCAACATGGCTGTTTATTTCACCTGGGTGCAGGCGGGCTGAGTCCGAAAAGAGAGTCAGCAAAGGGAGATGGATTATCATTGGTTCTTAGGTTTTGGGATAGGCGGTGAAGTTAAGAGCAATGTTTTGCAGGCAGGGGTGGATCTCACAAAGTACATTCTCAAGGGTGGGGAGAATTACAAAGAACCTTCTTAAGGGTGGGGGAGATTACAAAGTACATTGATCAGTTAGGGTGGGGCAGGAACAAATCACAATGGTGGAATGTCATCAGTTAAGGCTATTTTTACTTCTTTTGTGGATCTTCAGTTACTTCAGGCCATCTGGGTGTATACGTGCAAGTCACAGGGGATGCAATGGCTTGGCTTGGGCTCAGAGGCCTGACACTTATCACCAGTATAGTCATGTGATTAAGTGGAATATTAATTGTTCAATGACAGTCTCCAATTTTAGATCATTGGCTCCAGGAAGACAAGGACTGTGTTCTCTTGTTCACTGTGGTCAAACCAGCACTGAGAATAGGGCTTGGCATGTGGAAGCCCTGTACTGGATAGTTGGCACATGAATGAATGAGTTGTAGGTAGTTTTCTACCAGTTACTAGCTGTGTCCTCTTAGGCAAATTACTTAACCTTTTTAAGAGTCCTAATTTGTTAAATGGGCTGTTCTAAGGATTCAGTAAAAACACAGGTCAAGTACTTAGCACATGCTAGACACAACAAATATTATTCTTCTCTCAGAATGGAGAATCCCAATTCTGGGAATTGGTCACTGCAGATTCTCTCTACCTGGTTAAACATGTCAGAATTCATCTTGCTAATAAAACCTAGTTTCCTTTGGACAGGCCAATATTGCTTGGAGGACAAGATTAGGAATTTATCCATCTGACCCTACAAACCCCTAGAGCAAAACTGAGCAATTCATCTATGCATCCACTCTTTTAGTTAACAAATATATATTGAGCACCTGTGGGTTAAGAGCTTGTACTATAACAGTGATCAAGAAATATATTGTCTCTGACCTCTTGGAGCTTACAGTTAGATCCCTTCAATGGTTTGGTTTTCATGTCACCAAACAAAGGGCTTGACTCTTCTGTATTTGTCTTTAGGCAGCCCTAGCTGTGGTTTGTGGTACAGTGTGGAGGAACCTTTAGCTTCTTAGTTCAGTTAGAGACATTTTCTTCTCTAGATACATTTGCGCTGGGATTTTAAAATCATTATCCACAACTGCACTTGAAATTGCATTCTTTCTCAACATGAATGCAGGCAAGTTATTTGTCCTTTTTCTCAGAAGAACAGCTGTTTGCAAAGTGTTGGGAAGAAAGGTATCAGGTGAATGGGAATGATATTATAATTTATTGAAAACTATTCAATTTGTTTTCATTCCCTGCCATGTGTCCAAGCTGACAGCATGACTTTGCTTCTGAAGTCTGTTTGCATTTCTTGGTGATTTTAGCTCATTAATGACACCTACCTATTGAAAAGAACAAGGGAAATGTATAACTCCAAGGTACCAGAGCCCTGTCTTTTGCTGTGATTTTCAAAAACACTGATTGATGTATTGTGTATGAATAAGAATACCTCGATTTTGAAATGCATACACACAAAACTGCTCTGCAGAACAACTCATGCTATCGTGCTGACCCTGACCTGTGTAAGCTGCCTGGACTCCAACTCAGTGGGATGGGAAAACACCCTCGGAGCCAAGAGTCTCCTGGAACGATGAAACAGGAGGCTTTGCAAAATCTGTTTTTTTCTTAGTCACACGGAGAATCATCTGATCGTGGAGAAAGGCAGAATCTTGTCAGTACCTCATTTGTTTGTTTTGGAAAGAGGCAGCAGAGCACCCATGTGTGGATCTGTGCGTGAGCTTGTTGGTTTTGACGGGGAAACCCAATATTAGGAGAAAGAGCACCATTCTTCCTCTGTTCAGAAATGCAGGGGCCTCTCATGTGACAGAGCCAGTTCCACGGCTTCGCCTTTAATGGAGTGAGCAGATTGCAGGAAGAATGTGATGCTGCTCAGTAAATTTAATGACTTTATGAAGATAAATGTTTCCCTTCCGAGGCTCCTTCTTGTCAGAATACATTTAATACCGCCATTCCTTTGAGAACTAAATTCCTGTAGCACTTTGCAGCATATTAACATGTTTTTCTCACCACATGAAATTGCACTTCAAGCAAGAAATAATAATGTTTCTGCCTCCCCTTGTACATTTTTATTACTGCCAATGAATAGGAGTAAATTAACTATTATGGCTAACATTATTCACGGGGACAAATTCCTAACTCATTTTACAGAGAATAATAAATAACTGAATGAATAAGATGCCTTTAATTTCACATGTGAATTATCAAAGATTCCTCAGAGTAACAGAAGAGAGGCTATCATGTTTATACAGAAAATATAAATATATAGTCAGGGCTTAGCATCACAAGCTATGTCATCTAATAGTCACTTGCTTTTGGCTACACACAGGACCATGCTGCTCCGGGTCTCTGATCCTATGGCACCAAATTCCATCCATCAGTCACCCTCAGCCACATAACATATACTCTAATTAAAAACTAGAAGGGCTATGTTTAGCTTTTACAAACTGTAATTATAATTTTTCTCCAGGTGTTTATCACTTCATCCTCTGGGCAAAGTCAAGACTAAGTAGATCTTTTTCCTGTTAATGACATGACAAAGCAAATTCTACTCAAATGAAAATTGCCTAAGTCCTGGACAGTAATTTTTTTTATTTGGAATTGCCTTCAACACACCCAAATTCCAGTACAATGACATAATTTGAACAAATTCATGTAGCCTGTTCTAATGGGATTTTTGCTGCACCATAAATTGTCAAGGACCTGAAAGGTACAAGCAGACAGGATAATAGGGAACAGAAGAGCATACACACCCTTCTGGGATATTATTCTACTTAATGACCTTCCCAGATTTCTGTGGCTGCACTGCCACAGCTGTGCCCTCCTTGCCAGACATCTATTAAGCAAGGCCTGTGTTGGGGTGCAGGATACAAAGTTGAGGGATTTAAGCCTCCCTGAGAGAGCATATGCCACCTGGTATCCTTGGTTAGTTGCCTAAAGGGGGTGATAGGCCACAGCAGTGTAGGGTAGGCCTTCAGGGAAGCAGAGGATCAGCTTGGTGGAGAGGAGGGCAGGGCAAGAAGCCCTTCTGGGTTGACACACAGCAGAAGCAGATGTATGCAGGTGGGAATGTTTTGGGAATGCTTGGGAAAGGGGAAGGAGGAGTCCATTTCATTGGAATGGAGCCGAGGCTGTGTGGGGAAAGTGAGCATAGGAACAGACTGTGGCAGGCCTCAGATGCTTGGCTAAAAGAAGGGAGGGCTGCCTCATTCCCCTGGACACTGAGGAACTAATGAAAAATTTTGTGCAAGTGACATACCTGATACATCTATGATTTGTGAAACATTTTCTAGAAATTATGTGGAATGGATCTGAACAGAAGCCTGGAAGAGACAAGCCACTTACTAGATAATTGTTTCTCCATTCTTATCACCTGGAAAGTGGGGCTTGGTTTTCGTGACAGGAGAAAACTAAGAGAGCATTTGTTGTATACTTTGTCCTGTCTCCCCATCTTGGGACCAAGGAAGAACCACAAACATGGCTTTGCAAGGGTCACTTTAATAGATCACTCCTTCCAGCTACATTTTAGGATTAGGTTGGTGCAAAAGTAATTGCGGTTTTTGCCATTAAAAGTATTTGCAAAAACTGCAATTACTTTTGCACCTACCTAATAATTATAGACCAGCAACTGCTAGACTTCTAGGTCTACATAACACTAGGGCTTTTATTTAGGCGAATATCAGGGAAATGGCTCACTGAATGAATCTTGGAGGACATATTGATATGGACAGGAAGCAAGGAAATACTGGTTAAAATAGGATGTTTCCCCAGCAAAGACCTCACCCTTAAGCCTGGAAACCCGCAGCCCTAAAAGGGAAAGGGCATTCCTGAATTTGCTCCCAAATGTAGCCTTTTGGCTCACCACACCCCTCTATCCTGTACTCAAATAAGCCTCAAACCCCAGGCTCCACGAGAAGATGAGCAGAAGATCAGAGGAACAGAAGAGTGGCATGGCAGAGAAGGAGAGAAGAGAAGGAGCGTCTGTCTGGATGTTGAGAGGAGTTCAGTCAGGGATGGTTGGAGAGGAGATCAGCCGCAGGATGGCCAAACTCCAGGAGAAGATTATCTTCCCACTCCATCCCCTTTCCAGTTCCCCATCCATCTTGTTGGGAGCCAATGGGATGGTGAAGCCAATGATGAAGGAGCCACTTTCACCATTCAATAAAACCTCCGCATTCTCCATCCTTCAAGTCTGTGTGTGACCTGATTCTCCCTGGATGCCAGACAAGGACCTGGATACCAAGAGGGCGCTGAGCTGGTTAACACTTAAGCCATCTGTAAACAGCAGAGCTAAAAATAAAAGCACTGTAACATGCTCACTGGGGCTCCAGGAGTCACAGGCACCCAGTCCTAGACACTACCATGGGACTGGAGCCCAAAAACACTTGCCCTGGTTCATGCTCCTGCCTGTCTGCATGCTTCCCCCACTGTAAGGGGTTTGAGTGTGTGGTGGCCGAAGAGACAAGCTACACACCTGTCGCATGTCATGCGAGGGGGTTCAGGGAGCTCTCCTGTTTCAGTATAGGTGAACTAGTGTTCACCTGAGTGGCCATTCAGGCTGTTACTCCCTCAGGGAGCAGATACCCATTCAAAGACTTTCCTTGTGCTGAACCCTATTCAGATGCTCTTGGAACCACCCAGAGTAAGCCAAATCCCTGAGCACAGCTCAATCTTTCTCTTATTTGGATCAAACATCTCCAGTTCAAAAATCCCTGTGACGGATGAGCCAGCTTGCCTTGCTGGTCACCTACTCTTATCAAAGTTCAAGAATTCAATGTCCCTCTGAGAGCATGTTGTTGCCAAGAACTGACTAAGTCCCTCCAGCTGTGGTCTCCTTGGGACAGAGTTGGGCTGGTTCATCACCTCACTTGTTCTGAGCCGCATATTCTATTCAGAGAGCCCTAGCAGACACTGGTCTTCAGGGCAGCCCCATCTCACAATTGTTTGGGATACAACTGGTCCTTATTAAAAACCCACAATTCATTTTTATGAATGCCATTTATTCAGGTCTTCCCCTAAATACATTGACTTTTTGGACCTAAGTGCAGAACTTTGCACTATCTTTATTAAACTTCATATTTTTTCACCAACTCTTCCATTTAAATAACTGTGTGTCCTTATTCTCTTTGATATAGTTTATTTCCTTCCCAGCTTTGTGATATTTGTCAATTTGATCTATAGGCCATCAACGTCTGCATCCAAGAGTTTGTTGGAAATTGTTACACTAGATGGGCCTCAGGTCCCCCTGCCTCTAACATGTTTGAGTTAATTAGAATTTGAGGCATACAGGCAGTCATTCAACTGGTTATAAATCCACTAAACTATCTGATTTATAGAATTTGCCACCTTCTCATATTGTAAAATTGGGATAGAATGTTGTCTTTTCTAGTGTCCCAATATCATTCCTGTTCTTACAAGAGAAATTTCTCAAGGATTGCTAGACTTTAATTATTCTGTCATTATGATGAGCCTTGGGGCAGAATTTACCCAGGCCAGGAGGTACAAACTCATTTAGAATAACTTACAGTTTTCTTTTGGTAAATATATGCATTTTCTGATTGTAAAGTTACTGAACAAAATTGGAAAATGCAGAAAAGAAAATTTTAAAATCGCCAATATTCCTACCTCCCTGAGATCCTTCTGTTAAAATATTTTTGTGAGTTATTTCAGAATTTTTCTATGAACATATAGACATATGCATGAATGTATTAAGTGTATATGTCTGTACAAACATAAGATTGAGGTCATGCTGGATATTTTGTATCCTGTTTTATTTTGCTTATTAATTATATTATGAACAATATACTTTTAAAAACATAATTTAATGCCGAGTTGTACTCTATCACGTAAATATGCCAGAGTTTAGTTGACTAATTAGACTTTTAATAATAGTGTCAAATGCTCTCATTCACAAATGGATGCATTTTTCTAATTATCCCTGTAGGATACATTTTTGTAAATAGAAATATTGAGTCAAACAATATAGATTTTCCAAGATTTTCATATAATTTGCCAAATTGCCTTTCAGAAAAGTCTTACCAGTTGGTAATTTAACATAAGTGTATAAATAGTCATATCCCATTTGCTTTGCCAATTTTATGTATTTTCATGTTTAAAATTTTTGCTAATTTGATGGGCAAATAATGTTGTCTTATTTTCATCTGCATTTCTTTGATTGCCAATCATGTTGGCATTTTAAAGTTTATTAAATATATATGGTGCATATGTTATCATTGTCTATTTTTGTCTTTTGCCTCATTTGTGTTGTTTTCCACTTTCTGACTTATGAGAGTTTTTATATATGAAGGATAGTCACTTGTCATATTTCTTGGAATATTTATTTAGTTTCTCACTTGCTTCACTTTCTTCTGTAAAATAGGAATGATCCTATTTACTTTGTGAGACTGGTTTTATGGTTAGCCATGCAATGAATAAAGTCTCTAACACAGTGCCCAGCACGTGGTTGATGCTCAGTGCGAATGGTTATGACTATAGTTGTTATCAATTCAACTTGTAATCCAATGGATATGGCAGTCTAGGCATTTCCCCCACATGTCAGATCTCTGTGCAGGAAGCCCTAATACTAAAACTGCCTCTGGGCAAACACAGGGTCCAGTCATCTTCTGCCTGCAAGAGTACTCACTAGGTTGGCTGACCCTTTGAAGGAAGACTCCAGCTAGAGGACACAGACTCCAGTGCCACCAAAGAAGTAGCACAACATGCCTATGGAGTAGATGCTATCACTATTCCTCATTTAACCATGAGGAAACTGAAGCACAAGGGGCTTAAAGAGCTTGCCCAAGGTCAAAAAGTCACTAAAGAAAACCTAAGTGTGTAGCATCTCAAAAACCAGCCATATTAACTTGAGCAGATCTGCTCTCTGGGTTGAGGGTTTCTTATCTGTAAAGTGAAGAATTTTTAGTAGGCAATCTCTAAGACCCTTGGAATTCCAGCAGTCTGTATTTCACTTAGAGAATCTGTAGGACCCTGTCATTTACCAGCCCAAGTATAGCCCTGAATTTATCAGGCATAAAATTTATTAAATTAATTCACAGTTGCCCAAGGGCACTTTGTATCCTTTGCAACTCTTGGTTCTGTTACTTACCTTGCCAGTGAGAAGAGGGTTAAGAGGTACAAGATCAAGCCTCCTTATTCATTGGACTAGATTTCTACTTACATCTCTTCTGTAATACAAAGTGCAGGTACCAGCTCACAGGTCCCTCAGACTCAACATGTCCAAACTGAACTCAGCTTTTTCCCCTCTAGAATAGCATCCTGTCATAGCATTTCTCATGGTTTGTAATTATGCAAGGCTTGGTGGTATTATTTGCTTTGTATCTGTCTCCTCTAGGCAGTTTTACCAATCTAAGAGGTGAAAGGTGGTCCTGAGTGTTACTGTGCATTTTGATCTTACCTCAATTGCAGAATGTTCCACACCATGTTGTACTCGTTAGTTTAGTTATCTCTCTATGGCCAAAGACTGGGATCCTTAAGAACAAGGCACAACTTCTTTATCTTTGGACCTCTAGTTCCCAGAACAAAATAGCTTCTCAGTATTTTTTGAGCTGGTACAAAATAAGTGCTCCTTAAAAAATAGACAGCTGAAGGAAGGACTGCCCAACTGAGAAGGCCAGCCACTACTGAGGTCAGAGTCCACACCCTGACCCATCTCAGTGCCAGCAGAGCAGCTGTGGGCACCTCCTCCTGGCACACATCATACAAGATACTGAGAAAGCTTCCCTCCCAGATTGACGGCCATTCTAGCCTCCCACTGCATGAAGGAGTGAGAACCACTTCCCAACATAAAGTTGCCAAAAACCAAAGGAGGTAACCAAAATGATCAAACCCTATTAGGCCTCACCCAAGCTTGTTGGAGACCATGTTTTCTGTTGTAAGAACCATCTGAGTTTCCCAAAAGAGAAGCCAAAAAGAACTTCAAGAGACACTGAGGGAACACTGGGGAACCATAGTCCTTCTGGGGCTGCTCTGGCTTTGGCTGTCCCTAATACTATGTCCAGTCCTTGCTGAACATTCAGCCCAGGTGAGGATGCAAACATTTTCTATTAATTCCTGTGGCACTGTTGAGGCAGGCCAAAGTCTTCAAGAGAACTTAATACTGAGGGAGCATAGCAAGGCAGTCCTGATTGAGAGGCTTCTTGGGATGCCCCGATCACGATCAGGCTCAGGCCCCAAATGATTGGTTTTCCTTTGGCCTTTTGGTCCACTGTCCTGTAGTCCAGTCAGCTGTTATCACAGAAGATGCCAACAGACAACTGACTACGATGGGGTGGCTGCCTCAACAGGGATCCCCTACTCTGCCCTAGCCTGGAATCAGCCACTTTTCCAAGAAGCTCTGGCTCTTTTGAGTGGGGAGTTTAAACCAATATTTGGTCGCTAGGTGAGCTCATTGTCAATAGGGTATCCATGTTTCTAGCTTCTTTCAATGGACAGAGATAGAAATATATATATACACACACGCACACACACGTACCCACCCCAAATTTTAAATTGTAACTTGATAATGATACTTTTAGTTTTAATTCAGCGTTCTGTCTTCCTCTATTTTATATTTATATAACTTTTTTTCCAGAGTGAGAACTTTAGTTTCCAACAACATTAACGAATTTATTCTTTGCTCATTTCCATAATACACAAAAAGTAGTTTTGGAGCTGTCACCCCTATAAATACCATTACCACCAACAAACGTATTTAATAGAGTTCCAGCTTGACTGAGAACAGGAGTGCTGCTTCATTGCTGCTAGTTGAGGATGGAATTCTAGGTTCTCCACTGGGCCTCTGTTGACACTCAGGGATTCTTATTACTGCTGGACGGAGGTAGAAATTCATTCGGACTCCCCACCAGGCTTCCACTGATACATCCCTGGTCCAGATGGGGAAAGACACCTCATTACTACCCTTCACAGGGCCTCCACTGATACTGCATAGGGGGGCAGGGTTGATTTCTGCCAGCAGGAGATACCTTCAATAATACCACTCAAGCAGGGAGTGGGAAGGACACCTTATTACTGCTGTTCAGAGGTAGAAATTCTGCTTCCCTGTATGGTCTCCCCTGACACCATTGGGGGTAGCTTTGTCACCAATGGATGATGGTGAAAATATAGATTCCACTAAGTGTCCTCTGACACCACTGTAGCAAGAGGGATGGGGCTTCTTGTTACCAATGGGCTCCATGTGCCCTCTGGTGACACAGCATGATGGCAGCCTCTTTACTGCTGGGGAGAGGGAGTTGAAAATCCCAGCTCATCACTTGGCCTTCTGCGACACCACTCTTGTGGTGCTTGGTTTCAGTGTGATGAGGATGGAAGTCTAGGCTCCCCACTCAGTCTTTGTTGGCTGGAATGGGGCTGAGGCCATAGTTATTTCTGTGATGTTTGACTAAAATTGAGTGACTGTTGTTCGATAGTTTTGTCTCAATGTGGCTGCTCCTTTCCGGGTCCTTTGGCTGAAGAAAGTAGACTTTTGTGGAAATTTCCTTTTTTCCTGTACCTATTGGCCTTTCCACATTGCCAGGTTCTTCACTCTCGGTGGAATATATGAGGGGGGGGGAAAAAAAAGCAGGAAACTCACTGTCATGTCATGCCCAGGTCCTGGAATGCCTCCTTCTCTCTGATGTTCAAAATCTTCTCATGTTTGTTTTATATATAGTGTCCAGGGTTTTCAGCTGTACTTAGGGAGAAATGCCATGTCCCCCCCATTACTGGAAGTGTGCAAAAAATCCTATTTTTTTCCTGGAACCAGAAGTCTCAGTGTAGCTTTAATTTGCATTTATCTTAATATGAGTAAGTTGACCACCTTTTTATATGTTTAAGGGTAACTTGTGTACCTATTTGAGAACTATCTGGTGATGGTGCCAGAAATATTTTCTTTTTTCTCTCTTCTTCTCAATTTCTGGAACAACCTTCATTCTCAGCACAGACGTCAGCTTATGCAGGACTTCCAATCTGCAGCCCTCTCCCCTGGAACAGCTTTGGAGAAGTTCTCACTTCTTTACCTCTTTTTCCCGCAGCTCTTCAGAGTGAGCAATGCCAGTTTCTTGAATGCTATTGCTGATGCTGAAGGGAAGTCACAGGGAAGGCCTCTGTACTGAGCAATGGCAAACAAAAGTAGGAAAAATGAAAAAAATAAGAGGTTCATGAAATTGAGAGTGAGGATTTCCATGATTGAGTTGACTAAATCCCTGTTGTGTCAACACAATTACACAGAAAATACACTTTGGGCTTTGTGAAAAAGGCTGGTTAAATTTTTTTAATTTAATAGCAGTCAGCACGTGTAAAGGTTTTAATGGAAAACACTTGTGGCTGAAATGCCTATTAAGACTCTAAATATCATTCAAGGTCTGATGAACATGGCATTCATCATCAAAGAACCCTGCAAGGATTCTTCAATGTCTCCATCCTTGGTTTGCCAATGTTGGTCTGCACCAAAATATTACAAATCCTGGCTCAGTGGTCTCTATTGGGTTCCATGTATTGCTAATTTTCTGTGTTTCCAGGTGACTGTTATGTACAGAATTGAGAACCACTGGTTACAGGATCACTCTTACCTCCCTCTCAGCACTCCCTTCCCCTCTAACTCTCTAGCCAGTAGGATATACCCCTAGTTCCAGAAGTTTCAAGACTCTGAATCTTGCCTCCCATGACTCATTCTGCCTGGAACATTCTCACCTCTTCATGACGGTTGTCCAACTGGCAAACAGCCATTCTATCTGGGAACCATCCCCTGTTCAGTAGAACTGACTCCTTTGGAGTCCCATGTAGACTTTTCTCCTAGTTTCTCCTCCACTTTTATCTCTTGGAGCCTCTCAGGAGAATGTTCCTTGAGGGCAAGCACCACGACAGATTCATCTCTAGAGTTCTAGTGCCTGGCATTAAGCATGGTTAAGTGGATGGATAAAGCATGCTTAACCTCGGAGATTTTGGAAGAAAAACAAGAGGAATAACATGGTGTATTACTACTATTATGTCCATAGTTTTTGTCAGTGCAATTTTCTTTCGCTAAGTATAGTTTCAGACTCTAAAAAGTCAACAGCTAAATGTCAGTTGAATCAGCAGAATTGACCCACCACGAAAAAAGATTGGTTGGTTTTCCTCTTTTTTAGAGCAACCTTCCTGGGGATTGCTGCTTGGTGCGCTTGGTCATTTCCTCAAGGGATCAATATCTCACCAATCTTGTTCTGTAGAGCTGCGTCAGGCACTTTTAAACACCTTTCACTATTATTATCAGATCTATCTTTCTAGGCTAGATTCCATTTTGCACTGCATCAGTCCTTTCTCTTAAACTTAAGGCAGCCATACCTTCTTTCCCTTTACATTTGTTTTTATATTTTGTTTCCTGGATTACTGCCAAATAATTACATTAAAAGCTTGAATAAAAATTGAAACTATTTGAAAGACTATATCTACAAATATGGCCAAGGTCTTTTGCTCTGGGAGATATAGTCCCCTTTATCAGACATGATCTTCCTTTCCACCATGTGACCTTGACCTTCCTTTGGCCTATATTCATCAACACTCTGTACCTCGGGGGCTTCTTTCATCTTATAACTACACTGTCACTTTGGTACAGGTCTCAACAAATTGATGTGTAGTATCAAAGGCAAGATTCTGCGTGTGGAAGGAAGTCCAGTGGGCCTTTCCTAGACTGTGCTCAGGTTAACTACTTATTCAAAGGATCTTAGCAGACCTTACTTTTTTCTCTCTTCTTCTCAATTTCTGGAATTGTTTGTTTCTCATTTGTTTCCTTACTTCAATAAGCAATGCTTGGTCCTGGCTTATATTCCTACCCAGGGCAATGTCTTCTTTTTCCCTTATGTGTATCAAGTAATTAATCCCACAAATATTTATTGAGTTCAGAGTATTTTACTTCAGAATTTTCTTGAATGAGTAGCAAGATGTTCTCAGCATTGGGAATGCTTCCTCTGCTGGGAACACCTTTCATTTCTCCCCATTAATCTGGCAAATTCCTTATCCTTCAGGTTTCTACTTTGTCATCATATCTCCCTATAGCATCCCTTACCTCCCCATTCTAGGTTAAATGTCCTTTTGTTTTGTGCTCCCATGCCACCCTTTCCCAGCACTGATCTGCTATCTGGAAATGCCAGTTGACTTGCCTGTTTCATCTCCAATAACTCATGAGCTCCTTGGTGACAGGGACTATGTCTCGCTCACCACTATACCATTAGTACCCTGCACAGAGTTTTGTACTGGGCAGTTCCTTGTGTCAGTCAGGATTCAACCAAAGAAACATAAGGAACAGTAAGATACACAGACATAGCATATCTATCTATCTATCTTTCTAAATATATATGTATATGCATGTGTGTGTGTATATATATATATATATAAAACTACACTATTATATATACTACATAATATATATTATATACACTATGTATTATATACAGGTTGAGCATCCATAATCTAAAAATCTGAAATCCAAAACAATCCAAAATCCAAAACTTTTTGAGCGTGGTCATGATGGTCAAAGGAAATGCACATTGGAGCATTTTGGATTTTGAATTTTCAGATCAGGCATGCTCAAACAGTAAGTATAATACGAATATTCCAAAATCTATAAAAAATCTGAAATCCAAAATGTTTCTGGTCACAAGAATTTCAGATAAGTGATACTCAACTTGTGTGTGTGTGTGTGTGTGTGTGTGTGTGTGTATGCAAGGAACTAGCTTATGTGATTGTCAGGCCTGGCTAAATAAGTCTGAAGTCTGCAGAGCAGGCAGCCAGAAAGGAAAGATCACAAGCAGGCTAGCAGGCTAGAACTTCACAGACACTGGCTGAAGCTTGTTATCCACAGGCAGCAGTCAGGAGAGAAGACCATGGACAGGCTGAAACCCTGGAGCAGGAGCTGTTTGGAATCTCTGCCTCATGGAAGGCCTAAACTCTCTTTTCAAAGACTCATCTGATTAAGTCCGGCCCACCCAAGATAATCTCCCTTAAGTTAACTTAAGTGAATTCATTAGGAAATTTAAACACATCTGCAAAATCCCTTCTACCGTAGCACCTAGATTCATGTTTGATTGACTAAATGGGGACTGTAGCTGAGTCCCCATGAGTGTAAAATATCTGACACATCAAAAAGCCATCACAGTGCTCAATAAATGATTATGGAAGGAAAGGAAGCCTGGCTAACTGAGTGAAAAAGCTGGGTTGTTCAAGACCAAGGTCAGATCAAGTATGTATAATCTTGCATTTGGGCATGACAATGAAATAGGAAAACTCTGGAGTCATTTAAGTCAGGAGAGGGTAATCAAAGTACATGGAGTCATTTCTGATCAGTCCTGTGCTGTCTACAACTCTGCACTGACAACTGACTGAAGGTCTAATTCCTGAGTTTGATCTTCCTGGCTTTCAAGGAAAGGCCTCATGTCTTCAGCTTGTCTGTGGGGTACACGTGCCACAGCCAGGCCAGACCCTGGGGGTTTCTGGATTAGGCCCACATTCTGCCACCTCTGCTACTTTGCTTCTGTCTGCTGCCTGTCTCTGCCAACACACATGCTGCTCCTTCAAGTCCTTCTTTTAGTACTGTCTTAACTTCTTCCCAATTAGATAACACTCCTGCACACAAGGGAACCCTAGCCTACGGCATTAGTCTTGTAGCTATTTCAGCCCCCAAGCATGCTCTGTCTCTTGTTTATTTGTGGCCTTGTCTTCTCATCCATATTGGACTGCAAGCTCTAGGAAGGTGGGCATGGTGCCCTCTGCTTCTTTGTGTCCCCTTCAGAAGGCCTGCACAGAGCAGCTGCTCCATAAATCCTGGAAGCTTTGAATTGAAACAAAGAGTTTAAAATAAACTATCCTTATTCCTTAAGCGACTGTATTCTGTATCACGTTTAAATGAAAGACAATTTGTCTTCTAATTAGGTTTTAATGAATTGCACTTGACCTTTGAGCTCTATTTTTCAACCTCGAGAGCAGGCAGCAAATGTGTAAATTCCGAGTCTTGATTTAATCATAAAAATCACTTCCATTTTTCTAGCATTTTGCAGCCTTCAAATTACATTGCCCTCCCTTCTCTCACACAAGCTTGTGGGGTAGGTGGAGATTCACCCCATGTCACAGATGAGAAAACTGAATCAGAGAAGTCAAAGCCTCTGCCCAAGCTCACTCAGCTTGTAGGAGGCAAACCAGGGATTCCAACAGGGGTCTCCTGACTTCTAGTGCAGTGTGCTTTTTCCAAAGAGAATGGGTGAAATCACTAATTAGGAAGGCAAAACTGAAAACTAATCATTAAAGGTAATGGAGATTTTGTTATGGAACTTTCTGTCAAGTGGAAGCGAGCTCCTGCCTTCTGCTGTTTGCCCTCACCTGTACCTTTCTGCCATACTGTCAGCAGGGTCTCTTTGGGGGCATTTCTCAGTGCTCACTGGAGCATTGTGAGACATTTCCCAATATTTGCCAAAACCGATCTGCATGTGATTTCTGACAGCAATTGCTCTTATTTGCTTGTGGTGACTTTTATTTCAGTTCTTGGTTCTTGCCATAAAATTTTTTGACATGCATTCTTACAAAATTAAGACTGGAATGTAGAGAAACTGGGGGAGCAAGAGAGAACAATCATGGCTTTGGTCACCAGGCAATTGACAGCAGTTCAATATCTGGTAGCCCCATATGATTGGTCATTTTCTTTTCAGCACTGGGAGTCCACTAACCTGTTCTAGACTCTGCAGTGGCACTTTGGGTAAATAATGGGGAAAGGACCATTATTACCTTCGTTATAGAGACAGGCACAGCTGGGTTGGTTATCAAGGGACAGATTTGTCTCTCTTTATTGTAATTGAGCCTTATAACCTGGGGAAACTTCCTCATATTTTCCTCATTCCTTGTGAAATCCTCCTCAAACTTTCTGTCCCCACTTCACATTATCTGGGAGACGTGCTCAGATTACTCAGTCCTTGCTTGAGCCAACTGGGACATCACATTACTTAGATTCAGCACTTCATGATAGATGGAGCCCTTTACTCAGGCCACAGAATCTCACCTGGGTCTGATCATAGCCCCGTGAGGTAAGCAGAGCTATTCCTTTCACATTCATTGTACAGTCAAGGATCCTGAGATCCAGAGAAGTTATATGCTTTCTTCAAGGTCACGCAGGCAATATAACTGGTAGAATTGAAATATCTAGTCTCTGCAGCCCATTCTCTGCTTTGATCACAGCCCATGTTCTGCTTATCATATAAGAGGACCTATGAGTGTTCATTGCTGTGTCCTTGAATGTTGGATGAATGATTGTCTCTCTCCATGTGGTCCCAGGGCCTCTCTCTTCAAGTGTTCTTTTGTTATTTAGTAGTTTAGGCTGAGCTTCCTTACACAATGGTGAGCGTTTCAAAAGCGAAAACAGAAGCTTCCAAGCCTTCTTAAGGCTTAAGCTTATAAGTCACAGTGTCACTTCTGTCACATTCTATTAGCCAAAGCAAGTCACAGGGCTATGTATTCCAGAGTCAAGGGGAGAGCAAATTAACTTGATGGGAGGAACATTGTGTGTATATAGGAAGGGAAGAGATTGCTGTGGCCGTTTTTGTAGGTAATATACCATAGAAGGTATTTAATTAATGCCAGTGATCCCTTTTTCTAGACACAAGGGTTGGGACAAGCAGAGGAAGAGAAATAATGAATTAATTGATGAATGAGCCAGAGGGTGATATTATTTGGCACATGACAGAAGAGTTGAGTCAAAGAGGTGGGTTGAGTCAAATCGGGTGGGCCTAGTGGGCCCCCCTTAAGAGGTTGAGATTTATTCTGAAAAGAGTAGACAGTTTATAAAGGATTTCAAGGACATAATAAGGTGTGCATTTTATTTTTGAGAGAGTTAGGTTTCAGCAAGATCTCCCTAATGGAAGGAGAGTGACAGAGGGCAGAGAGACCAGCTAAGAGGCTGGTATAGTGACAAGGAGAGAAGTGGTGAGGGTTTGAATCATGGAAGTAGCATAGTAAATGGAGAGATCACCCATTTGGAGGATATTATAAAGGTAGTAGTACTTTTAAAACATTTTTGTAAACTTAGACTTGCCACAAAACCAGGCTGGCTAGCCCAAAATCAAACTGGATAATCCATGAGGGAGGACTGAGTAGGAGTTGGGAGATAAATAGAAATTTGGTCTCTTTACCTGACTCCCTTTTCATACTACTATAAAGAACTGCCCAAGACTGGAAAATTTATAAAGGAAAGAGATTTAATTGACTCACAGTTCTGCATGGCTGGGGAGGTCCCAGGAAAGTTGCAATCATGGTGGAAGGCAAAGGGGAAGCAAGACACCTTTTTCACAAAGCAGCAGGAAGAAGTGCTGAGTGAAGGGGGAAAAGCCCCTTATAAAACCATCAGATCTTGTGAGAACTCACTATCACGAGAACAGTATTCCCATGATTCAGTCACCTCCACCTATCTCTCCCTTGACATGTGGGGATTATGGGGATTACAATTCAAGATGAGATTTGAGTGGGGACACAAAGCCTAACCATATCATCTTATGTGCTGTTACTACCTGCCACAGTTCACTCAATTATTTAAAATCTCATCAGAGAGGAAGGTATTGTTATGGCCATTGAAGAGAGTATAATCCAGTTACCACCTTGTGTATATTTTTAGTGTACTCTCTGCACTAACATTCAGAGAGCAAAACCTTGTTCATAAGTCTTATAAGTCTGTAAAATATTTCACTTCTTGTTTAACGTATTTCTTCATTGGTTCATTTTAAATGGAAAAATAAGTGAGTTTTACAAGAGCAGTGGGCAACAATGACTCAATGTTTGCCCCTCCTTGAGCCTGTAGCCCTGAGAGCAATTATTCACAGTCCTGCTGGATGGACGTGTATCCAGCAGGGTGGCTGAGACAAATTACCCACTTCCCCACTGTCAGCACAAAAGGGCTTATTGGAAGCCATTTCATCCAAGCTACTTATTTTAAGGTGAGTATGGTGTGTGTGTGTGTGTGTGTGTGTGTGTGTGTGTGTGTGTGTGTGTGTGTGTGTTGGGGGGTATCAGATGGGAAGCCAGGAGAGGAGAGTTGCATGAACAATTCATGGAGGCCCCAGAGTCAGAATTGGGTTGTCTTCTATGCCTTGGCACACAGCAACCGATAAACAAGAACAAGTATGAAAAACAATTTAAAGTACTGAGGACCAAGGTTTTCCTTGCTAGGAGGCAGGTAGATGAAGCTGCATCCTCCTAAGCAATGAAAAGTTGTTCATCCGCCCTCTACATCACTCTAAGGCTTGCACCAGGCCAGTGTATTCAGACATTGATAGAATTGCAAAGCAAGTCAAGTATGGGAGAAAATCCCTGTCCAGATGGATGATGGTCTCTCAGGTGACCTGGCCTTATGTAGACTCTCACTCTAGAGAATGACACTTTCACAGATTTCTGTGGAACAAGCTCTGATGACTCGTGGAAGGAAAGCAGAAAAGTAGGCAAGAAAAATATTTGCATCTGCTACATTTGTCACACAAATCATGGGCCCATTATGTCTAAAGGGAGATCAGAACCATGTTTACAGAATGACTGTCAAGGAATGGAATGATTTAAGCATGTAGGCATCTGGTTTATTTTATGTTTGGTATTTTTCTGTAAGATTTGTAGTCATTGGGAATGATGAATGTGCAAAAGCCTGGGAAAGGAAAAGAAAGCCCCTGGATCTCCAGTGAGTATGTAAAGGTAGCTGTCAGAGGGTGGACAGCTGGGAGGACCCTACTCCCTGCCAGTGGAGACCACTGAGCAGGATTTGTAATATTTTGGTGTAATATTCTGGAGTGGATAGTGGAGGTGATGATGATGCTCATTGTCATTGCCATTATAAGCACCTACTGTGTGCCAGGCTCTGTGGTAAGCACTTTCCATGCATAATCTCCCTTAATTAACTTCGAAGCCCAGTGAGGTGTTGTTGTTAGCTTCCCCTTGTTACAGATAAAGAAACTGAGGTATAGATAGTTGATATAATTTCCCTCAGGATGCATAAGTAGTAAGAAGTGCAGCTGGAATTCAAAATTGTCTGGGCTGGGCGCGGTGGCTCACGCCTGTAATCCCAGCACTTTGGGAGGCCGAGGCGGGTGGATCATGAGGTCAGGAGATCGACACCATCCTGGCTAACACGGTGAAACCCCGTCTCTACTAAAAATACAAAAAAATTAGCCGGACGTGGTGGCCAGTGCCTGTAGTCCCAGCCACTCAGGAGGCTGGGGCAGGAGAATGGCGTAAACCTGGGAGGAGGAGCTTGCAGAGAGCTGAGATCACGCCACTGCACTCCAGCCTGGGCAACAGAGTGAGACTTTGTCTTAAAAAAAAAAATTGTGAATCTGAAAGGGGTTTGATGCATAATTTCTGCATTAAAAAAGTTACTTATAATTGAATTGTTTGCACTACGTTGGCAGATGTTAACATTTTGTGGTGCATTGTTCCTGCTAATACATACATTAGGGGTATCAATAAAGTTTATCATTTGTCTACAAATGGTGTTCGATGCATCTGTATACCTAGCAGTGTTTCACTAACATGACTCCATTGACCGTGTGAAAGAATGGGAATATGAGATCTAGTTATACTAAATAGAAGCTGTGTGATGTTGAACATGTGGTTTAACGTTTCTGAGTCCCAGACTCTTCACCTATAAACTGGAGTTAAAAATCCCTGCCCTTCCCCTTCACAAGATGAGTGTAAGGCTATAATGAAGCAAATTAAAAGCTTTCAGACTGGCCAAGTGCCATATGCATGGCAAGTAGGAGACTCGGTTACAGACCCAGGATTCATAAAACCCTCAGAAAGAGGGTCCAGGCAGGAGCCTATGACCCTTACCCGGCAAGGCTGATGAAGATCAGGGTCTGCCAGATGTAGGAGGAGTCCTTAGAGATCATGTGGTCTAAAATCTCATTGTACAGATGAGGCCACAGAGGCCCAGAGAGGAAGGGCCTTGCTTAAGGTCACACTGCAGGCAATTTCTCATTTACCTTTCTGAACATGAAGCATTTCATTTCATTTCAGTGCAGCATTGCACAGTTCCCATCTCAATGAACTGCATACTTACATGATAATCAGTTCAGAAAATTATTACAATACAAACTGAAAGATAAATGATCGTGGCATTTGTTAATACTGTAAACACCATTTGTTGACAAATGATAAGCTTTATTGATACCCCAATGTATGTATTAGCAAGAACAATGCACCACAAAATGTTAACATCTGCCAACATAGTGCAAACAATTCAATTATAAGTAACTTTTTTAATGCAGAAATTATGCAATAACAAAGGGTATGGCTGCAAATTAATGTGACACAGAGCCAGGTTTATATATTTAGAGGCATAAACAATAATTTTATACAGAAAGCAAGCAAAAGTTCTTTTAATCATCGCTTTGTCAAAATGACTCTCTGACACCAAATACAGGAGAAAGTCGGGGAATTGAGATGGTTATTAAATCTGACCTTGATCAGATTTTTATTATGTCAGAAAAAAATGGTTCTTAAGAGAGAGAGAGTTGTCATGGGATTAGAGTCCATCTACAGCGAGATGTTTCCATGGCAACAAATCAAACACCATTTCCTCTGACTCCAATCTCCTGCTTCAGAAGTATGAACTTAGCATTGAATAATTAGAGTGAGAAACAGTAATGTTGTGTAAAGACAAAACACAGAAGAATCAATCTGGAGGCAGTGAATTATTTTAAAATGGCAATTAACCCCATCAGCGTGACTGTCTGCAGCTCATGCTGGCCATGACAGGTCTCACGTAGGTATTTGCTTTTACAAATTGAAAGCATAACTTTTTTGTCACACACAACCTTAATAAAAAGCCAAAGCCAAATCATAATTCTACCCAAATTAATGAAGTCTGAAAGTTATAAATAAGGCCATAATAGAAATTCAGAGCTGTGTCCGAGTCTGCAGTAGGTGGTAGCATGCAATACTCTACCTGAATTCTCCTCATGTTTGAGGGATCTAAAAACATACTTGATACTGGTGCGTGGTTAGTGTCCCACAACCAATGAGCTATCTAAATTCATAGGCTCCAATGTCACACTCCTAAAATCTTGGTGGAAAGTTAAACTGGTGCACACAAAGCCACTTAGAACTTAGGGAGATACCTAAACCTTTTAGCTTCTTGGTTGGCTTGCAGTATTGTCATCTAATTGCATTAAGGTTGTGTTCTTCTTCCTCAGGAAATGTATCTCAGGAGCTAATCTGGTGGATGGCATCTGATGTTCACCGCTTTGTTGTATTTTTCCCCAGATGTTTCCCATTTCTTTCAGAAATGCTTTCTACCCACAGGAAGAGAAGAGAATCTAAGATCGGTATTTGTGCCAGGAGAACATGTTGTCTCACCCATGTTGCCCAAGTCATAATGGGTGAATTCATCAACACAGCAAATCTGTTCCAAACAAATTTGTTTCTATAAAGGGTCTTGGGGCTGGAGAAACACACTGCTCCTGAAAACACACTGTTTCATTCCTAAAACTCTTTCATCTCATTTGGGTCTCACCCAGTTCACTGTCAGAGACCCCCTTTTTGCAGCATCCCCTTTGTAATAATGAATAATAATCTCATTTATTTATTCAGTAAATACAAATGGTATGCCTCTAGATACAAGTCATCTCAAGGTGTTAATGTTATGGAGGTAGGCTGCCCAAGTAGGGCATGTGAGCCCCTAATTGGAAGGTGATGTAGACTCGTTCTCATAAATAAATATTCCAACTTTCTATGTCTCATTGGAAGAAAATGTTGGATTGGCTTGTCAATGGGACCAAATATGAGATTATGCGAGAGAGGCATTTCACAATTTATATGGCTGTGAAAACTGGTCTCTCATCTTCTACAAAGGGGGAGCAAACCTTGGCCAAGTGATTTCCCACCATAGTCTATGCAGAGCCACATGGCTACTATTGGTTGATTATTGAACAGATAGTAGCAAAAAAGAAGAAATACCTCAGTTCAAATTCTGGCTCTACCTCTTATTAGTTGTGTGACTTGGAGCAAGATATTTCAATTCTCTGGACCTCAGTTTCCCCAGCTATAAAATGGTGTTAATATCTGCCACACTGGGTCGTTGCCAAGGATGCAGGAGATAAAATATATGGTACACAGTATAGGACCTGCCATATAGCTTGACACACATTAATAAGAATGCTGATGAGTTGGATGTCAACTATATTTTCTGGTTAGATTTTAAAATAAGAACGATTCTGAGGGATTTTTGATGATGAATCTAAGAACAGTATTATTTAACAGACAGTACAAAATGGGTAGCTTATAAAAATTCATTGGGCTGGTATGACATTTCAGTTCTGTAGTACCTTTTGTGACTTAGAAAGGTAAGATAAACATTATTCCCACCTTCATTTTTCAACTCATTTCATTGTATGAAATCTCTTACATGCAAATTATTAGATACTTAAAAAAATGAAACAGCCACTCACTTGGGTTCTTGACCTCTTACATTTGAACAGTCTCACAATTTCTTTTATTCCAGGACAACTTAAAAGCCATCTTTATGTTAATGGTGAAATAGTTACTCTAGGTCTATTCTAATGCCTTTAATAATAGCTGGCAGTTAGAAAGGTGACAAATGCAAGTGTCCCCAGACAAATTTTGTGTCGTGGGTCTTGCTGAGGAAACATTTAGAAGAATTGCCTTTTCGTCAAATGGCTAATTGACAAGCATCTTGGCACAGGGTCAATGACTTCACCAAAGAAGAGGCCATGTTTCTGGAGAACATGTCATCCTTTGAGACCGTTAGTGAGATCCGAGTGTCTGAGTACCACTTCTATTGAGTAACAAGCAGCTGCCAGTACTCTGCTGTACTCCAGGCTTTCAGCACCCTAGAACCTGAGCTTGGACATTGTGTTCTCTAGATCCTTCCTTACTCACCATCTAAGATCTCAAACCTGGCTACCCTGTCATCTGTTTGATATTCAATCAAGAATGAGAAAAAGTCAAATCCCTCCCACCATCTCAGCAGCCGGTGTAGTTGCAATAAAGTCCATGTGCAGGTGGACTTCATTCAGAAATCTTTCTCATGGCCTCCACATAGTAGGTCGTTACTTGCCGTTGATTCCTAGGCCTACCAGCAGAGCAGAAGCAGCACTGAGATTTGAGGCAATATGTTATCAAGGCCGGGCTGCCAAAGAGTAGGAAGTTACAACTGACAGGGAAGGTGGAGATACACAACTAGTGCAAAGCTCATATTTCGATGCTGGAAATGCACACCCTTCACACACACACACACACACACACGCACACCACCACAAGCTGTCCCTTCTTTGGAGCAAGACAGTATTTCTAGGAGGTCCCTGTTGAATATCTTTAGGGTCCATATATGGTGGGAAAACCTGTTACTAACTTTCCACTGAGGTAAGCAACATGGCATGCTAGAAGGAGGCTAGCACAGAAAAAACAACATTGAGCTTGGGTATCCCCATGATCTGATAGTTCTTATAAGAAGGTGGAAACTGGGGACTGAGTTCCAAGTCTGTCTCTAACTCACTGTGTGACCTTGGGTAAGTCCCTTCTCTCTGGGCCACTTGCTCTCCAAATAGGATTGCATAAAACCAGCAATTGAGTTTAAAAGACATTCAACTGCTATTATTCTGTGGATATCCCTGAAGCTATAGAAACTGAGAGCTACATGTCCTGCCAGTCCATTGAAGGACAATTGGCTTATTCTACTGTAAAAGGAAAGCACTTTGTGAAGTTTAGTATCTTCGAGGTGGTTTCTAGTTTGACGTTCCTGGCCATGCCGTTATGCCTGTTGGTGAGTACATGCACATGGAAGATGGAGAAGGAAGGGGACAATAAGAGCATTGTTACCCCTGGTGCTTCAGTAAGTCTAGCCACATGTGTTTGCCTATGAGGGAAAAGTGTTTCTTCTCATCTCCTCCCCAACGACCCAGAGAGGCAGAGACTGGGAAAACAAGGGGCAGAGCTGCCTTCCCTATCCCCTTTCCAGCACCCGTCTCACTCAGAAAGCCCTTTGGGCTTTTGCGACCTCACTATTTATTTCTGACCTCTGGCCTCTAATTATACTTACCGTTACGGGTAGAATTTTGTCCATAGCCCCGCTATATGGTTTGAAATTTTGTCTCCTCCAAACCTCATGTTGAAACTTAACCCCAATTTGGCAGTATTGAGAGATGGGGCCTTTGAGAGGTGATTGGGTCATGAGGGCTCTGCCATCATGAATTGATTAATTCTCTTTTTTTTCTTTTTTTGAGACAGAGTCTCACTCTGTTGCCCAGGCTGGAGTACAGTGGCACAATCTTGGCTCACTGCAACCTCCGCCTCCTGGGCTCAAGCAATTCTCCTGCCTCATCCTCCCAAGTAACTGGGATTACAGGTGCCCACGACCACGCTTGGCTAATTTTTGTATTTTTAGTAGAGACGGGGCTTCACCATGTTGGCCAGGTGGTCTTGCACTCCTGACCTCAAGCAATCTGCCTGCTTCAGCCTCCCGAAGTGCTGGGACTACAGGCGTGAGCCACCGTGCGTGGCCAATTAATTCATTTATAGATTGATGGATTAATGGATTAATGGGTTATCGTGGAATTGGGACTGGTGGCTTTATAGAAAGAAAAAGAGAGACAGTTCAGCCTCCACAACTGTAAGCAATAAATTTCTTTTCTTTATAAATTACCCAGTTTCAGATATTCTGTTGTAAGCAACAGAAAACAGACTGAGACAACCCCTAAATTCATATGTTAAAGTCCTAAACCCTAGTATCTCAGAATGTAATCTTATTGAGATGAAAATCATCTTTTAAGATGTAATCAAGTTAAGATGAGGTAATTGGGATGGGCCCTAACCTAATAACCTGTGTCCTTATAAAAGGGGACATTTGGACACAGAGATGGATATGCACACAGGAAGAACACCATGTGAGCATGAAGGCAGAGATCGGGGTGATGCTTCTATAAGTCAAGGAAACAGCCCTGCAAACACCTTGATCTCAGATTTCCGGCCTCCAAACCTGTGAAAAAATACATTCCTGTTGTTTAAGCCACCCAGTTGGTGGCATTTTGTTACAGTAGCCTCAACAAGCTAAGACACTTGCTTTCTTACTTCTGCCACTCAACAGGTCACATGAGCTCATAACCTCTAGCAGAGCTCTCAGGGGATGAAATAGGCTTGTGTCAATGTGCTTGGATAGTATGGTGTCTTAGTTTAGGCAGCTATAACAGAATAACCATAGACTGGATGGCTTAAATAATAAACATTTATTTCTCATATTTATGGAGGTAGGGAAGTCCAAGATCAAAGTGCTGATAGATTGTCTAGGGAGGGCTCTTGTCCTGGTTTGCAGATGATCATCTTTTAGCTGTATCCTCACGTGGTCAAGAAAGAGATCATCTCTCTTGTTTCTCTTCTTGTAAGAGCAGTAATCCCATTCATGAGGGCTCTACCTTTATAACTTAATTACCTCCCAAAGGCCTCACCTCCCAATTACATCCTATTGGGGATTGGGCTTCAACATATAAATTTGAGGGGTAGGTACACAAACATTCAGTCCATACCATATGCTTCAGGAAGAATACATTCTAGTCTGTGCTTTGCCATAAAAAAATCTAACTGTGAGACTAAGGGAAAGGGACTTTCTTTTCTGGGCCTGTTCCCTTTCTGTAAATGAGTTGTTACTTTTAATTGATAAAATGTTCACTCTAGTTTTTAGGGAGCGAAATTTTCCTTTTTCAAAATCATTTTTTTTGTGTGTGTGGAATCCAAATAGATTTTTAAAAAAGTGGGGGCAGAGATTCCAATGTTCCTGCTATGCCTAAAAGTCAGAGATGTTGAGGGCAGGTCTGGGTATACACTGCTGCTGCCTCCTATCCTACAGGACCCAGGTCATGTTCATTGGTCTAAGGTGTTGAATTCAGTGGCATTCTGGTCACTTCCCAGGGGTTCTGAAGTTTGGCAGGTGTATCTGGTATGACAATGTGCATTGATGTCACACATCCTGGGAACAGAGGTGAATTCAGAGCCTCCCTCTCATGGAATTGCCAGGGTCTAGGACAGGAATGAGGTGCTCATGTCATTGCTGCCACTTGGCTATCTTTGGTGGAGCCTGAGGAAGACCCCAGTCTGCTTTTCCCAGCAGTTGGAGCTTGTAGGATATCTCTGGAAGTTCCTGCTGGTCCCTGGAGGATACAGCTCTTCTTAGCTGAGACTGCCTCTCTGGCTCTATTAGAGCCATGGGCCTTGGTGTGTGGAAGCTGGGCCAGAGTTGTTCACCAGGTATGGGGGAAGTAAAGCTGGAGTAAACATCAGTGCCTCAGGTTTTTGGAGCAAATCCTCCAAGGGCTAGTAAAAGAACAGATGAAAATGAGATCTGTCTGCAGGCCTTGTCTCCATGGAATGATATTCCCTGGGGAAGCCATGCTGTTCCTCAAAGGAGGAAGGCCTGGACTTTGGAGTCAGGCACCCCCTAAGTTTGTCTCTGTTGACTCAAAGGGTGTTTTTCTGAGAGACAGCACTAGGCTGGGCCTCTGAGGGGGTGGTGGGTATCATGCACTAACGATGCAGCAGGATACAAAGGGAGGAGTAAGCCGAGTGTGGTGGCACACACCAGTAGTCCCACCTACTCAGAAGGCTGAGGCAGGAGGATTACTTGAGCCCAGGAATTCAAATTCAAGACTACAATGAGCAATAATCACACCATTGCACTCTAGCCTAGGTGACATAGTGAGATCCTGACCTTCCCGACTAAAAAGAAGGGAGTGGTCACAGCTCCTGGAACACAATAGATGTTGAGTTTATGATGGCTCTTACTAATTCCTTCCTCCCACAACCTACAACTTGAGCCAAAGCTTTCTAAAATCTTGTCTTGAAAGCTTCATCAATAACAGGAAACGCATATTTACACAGGGTCCAGATGCTGCCTCAGACTCCTTCCCAACACAGCACTCAAGGCAGCCACTCCCACTCATTGAAAATTAGAAGGTGAGATCAATCGTTTTTGCTATACCTGATCCAGTTGCAGGCAGGCTAGCCTAAAGGAGTTATGGCTCCTGGCTGGTGATGTTCCAGGATGTCAGGCCAAATAGCCTCTGGCCCTTCCTCAGATACCTGAGATCCTCTGTGGGCCCCTTTTCCAAGCTGCGGAGGTGGGATTTGTGGGGCACGTGCCTAAGGAGCAGGCCTAGGAAAGAGTGAGATGAAGCAGGCTGGTCCCCATTGCCCACCCCTCCCACCTCAAGAGCCAACCAGAAAGATTAGTTCATCAAATAAAAGAGAAAAATGATTCCTACATTACTCTTAAATGGGTGATTATAAGATTTTGGGTAACAAAAGCAATAATGATTATATTGCTCAAATAATAAAAATGGAGAAGGGTTGCACATCTGAGCTGACCACATAGGAAGCATCAGGCCTAGCAGCAGGGGCACTGAGCAAAGAGCTGCTGGGGACCCCTGGCCACTGCTGCATGGGGAGAACAGCCATGGTGGAGAAACCTCATTTTCCCTGGGGACAAACCCAATTCTGCCCTCTCTTCGGAAACCTGGTTATTTCACTTATGTCTTCTTAAAACAAACAGAACAAGACAAGGGCTCCTGATGACAATAGCCTGATGTGCATTTGTTTTGGCACAACACTCTGGGACTGCCTTTGGAGTCTCTGACTACACTAGGGGGAGAGAAAGCTAAGGGTGAAGGAAGCCCTGGTCAACAGCTGGCCCTGTTGTTGGGCCAAGCCTCAAACAAGACCTGTTTTGATCTGTTCCTCGTCCAGCCACAGTGGACTCCTGCGAAGGAGAGACTACTGATGGCCTGGGGAGGTCCTTCTGTGAATCCTATGCTTTGGCCAAACCACATTCTTCATTGCTATGCAAGCACACCCATGCTTTCTTGCCTCTAGACCTTTGTGCATACAGTTTTGTTTTGTTTACCTGACAGCTACCCTATCTTGTGCCCTTTTGATTACTTTCTCTCAATGTCCAACTCACCTAAAAGACCCATCACAAGTGACATTTCCTCAGGAAGCCATTGCTGGCACCATCTCTCCCTACCTCCCTTCCTTATCTAAATTAATTTCTCTCTCTCTCTCTCTCTCTGTGTGTGTGTGTGTGCTTGAACTCTCTTTAAGAACCCAGGAATTTGTGCTCTTATTTTGGACATTTGTAACTCTGCTATGGGCCCATCTCCTCCACTAGACTGGGAGTTCCTTGGGGACAAACTCCAGACTTGCCTTGTCCCTGGAGTTCTCCAGGGGCTGGCCTGACTTGCAGTGGGCAGGAAAGTGTGCTGAATTGTATTTTGAGCTCAGTAACTCAATCCCAGGCTAGTTTAAGTAGGCTAAGGTATGGTCCTTAATGGCATTGCACTTCCCACCCTGTTGCCTGGCATGAAAGCATGTGTTTTCTAGTAGCATATGGCAGTGCCAAACCCTAATTGGCTAGGCCAGACCTCTGCTAACCCTCCATGGAGATTGATTGCTGGAACTGTACCCTAGTTCCTGAGTTGACAACAGACTTTCACTTAGCTTGTACCATCCTCTCTCCTATATAAATGGATGACAGTGTAGACCCATTAAGGTCTTAGCTTGGAGTGGTTGATCTAGGAAGAGGATGTCCTCGAGGGCTTTCTTATGCCTAGTGATCTCTGAAAAGTCCAAGACTCTATGTGATCTTATGAACTCATAGATCTCCAGTGTTAGAAGGACCTCAGAAAGTATGCACTATAACCCCTTCAGCTTAAAAGTATGGTAACAGAGGGGGCATATGAATTGTCTAGGGTCACAGAGCAAATCTATGGAAGGGATAGGAAGAAAATCTAGGTCTTCCGACTTCTGGCCAGTTATTCATTAAGTACATCCTCCTTTCTCTGTTTCCTGGTCACCCAGTTAACAAGACACGGTTAAGGATGTATGTAAACTGGTGAGGGGCTTGAACATTTCTGGGTTTCAAGTGTATAATTTTTAGAAAGCAATTTATCATGATTTATAATTGATTAATATAGAATGCCCTTTCAATATGCGGAGCAAAATTGTCATTAATAATTCACTGGATTCTACATTTGAGTGACTGTATAAATTGTTAAAGCAGTTGGAACTCCAAAATCCCAGAGCAGAGTGTCAAAAGTCTCATGGTGAAAATTCTCTAAATGATTATTGTCAATGTTGATGAGACTGCGATAAGACTGGATCCCTGGGATGTTTTAGGGACTGTGCAAATTGGAGCCGGCCCTTGGGGTTGCATTGCGTGTCATCCACTCACAACAGACTCGCTCATTCACTCTCATTTGTCTAGTCTTCTACTACATATGTGCCAGCCCACTCTGTCCTTTGGAATCTCACTTCTCCTAAGCTATGCTATGGAGTGGCATTTGGTCCCCAGTTTCCTGTAAGTAATGCCTGGGAAAGACAAAGTTCTATACTTAAGGGTGGCCACTGCAGCATTCTTTATAAAAGGGATATATACAAGTTACTTAGAGGAGACTGCTGAGTTTACTCAGGACCCATCACTGACGGATGATGTAGAACTTCAGACAGCTGGCTATAAAGACAATGTAGAAGCACATAAGATGCTTATGGTCAGCGAAACAAATGCCTTCTGTAGAGCAGGACTGCCTGAAACACTATTATGTCCATGCAAAAATGTGACTGATGTAAACAGGGGCTGGAAAGGGGTTATTCAAAATGAAAGTGTTAGCTTTGCTGTGGAGGTACGGTTGTGAGTGGTCCTTCTGTTTCCTAATTCCAGTTTGCTTGATTGATTTCACCTATTCACTTAAAAGGAAACAAAGCCTGATGTCTGCGGTCAATGCAATATGGTGTAGTTTTGGTCTTCTGCCAGCAGGTGGAGATGCCCCGCTTTCTGTTTCCTGGCAGTCAAGCTACCAGAAAAAAAAAGCCTTGGTCTCAGTTGGAAAGTCCTATAGATTCTCTGCATTTTTATTTAAATATCTAACCATGAATTCTCCAGCACCCAATGAGCCCTGAAAATTATTTCTGATCAGATTATGTGGCTTCAAGGGAACAGATCCAAGTTTTAAAGGCCTGAAGCTTACATAATTTGGGAGGCCTTTTTGAGAAAAATAATTCAAAATTACAAAATCAAGTGCAGAGCCTTGTAAGGGGCCCCTGCAAACATGGCCCATTGAGCTGAGTCTTCATGAGCTTCCCAATAAATCCACTTGAGACTGCTGTTCTTCACAGTCCATCTGGCCTAGGGAGGAAGGGCATTGCCATGGGAAGACCACAAGCTCTTTGAGGGATGGGTCATGTCTTTATCCCATCAGGCATTGGTAAAAGGTTTTTGACTTCCCTGTTCTTTTCAGTTTAATGCCGAGTGTTTAGTAGGTACTCAGTGACTGGGTATTAAATCAGAGGAAGCAGAAACAGGGGCTAGGAAGAAGCCTGGAACCCAAACTCACCTTGTATGGCAGAGGAAGCTTGAAAGTCATGCCTCTTCATCTCATTCTTCTGAGAGCACCAGCTAGCTGGATGGCAATGACCAGAAGTGCTGCTCTGTGGGCTTCCCACACATCAGCTACCACATGCAATTCATCTCTGGATTCCGGAGGGTCTGGATTATGCAGTCTTATTTATATAGAGAGAGTTTGACAACTTGAAAGACCCCTTCAGCATGAAATAGGTAAGGGAAGATTTTCCTTTAAATTATCCTTAAATTAAGTTTAAATTTAAATTCAAATTAATATGCACAAATAGTTGTGTCTGCAATTCATCTTAATTGCCCTGCCCCATTTTCTTCCTATACTTTATATACAGGTAGTCACAATCCTCCTTAATATAAGCATTCTGGTGACTGGCTACTTTCTTTGACCCTTCTGTTTATAGGAATGGTTAATCTCTCTCTCACACAACCATGGCATCTCCTTCTGGAATCATACCACCTGCTTATTCTGGTCTATAATGGATCAACCAGCAGTGGTGTCTGATCCTTATAATTTTTGTAACTTGTCCCTAAGGATAACTCCATACTGAATAGGTTTCTTCCTTGTCCTGCCTCCCTCACTACATCATTTGGGTTCGACTAGGCTGTAACAGCAAATAAACCCATACATCTAATGGCTTAACAGAAAAGAACTTTACTCTTTGTGCATGTAATAATCCAGAATGGCCCAAGAGTGGCAAGGGCCTCTGTTCCACACAGTCATTCAGGAGCCCAAGCAGAAGGAGGCTCTGCCTTCTTTAGCACATGGCTTTCAGCATCACTGTGATTATCTCCAACCCAATTAAGCAGAAAAGGAAAAACACACAGGTGCCCATGTTAAAGTTTGTAATGGGCCAGCCCTAGAATTTACACACCTTGCTTCTGCTTAAATTTCATCCACTAAATCTTAATGACATGGTCACATGTAATTGCAAGGGAGACTAGGAAATGTAGTCTTATTGTGCATCCAAGAAAAATAAATAGATTCTGGTGGACAGGTAGCAGTCTCTGCCATATCACATATAGCATGGCATATATTAATAAGCAGTTTAGGTTCCTCCCAGACATTAATTTTAAGATGTTAGAGTAAGAATGTTTTTACTTTTCGCTTTGAAACAAAATTGGGGAAAAATGAATGAGAAACAAAAACAAAGACAGTATTTTTGTTGAAACTGGGAAACTCCTATAATCAGGAACCAGACAAATAAGATGGGATGTCACATGCAGTGAACTTTGGACTGGAGTGATGGGGGCTCCAATAGAAAATAACTGCTTTTCCAAATCTTGAGGAGAGCTGGCAGAGCACAAAATTCTCCAAAGTAGGTGACCTGCTCAGAGGGCAAATCTAATAATTTTTTGTTTGGAACAATAAGATCTGGGTGGCTGTTTAGCTGAGGGAATCTCCCCAACTTCCTTGGATACTTTAAAATGGCAGGGGAGGTAGGAATGAGTGAGAAAACTCACGGATACTCCATCTTTGTAAATGTGCAGCATGTAGAAGAAAAACTGTGGGTGTTAAGCAGCTCTGTAGCAGCCATTCTTTGTGAGCTAAGAAGAAAGGTTAAACCACCTCTCAGTCACTCTCTATTGCACATGAAGCACATTCACAAAACCCGCTTCACAACCTTCTCCCACAAGACCATGAATCATAAAGGATTTTTCTAAGAATTAGGGGATTTTCTACTAACGCAGAACACAGCCCCAGCCCCTCTTCCACACTACTTCTTTCAAATACCTGCTCTAGGAAGATTTCTGCTCACTCAAGGATGACTAATAATAAAAAAGGAACAAGGAGATCCATACAAAAATGTCACAAAATGGTGGAAAATAGCAGGACAAAAAAGGCAAACAGCCTACACAGTATGAACATTTTGATGTGGAGTAGATGAAAATCATGACCAAATATTTGTTTAAGAACTCAATAACTTAACAATGGAAGTAATTTGTGAATTAAGAGCTTAATGCAGAGGTATAAGGAATCAAGAAAAGCAACAAAAATTAAAATTGAGCTGCCTGTATCTAGGACACAAAGTAGAAGAGAAAACTAAAATCATCAGAGAAATTATGGTTAGCTTGTAAATAGTAGTAAATGGTGACACAATATTATCATAGTAGCTGATGTAAGAGTACAGATTGTTGACAACAGAAAAATAGATAGCAGCTTTGAGGCAATTGAGCAAAATGAAATGGAAATTATAAAAAGTGATTAGAAGAAAATTGTAGATATGGAAGACAGGCAAAGACAGAATTAATGTTTTCTTCTTTAAGAAGAAAAAACTAGAGAAGTATAAAATATCCAAATATGTAAATTTAAAAACTTTACTGATATTAAAAAAGATTTGAATCTAAGGATCTAAAGGGCATGGTGTTTCTTAAGGAAAAAAATGTCTAGTCAGCACTGAACCATAGTCTAGTAAGGTTTCCTGAAATAAAGACAAAGAAAAATAATCCTATGGGGCATCTAGGCAAAAATGATCAAACTACTATAACAGCAAAATAAAAAAACACAAGTTGGCTTTAGGCTATCCTACATACAACATTACATGACAGTAGAGAAGTACTTAAAAAATTACCAAAAAAAAGATGATGTGAGCCAGTAAATTTGAGCTAGCTAAATTGTCATTCAGGTGTAATGGTGACAGATAAATATTTTCAAATATGCAATAATGTTTCATGGGCTGTAGTTTCCAAGAACACTTTTTTGAAGACACTACTAGAAGATAAAGTTGAACCAAAAGGTGAATGGGAAAAACGGTGGCAAAAATAAATGTAGAACTATGGTTAAAGGTTATAACAATTATGGGAACTACCACTGCAATATACATGTAAATGTAATCAACCACGATGATGAAGAAATATTAAAATACCCAGTAAAAATTAGGGAATGTAAGGGGAGAGAAAGTGAGATTGTGCGTGTAAGATGGCATGTTTATTTTTTATAGTGGGTGGGGTCAAAATATTTTTAAAGGTGGCCATTGAAGTTTAAAAGGTATAAACCTATTTAAATGTATAAAATTAACCACTAGAAAAACTAAGGCCAGTAGTATACCCCACAAAATTAAAAGGTGGAGGGCAAGGGGAGTTAGAAGTAGGGACATTTACTACTGTTATTGAAGAGTCAATATAAACTAGCTAAATAAATAGAAGATTAAGTACAGCCTATAAAATTATTTTTACAGAGGCAAACATTAAAAATAAAATGACACTATACACCTTAAAAAATAACCGGAGACCCCAAATAAAACAAAGGAGAGAAATCAAAGTTTTTTAAAAAATTGTAACACTCATACTACACATATCTACCCTATCAATACACAGGAAAAGAGACACTCATATTCAGTGACAAAGAAAAACCCAATTAAGTACTGACTGTAATATACTCATCTAGAATGAAATGACTCAGAAAAAATTGAAAGCAAATGAGTAGGCAAAAGCATATTAGAAAAATGGAAATAAGAAGAAAGCAGACAGCTGAAAATTAATATCAGACAAGACTGAATTCAAGGAAAAGTGAACCAAAGAAGGGCAGGGTACAACACATAATGAAGGTCTAACAGCAATGAATATCTATGCACCAAGTAACATATCAAAATTTATAAAGCAAATCCAGGCATGGTGCCTCTCACCTATAATCCCAGCTACTCAGGGGGCTGAGGTGGGAGGATTGCTTGAGGCCAGGAGCTCAAGACCACTCTGAGCATCATAGCATGACTCCATCACTAAAAATAAAAATAAGAAAAAAATTAGCAGGGTGTGGTGATGCACTTCTGTAGTCCCATCTACTTGAGAAGCTGAGGCAGGAGGATTGCTTGAGCCCAGGAGTTTAAGGCTACAGTGAGTTATGATCATGCCACTGCACTCTGGCCTGGGCAACACAGCAAGACCCCTGTCTCTAAGAAAGAAAACAATTATAAAGCAAAATGTAGAGAATACATAGAGAACTAGAAACACATATAGAGTAGTTCTATATTTATTTAGCTACACCTTTCCATAACAAATAGTCAAAAAATAAGTAGTCATGGAGGACTTAACCAAATTAATAAGGTAATTTAAAAATCTATTTTATTAATATCTAATCAATAGTTAAATCAATTACATATTCTTAAATCAGAGAATACATATTCTTTTTAAGCACCCATGGAATAATCATAAGAACTATTTAGAGCACCAAGAAATCACTGATGCCAAAACCTTAAAAAGGGTGCTAGATTTTCTGTTGTCAACTTGGTATTATCCCCACCCCTTTGGAGAAACAAGGGAATACATTTCCCAGAATTACCTGCCATGTAAGTCTTCTGGGTTAGACTTAAACAAATAAGAGGAAATCTTAAGAGATTTAGGAGACAGAAGAGAAGCAGAGGCCATTTGTCTTTGGACATAGTGCAATGAGACATATGAGCCATGTTGGTGATGGCTTGAGTACCACCACTTTATTGCCACAGAATGGGAGATTTCTCAGAGGTTCTTGAGAATTCCAGAAGTTTCTCAATAAGTATTGACGGATCCTTACTTCTATGCTTCAGGCTTAAGTCTTTAGTGTCTGCTTCCCTAACCTTCCAGATGTAACTTTCCTGGTCTTCTGCAGTAACTCTGCTGACCTGTTTCATCAGCTTTCCCAAAATTCAAATAAGCCCTCATTTCTATATGAAACCCTCCACTCCTGGTATACTTAAGTGGCTTCATTTTCCTGAGTGAACACAGGTTGATAAACACAAAAGAAAATTAAAGAAAACTTCTCATGTGAGTATAGATATAAAAATGCTAAATGAAATATTAGCTAATAGATTTATTAATATTTACAGATGTTACACCTGGAAAAACTAAAAGAAATACTGTAAACTATTAAGTAATAAAAACAATAAGGTAGCTGGGTAAAAAATTAATATACAAATATCAATAGCTTTATTTTCAAATAACAACTAGATCAAAAATATAAAGCAGAGGTTGGCAAACTTTTTTTGTAAATTGCCAGATAATAAATATATTTGCTTTCCAGGCCATATGGTCTTGTTATGACCACTTCATTCGCCATTTCAGTCTGAAAGCAGCCATACTCAACATGTAAACAAATGGGAGTGGCCATTTAAACTTTATTACAAAACTTTATTTACAAAAACAGGCCATAGTTTGCAGATCTTTGATAAAGAGCAAAGGGAGAAAAGACTATATTTAAGACATCCAAAATGGAGATTAGAAAAATAAACTTAATTAGAAATATGCAATATTTATATGAAGGAAGCTGTTGAGGGACATAAAAGAAGATTTGAGTATATGGAAAGACATAGCCTAATTTGGGATAAAATGAGTTAAATTACATTGATGTCAATTTGCCCCACAATAGCACAGAAATTCAATGCGACTTTTGATGCATAAAATAAACTTAAATATACAATAAGTTTAATATGTAATATTGTTTTGGGAAAAAGTAGACACAAGCAAAAAGTAATCTGAAAAACACAGGCTTCTGCCAAAAAACAAAACCAAAAATATAAAGACAGAAAAAAAAAGACAAGTTGGCTAAACACCAGCTGCCACCAGCAAGATAAAATGGAGCGGCAACATCTAGCTCTTCATAAGATCATAGAAATACCATCAAAGAAAGACCGCTCAGGCATGTAAAGGATCATCTAATATGTTAAGCTATTCCCCAAATTAAAATGACATAATAGAAGGAGCTGGAACCATTGGCTTACTATGGTCCCAGAAGAGGTGACACTGTGAATCCAGCCCAAGGGAGATAATAATACTCATAACTCAATAGCACTTATTAAGAACTTGTTGCCAGCCCTCAGTGGTTTACATGATTTCCTCATTTAACTTCTCATAAGGACTCTATGAAGTGACTAATATTATTACACATTGGGTGGAAAGTGGTGGGAGTAAGAAAAAGGGTTAAAGGAAAGAGGCAAATATATTTTGTATATATAGGTAAAGTTCACCTTGAGGACTTGAGAACTTCTTAGGTACTGCTGATTTGTTGCTTCTCCCTCTGACTTGCATCTAGGTGACGTAAATAATAAATTGTGAAGTTGCCCATTCATAGTTCCATATGAAGTAAGTATGGGGTGGAGAAAGGCAGAGGCTTAGTCCTCTGAACATTCCTGTGACAGGTAGACATAGGGTAATTTTGGAAGCCTTCAATATAGCTGGATCTCCTGTTTAGAGGAGAAGATGTTACTGGTAGCCAACAGCTGGGCTCTTGGAGTGGCTGTGGTCTCATTCCTGCCCAAATCAGTCACTATGGTGGGGAGAGCAGGTGCTAGGTGTTGTAATGTTTGGCAGGGCCAAGCTGGAGTTATTTCCAGCAGGCTTTAGTCTCCCAGGCCCTGCATAGTGTCAGGGAGAGGGCTGGATCCCAAATGAAAATTCAGGCCTATTACTAGATAAAGCAAAAATTAATTATAGGTAGGCCAACAATAGCTAGCTATTAATTATGCAAAGAATTTATCAATTTAACCAAGTACATATTAAGGTTTACATAGACAAATATTATAAGCAAAATGTAGAAACAGAAATGACAAACGGGGAACAACAAATTCCAAAATATATGACTAACAAAGAAGTAATTTCCTAAATATATAAAGAGCTCCTAAAAATAAACAGAATTGTTCCTTCTCTGCTAAAACTCCTTCAAATACCTCCTTATCTCACTGAGAGTCAAAGCCAAAGTCTTTCCAGTAGCCCACAAGGTCCTACTGAGCTGTTGTCTCCCTCACTCATTCCCTGCCACTCCATTCCACTTGCTCACTCTGTTCCAGCCACGCTGGCCTCCTTGAAATTCCTCCAACAGCTCTTGCTTTGGGGGCCTTGCTTTTCCTCACCATGTAGTGCTTGTCTCCAAGATGTCTGTGTGACTCACATTTTCACCTCCTTTAAGTCTTTACTCAAATGTCACCTTCTTGGTAAAACTGTCCATGTCCACCCTATTAAAATTGTAACGCTTCAATCCCACACTCCACATCTTTCTTACCCTGTTTTATTTCTCTCCATGGCACTTATCATGATCAGATTTTGTGTGTAGCTACTTGTGTTCATCAGAGGTCTCCAGAGAGACAGAATCAATAAGAGATATATAGCTATATAGAAAGAGATTCAGGATGAAGGATTGTCTCACACTATCGTGTAGTCTGAGAAGGACCATGATCTGCCATCTACAAGCTGGAGACCCAGGAAAGCCAGTGGTGTGGTTCCAGTCCAAACCAGAAGCCCTGAGAACCAGGGGAGTCAATGGTGTAAGTCCTGATCTGAGTCCAAAGATCTGAGAACCAGGAGCACCAAAGTCCCAGGACAGGAGAAGACAGATGTCCCAGATCAAGATAAGAAAGAGAGAATTTTACCTTCTTTGACGTTTTTGTTCCATTTGTGCCCTCAATGGATTAGATGATGGCCACTCACATTGGTCAGGTTGGATCTTCTTTACTCAGTCTACTGACTCAAATGCCAATTTCTTCTGGAAACGCCCTCACAGACACATCCAGAAATAATGTTTTAGCAGCTTTCTGAGCATCACTTAGCTCAGCCAAGTTGACACATACAATTAACCATCACACTAGTTATTTGTTTATTGTCTGCTTTCTCCCACTAGATATCACTGCTGTATCCTCAGTGCCTAGAACAGTGCCTGCACACAAGGACATCTCAATGAATATTTATCGGATGAAAAGATGTGAACATGTGGTTAACAGGAAAATATATGAAAATTAATTTTATTTCAATTTAAAATGTTACGTCTACTTAACAGGGCATAAATATTGCTCAAAATAAGTATGTATAGAGCTATTACATTCTTTTTAATGGTGCCGTGGATTTCTACTGGATAAATATACTGGAATTTATTTAACTGGTCCCCTATTGATGAATATTTACATTGTTTACAGTAATGTGCTATTGCAAATATTGCTGTGTTTGTGGAGAAAGAATCAACTCAAATGCCCATCAGTGACAGATTTGATGAAGAAAATGTAGTACATGCGCACCATGGAATACTATGCAGCTGTAACAAGGAATGAGAACATTTCCTTTGCAGGGACATGAATGGAGCTGGAAGAATAATCTTTCCAATAAATGATGCTGGAACAATTGAGTATTCAAATGCAAAAAAAGAACCTTGACCACTACCTCACTGTAATCAGAAATTAATCTGAAATAGAACACAGACCTAAATGTAAAACCTAAAACTGTAAAACTTTTAGAAGAAAATCTGTGACTTTGGGTTAGGCAAAGATTTCTTAGATATGACACCAAAAGCACAATCCATAAAAGAACCAAATGATAAACTGGACAAAATAAAAAAATTCATCTCCTTTACAGGACGCTGATGAAATAATAAAAAGACAAGGCACAGAAAATATTTGCAAAGCAAATACCTGACAAAGACTTATATTTAGATTTATACAGAGAACTCTCAAAAGTGAATCATAAGAAAACAAATAGCCCTCTCTAGGCAGCCCAGTACCTTAAGGGGCTGCAGCTTGTGCTCTCCCAAAGATGTGTTGCAAGCAGTTATGTCATTCATTCATGCAACAAATATTTGTTGAGTATCTACTCTGAGCCAGACATTATTTAGGCGCTAATGCTGCAGCAGTACATGAAATTATCATGAAGCATCCATTCTTTTTCGTTCTTTTTCTTCTTCTTCCTCTTCTTTTTTTTTTTTTTTTTTGAGAAGCCAGGATCCCAAGGCACCAAGTGAAAGACTGGTTGGCAAAAATCCATTTGAACTGTGATGTGAGTGGAAAACATATGCTTGTTGAATTAAGTAATGATCAATCCTATGCTCTGTTTTTACTCATAGCAGCTTCTGTTGTTCCTTTTATTAATACTTCTGGCTTGTTTCTTTTTTATCTCAGGGCTAAAATATCCCATTTGAAAAACCACCCTTTTTTTTCCAGTCTTTTGCTTTGTCAAGTTATAGCATAGCAAGTTTTATTATTCATTTAATTATGCTTTAAGTTCTGGGATACATGTGCAGAACGTGCAGTTTTCTTACATAGGTATACACGTGCCATGGTGGTTTGCTGCATCCATCAACCTGGGAGGAGATGGACCAAAACAAATGCACAGATTGATATATAATAGTCATCTACATAGGCTAAGTCTTCTAGATAATTCCATCTTAAATTACCATTTTCTCTGGTCACTAAGAAGGGACAGGAACCTCAATAGCATGATATATCCTTTCAAGTTGGTAGACATCCACGGGCATATGAAGGCAATCTTTCCTCTGTCCTCCTTTATTGGAGCTATTTGATAATGCCCACATCTTGAGTCTAGTTCTTAGAACTACCAACTGCCAAGCAAAGCAAAGTTCAAGCATCTTGAACTTGGTGTATAACACATTAGTGTACTTTAGTGTATTTAAAAAATTTATGTGTAAAATGGCCTATGCACATCCATGTTCTTCTACATACTACAATCAAGGATGCATAGGGGACCAGAGGACTTGGGGTTTAAATCCCTAATTTGGAATTCTTCAATGTAGCCACAGTTAACCCTGATGTTAGACAATGCCATCTTCTGGACCACTCTCAAACCATTCAGTTCTAGCCTCTTATTCACCTTGAGCCCAACCCACGTCTCATTCATGGAAGCAGAAGCATAACTTCTGACTTGCATTTCCTTTTTATGTGTCCTACCACTCATCAGAAGTCAGGGAATCTCCAGATTAAAGCTCTTGAGCCTTCCTTTGGGGAGTCAAGTTGGTGCTAGCCCAAGGGAAAAAGGAGGTGGTAATGGCCTTTGTCTTTTTTGTAGGCATGAGCACATGGTACTTGGCTAGGAAAGCCATTTGCATGTATAAAATATGTAGTTCCAGTAGCACCAAGCTAGCACTTTAAAAATGCAACATTTATTTCAACTGCTACTAACACTGCATGCATGCCTCATGAGTCTGGGTATCCAAGAGTAGGAATATTCTCCTTCCTGCTGACTTCTACTATGTCTATGCTGCACAGGGAACTAACTGAAGTTAAAATGCCATCCACTCTCATCACTTCTGTTCCTGTATTCTCATTTTTTTTTATAACACTTCTCACTAGCTGACATATTGTTTGGCTTGTTCATTTGTTTACTTATGATTCTCTCCCCTCACTAGAATCCTAGCTGCTTAGAAGAAGGAACTTTTATTTGTTCACTGTTGTCCCTCCACTGCTTAGCATAGTGTCTAAGTAAATAGTAAATGCTCATAGTATGTGCTCAAAAAATATTCTGGAAGAAAGAAAGGATGGGATAAAAGGAATGAGAAAGGGAAGGAGGCAGGGAGAGAGAGGAATGTAAAGGAAGGAAGAGAGAAGACATTCTGTTAACTGAGAGGGCTCTCTTACTTTTTCACTTCTGACTGATCAGACTTGGTAGACCAAAGGCCAGAATTTGGTCGACAGAGTTGCCAAATTCCTGCTGGAACCAATTGCATTCCATTTGTCTTTCCCTGGGGGCATTGAAGCCTACTCTCTCTGAAGCTCCTCCCCTTGATGGCAGACTGTTGCAAGGTATTTCTGCTCCGTTGTGCAGATGAGAAAAACAGATGTTATATCATAAAAGAAGACCTCACTCCTTCTTGAAGTTTCTGCAAGTGACTCCCCAGTGGCTGTGAAGGCAAGAATGCCCATCTTTCTGGAAAACTCTTTCTATTCTTGCATTTTCTTTTCCCTTATTAACTCTCCAATGCTCTGAGTTAGGACTACCCCCACTGAGAGCTCTCAGAAAATGTTGACTGACTAGCTAAATTATGCTATTGATGTGGCTTAATTAATACTAATGACTTATCATGAGAATTACAGATATGTACCCATGTCTAGGAAATGTCAGTGACAAGAGAATTAAGGTGTCAGTTCTCATAAAACATGAGCAAAAATCTCCTCAGGGTAGTTGGAGATAGTTACCTCCTCTCCCGGTAAAAATGCCCTTGAATTATATCAGAACCTGCTTGTGAATCCTGTATCTGTAGTCTTCTTAGGTTTGGAATGAGTGTGGTAACATTTAAATTACACATTCCACATCAACCATGCAGTTCTCAGTAAGATGATAACAAGAAGGATGGGGATGCAGGTGGTAAGAGTGCGTTGAACAGTGTTGTGCAACGGTTGGCAGCACAACCAGGCATCCATGGGTAACACATATCCAGGCAGATGAATATATAGATTAGCATCCTGGGGTTAATTTCACTTTGCAGATAATTAACGTGTCCTTATTTTGGAAATAAATGCTTCTGAAGTTAAAATAAATGTATTTAATTAGTAGAGGCATTTAGTTCTGAGGTGGAAAGTAAATGTACTAATGGAATAAATGGTTGTATACACATTTTATATTCCAAATCTAAGTTAAATGCATCTCCTTCAAGCCATACATATAGGAGGTGGATTTTAGATTGTGAGAACCTGTTGCTGGGAGGCAGCATGGCATGTGCCTTGTGCCAAGTTGCAGGCTAGGATTGTCCAATTTGTCTGAGCCTGTGTTCTGGATCAGTGACATAGCACTGGCCCGGCTTGTGGGCTGAGTCATCTCATGCTGTCAAATTCAGGTTGCTCTTTCCAGTGCTGACCTCTCTTCCCAACTGCCTGCTGGGCATTTACACTAGGCTGACAGCTGAGACCCCCAGTTTAACTGGTCAAGACAGGCTTCTGCACTCCTGTTGTCCCCAAAGCCCTCCAACCACACCAACACTTCCCTGAGGACCTTTTGTTTATCTTTTCTGTTCCTGGCTCTTTGTAAAGCTTGAGTCACCTCTGACTCAACTCTTGCCTCTTTCCTTCAAATCTTCCTTCAACTCCGACCCATCTTCCACGATTTCCCATCATCTGTTTGAAATCTAGTCCTGCTCTACATTCCCTTGCCACTGTCCTGGTTCTATTAAGTCTATCCCTTAAGCATCTCTTGATGATCCACTTTTCCCAGGTTCCCTCCATATATATGGTGCCAGTGAAACCTTCGCAATCTCTTCTTTGTTCCTCTGTACCTAAATCTTGCTTCCATCCAGTCTGTTTTCCACATTGCCACCAAAGTGACTGCAGATCAAAAGCTGATTATGTCACCTCCCTGCCTAAACTCTTTCATGGATTACACCCCCTACTCCTCAAACTGCCTTCAGGATAAAGCCCAAACCTTTCAAAAAGACCTTCAAGGAACACCATGGTCTGGGACCTACCATCCAGTTCAGTCTGTTCTTTATGTACCCTCAAGACACATATCAGAGCTCCTTACTAGCCTGTGGAAATTTCTGTACTCGTCATCATCAGTGCGTTTGTTTAGGCTATTGCTTTGTTGTAGTGTGATGAATTCCTTGGGCCTCTAAATTTGATTTATGGCAGAAACTATAGGGGAGTGTGGCCATTGTCCCAAGAAGGAATCACTCTTCACTACTCTATTCCTTGCTACCCACAAGCAATGTTCAGCCTTTGGAGACCCCTCTTGTAGATGGGGCTAGGAGCATGGGGGGAGATCCTCTTTTGATGAAGCCTTCCTAGGGATTTGGCTTGAAGATTGGGCTTCTCTTCCTTTATATACCTGTACCTGGACTCCAGGGTTCCTAAAGGCAACTCAGGGTAAATATCTCACAGTTAGGTCTACCTCCTGAGTTTTCTTGGAGCTAAAGGCTTCTCTCCATACCCTGGATTCTGACCTGGTGCCAACAGGAGAGTGAGGCAGCACTCTCACCTCAGCACAGGAATATCAGTTTTCTCTGCTGCTGCCAAGAATAACCCCTGAGCTCTGCTCCCTCTTTCTGTGGTAGAAATATTCTGAGCCTCCCCACTGGGAATCTTACTTCACACTCACCCACACCATTTGCACGCACACAGCTGCACATACGCACATGGGCACACGCACACACACACAAACACATAGTCATTCATCAGCACAGGCTTGGGCTGGAAATAACTGAGACTAGCTGAGGTGAGGACTTCAGAAAGATTCCAAGGGAGAAGGATCTTGCATCATGATTTGGATAGTACAGGAGAGCAAGCAGAGAGCAGAAGTCTTTGAGAGCCGGCAAGGTGAGACGTTTGGGTTGCTGAAGGGTCTATTCCTCTGGGTCAGGGAAAAGGCCCAGGCTGGAGATCCCTGAATCCAGTGCGATTAATTTATTTTATAAATGTTTATTTAGCACCAACTATGCACTGGGCACTATTCAATCTAGGCAATGGGGAGGAAACCACGAACAAGACAAACATGACCTTTCATAGTGCTTATTATGTTCTTGTGGAAATAAGAAACACTCCCTTAAGCTAATTGCCAAGTCTTGGCAGTTCTACCTCATAAATAGCTCTGAAGTGCACCAGTGTCACTCCTCTTCCACTGCTGGTCCTTTGGCTCAGGCTTTCGTTATCCTCATTCATTTATTCATTCATCCACCCATCACGTCTAATTTTTTTTTGAGACGGAGTCTCAGTCTGTTGCCCAGACTGGAGTGCAGTAATACAATCTTGGCTGACTGTAGCCTCAATCTCCCTGGCTCAAATGATCCTCCTGCCTCAGTTCCCCAGGTAGCTGGGCTACAGGTGCACACCACCACACCTGGCTATTTTTTTTTTGTATTGTCTATTTATTTATTTATTTATTTATTTATTTATTTATTTATTTTGAGATGGAGTCTCGCTGTGTTGTCCAGGTTGGAGTGCAGTGGCTCCATCTCAGCTCACTGCAACCTCTGTCTCCTGGATTCAAGTGATTCTTCTGCCTCAGTCTCCTGAGTAGCTGAGACTACAGGGGCATGCCACCACGGCTGGCTAATTTTTGTATTTTTAGTAGAGATCGGGTTGCACTATATTGTCCAGGCTTGTCTCGAACTCCTGACCTCAGGTGATCTGCCCGCCTCAGCCTCCCAAAGTGTTGGGATTACAGGCATGAGACACCGCGCCTGGCCATTTTTTTTTTTTTTTTGTATTTTCTGTAGAGACAGGGTTTCCCCATGTTGCCCAGGCTGGCCTGAAACTGCTGAGCTCAAGGGATCCTCCCACCTCGGCCTCTGAAAGTGCTAGGATTACAGGCATGAACCACCACACCTGGCCTCAGAATATTTATTGGGTACCTACAGTATTCCAGCAGTGAGCAAAACAGACAAATCTTATTTTCCTGAACTTAGAGTCTTGTTGGGGGAAACAGATATCAATATATCACTTAACATTTTAGACATTCTCGGATAGAAGTCTGTTCAGGGCACCTTGAGGACACAAAGGAGAGCAGGGTCACTTCTGCCAGGTCATTTGTTGGCAGGAAAGATTTGCTATGAGCTGAGTCTTTACAGATGAGGAAGTATCCTTCAGGTCAATAGGGAAATGTACTTGCCAGGTCCAGGGAGCAGGATGGGCAAAGGCATAGAGATGGGATACAGTCTGGGGTATTCAGGGAACTGCCAACCCTTACGTATGGCTGAAAGTTAAGTTGGATGATGAATTTGACTGCATCCATGAAAAAAAAAAAAACCGAGCTAGAGCTTTACCAGTTTACCTAGAAAGATTTCTGGGAGAGATTTCTGAGTGAGGAAAGTAATGTGCAGAAATTGTATACATTGTGATCTCAGATTTCTAAAACAATGATCAACTGCCCCAAATGTATTTGAGCATATAGAAAAATATTGAAAGATATCATTGAGGTTGTTGACATGTGTTATGGAGAATGAGACAGAAGTGAAAGGAGGTGAAAGAAGGGGGGAGGGTAGTGATGCGAAAAGGGAAAGAAATGTCAAGTAAATAAATAATGCATTTATTTATGAATGAATGTATGCATGCATAAATGAGTGGAGATTTTAATGGCAGGAATTAATATGTGTCTGGCTTCCTGAGTCCAGAAGATAAGGTTGAGTCCAGCCTGCAGTGGGAGTGTCATGGTAACAATAGTCTAGCCATAAACCTGAAGCCCTTGCCAGAGCCTAGGGTCCTGGGGTTAGAGATGAGTTCAGGCTCCTCCCACAAGATTGAGGAAAGCCCAGGTTTATGAGCACTTCTGATATGGTTTGGCCGTGTCCCCACCAAAATCTCATCTTGAATTGTAGCTCCCATAATTCCCATGTGTTGTGGGAGGGAGCCAGTGGGAGAAAATTGAATAATGGGGGGCAGTTTCCCCTATACTTTTCTTGTGGTAGTGAATAAGTCTCATGAGTAAATATATGAACATCATTAAAGACAGTGCCTGGCATATAGTAAGCACTCCATAATTGTTAGCTAACAACAGCAATAGCAATAATAACTATTTCAGAGTTGAGATTCTGCCAACTCTGAGGAATAATTAAAACTTTACTTTGCATTTAGATGTAGAAGAAAAGAAAGGACAACAGCATTTAACCAATGCCTACCATGTGCCAGGTTGTAGTAATACTTTTCCTCAGTTGATATGTCTACTACGTGTCAACTCAGTGAAGCTCAGGGAGGTTCACTGAAGTAACTGGGCCAGGTTTATACAGCCAGCAAATGGCAGAGCTGCAATTGAATTCCAGTTTATCTGATTCCAAGGCCTCTCTTGATTGACTTAGTCTACATACAAATGGTGCTTCAAATTCTTAAGTACAGCTTTTAAAAATCACTTTAGCCTTTTACAGTAATAGGAAACTTGAGCTTGGAATAAATGCCCAATGGATGTTGGGTTCCCTCTCAAAGGATTTACCTTTAATAGTTTCTTTTGGGTGTTGGCCCTGAATTGAAGCTATGACCACCTTCTCCCGGAAAATCCACCCAGGCACATGCACACAATGTTGTTTGGGAGGGTCTGCAGCTCTCTTGAACCCTCTCCACTGCCCCCAGTCTAAGAACTGCTGCTTGAAGGGGAAAGGAAAGCCTCGTGGTTTTAGAGGTGGCTTTCACTCCCTCTCCTTGTTGCTTTCTTCTTTCCACAGTATTCAGAGAAACACACTTTGCAGAAACCCAGGCCCAGAGATGGGCAATTCCTTATGCTGGTGCTACAACTGAACTGCTGCATGAGAGGAGGGTGAGAAGAGCTCCCGTTTAGCACTGTTTGGAGGTCTGTGGTTTTACCTGCACCAGCTCATTTAATCCTCATGATAATCTGAGTTACAATCCAGCTCTGCCAATTTACTAGCTATACTGGAAAATTACCAAATATTTCTGGGCCTCAATTTCTTCAAATGTAATTGAAGGATAAATCACAGGATCTTTGTGAGGACTGAGATCTTATGCCTGTGCCTGGGACATGTGGGGGCCTAGAGAGGTGATATCCTGCTCGCTTCCCTGCATTTCCCATGTCACAGGGCAGTATGTGGCCACCAACAGAGGTAACACATCCTAGCCTACAGTGGAGGGAGGCTCTGAGCATCCAATTTTTGCCCAGCAACAGAGATACACATATTTCCAAACATGCATAATTTGAGCGGTCTTGGGCAAGGTGCATGCATGACATGGAAGCCCTGTCTTCCAGAGCTATATCCTGACTGAGAAGTGTACAGCATTAGTGATATAGAGGCACAGAGGTGTAGGTCTTTGAAAGGCTCAGGGAAAAGGCTGTGAGACTCCACAGGAAGGACCTAAGCAGTGAAAGCCTGAGAGCCCAGGAAATCAGGTTTCAGCTAATCCCTACATGAAACACAGTGAATAATGGGAAAATCCCAGGCGGAATCAACAGCTCTATGCTTCAGGTGGCAAGCATGGGCTTCCCTGAAGATGCTTTCCACCACTGGCTCAACCTTTATTGAGCTACAAAGGAGACTTCAAGTGTCCTCATCATCTTTGTTTGACTCAGCCCTGTATTGCTTGGCTGTTTATTAGCCTCCTGCCTCATGACCAGGATGGAAAGAGCACAGAACAATGGATTGTGGGATTGTGGCCTAGCCAATCTCTTTGTTGAGTTATTGTCTGTGGTGGCTGCTGGCATGCTAGTGGCCCCCGTGTGTCTACAGCACCATGGTAAATGAAATGGTCAGGATAGGGGTGAAGTGTCTCCATCCTTCCCTTGGCTAAGCTGTTGCAGAGATGAAGACACCAGGAGTTAAGGAGTTGACATCAGCTCATGAAAGAGGCAGAGCCTCCCCTCACAACTACCACTAACTCTTTGGGCCCCACACACAGTTCTCTGCCAGTGCTCACTGTTGCCTCAGCAGGGCTGCCGAATCAGCCTTCCTGGTCCTCCCTCTCTCACATCCAGCACTGAAGTGAAAGCTCTCTGGGAAACTAAGCTCCAAGCTAGAGGAGGTCATTTTAAAATAACCTGCGGAAGTTCTTTGAAGACACTGCTGTCATGGCAGATAAAGGAAACTCAGGGGCTACAGTGTGCTTAGATTTTTAAAAAGCATCCGACAATGTTCAGCATCTGAGATGAATGGGTGAGGTAGAGGGTAATGAGAGAGGTTGTTAGATGGCATGATGGTTGAATTAAAAATAGCACTCGGCTCTTTTGTAAGTATGTCTTTGAAGGGTCTCTCCTATGAAATGCCATTGGCTACGCCCAGTTTCTCTGAAGACAGAATCATCCATGAGCCCAATTATTGCCAAGAGGGTATCTGCCCCCTCATCCCAGCTGCTCGTTGCGTAGAATATTTTGGACTTCCAGCTAGGATGTCCCCTTACACAGGGCTCACTTTACAGGGTTGTGCTTTGCCTTTGCTGTTTAATACAGTAGTCCTAGCAGGGATGTGATATGATATCAAGCCCTGGTTTCTTCCCCAACACCCTCCTGGCATATAATTAACACAAACAAATGTTCACTATGACAAGGATTCTCAAGGGCCACTATATGGGACGGGGGACATTGAATAAAGCCCTCATGTGACTCTCTCCCCAAGTCTCTTCCCATTGGAGAAATATTGCTGTAGCTGAATGAATACTGAGCTGGTAGACAGGAAGCCAGGGTTTGAGTCGTGGCTTTCATTTGTTAGTTGTGTGGCCTGCAGCAAGCCACTTTCCTCCTCCAGACCTAGTTTACTCATCTGTGGAATGATGACTTTTACAGTTCCTTTTCACTCTGGGTCTCTGGGTTTAGTGTTTCTCTCTGGACCTACCTGCCTGAGAACCATCAGGATAAAAACTTACAGATTTCTGGGCCCCTCCCCAGATTACTGAATTAGAATCTTAGGAGGTAGGGACTGAGGACCTACCTTCCTAACAAGATGCCCAGGGAATTCTTAAGCATTACAGAATCAGAGAGCCACTTTTCTCTCATGTCAATAATGCACATTCATACGTGTCCACCACTCACCCATACTTTCACACCCACACATACATAGATACACCCTAGCTCATACATAGATAACCCTAGTATTGGTATACTTACACAAATACCCTCACACAGAGACATATAGTCTCATAGATGCTTCCTCACTCATGCTGTCTCTCGTACATGTGGGTACCTAAACACACACACGTTTATATATATGCTTCTCACCTATTTTATCTCTCACACATAGATCCCTATACACAACACACCTACACAGAGGTGCATATACACTCCCTCACTCACTCTCTGTCTCAGCCACACAGATACCTAAACACCTCCCTCACCCATACATACACACACACACACACACACACACACACATTTCTCTTTTTTACACGTTTGAGTTCTTACTATGTGTCAGCAATTTCCAGACCCTATAAAACTCAATCATGTCCTACTAAGTATTTGTGAGCCCCAAGTTAAGATGCTCTGTGTTAAGCAGACATTGAGAAATAGGAATGCTCTCCCTCCCTTCCTCCTCCCCAGAAAGCATGGGGAAATATTTCTTCTGGCATTCTGAGCTGCTGGGGGATGACTGCACACCCTTTGCCAGTTTAGGCAGGCCTGCGCTCTCACCCTGCTCCCCCATGCCCACCCTTTTACCTCCACTTAGAAGTTGCAGAGGATCACAGTTTCCCTTTCCGTTGCTCAGTATGCCAGAAGAGAGTCAGTGACTTTTTCTGTTCTTCCATTTCTATTTTTAATTACAACTAACTGGGGACAAGAGTGAAACATTTTCGCAATTTAATCTTAGTGTAAAATGGTGTATTTTCACTTCATTAGCTAAAAGGGAAATCAAATGGCTTATCAAAGGTTGAGCTTCACATTTGCATATGGGTCTGGGATTCATGAAGCAGAATTTGTAACAGCTATAAAAGCCCTACAAGTGTCTCTGGAGACCACCGGCTTTATCATTTCAACTGCAGCATTATAAAATGACATTTGGACATGAAGTAGGGTGGGTGTGCTTGAGTCACAGTGAAGCATGTGGAAATTTCAGCTGTGTATTAGTTATCTATTGCTGCGTAACAAACAAAATCGCCCCAAAACTTAGTGGCTTAAAACAACCAACAATTATTATCTCACAGTTTGTATGGGTCAGAAATCTGGGTGCAGCTTAGCTGGAGGCCACTAGCTCAAGGTATGTCATGCAGTATGATGGCAGTTGGAGCTGCAGTCATCTCAAGGGTCAACTGTGGGGAAATGGGTCCAAGCTCATGCACATGGACCCCTCCAAATGATGGCATGGCAGCTGGATTCACCTAGAAGGAGCAATCTAAGAGAGAACAAGAGAGTACAAGCAAGACAAAGACACTAAGATGGAAACTGGAGGGTTTTTTTTGTTTGTTTTTTGTTTTTTATTCTTTGCCTGTTTTTTTTTTTATTATAGGGTACATGTGCACAACGCGCAGATTTGTTACATATGTATACATGTACCATGTTGGTGTGCTACACCCATTAACTCGTCGTTTACATTAGGTACATCTCCTAATGCTATCCCTCCCCCCTCCCCCGACCCCACGACAGGCCCCGGTGTGTGATGTTCCCAACCCTGTGTCCAAGTGTTCTCATTGTTCAATTCCCACCTATGAGTGAGAACATGTGGTGTTTGGTTTTTTGTCCCTGCGATAGTTTGCTGAGAATGATGGTTTCCAGCTTCATCCATGTCCCTACAAAAGACATGAACTCATCATTTTTAATGGCTACATAGTATTCCATGGTGTGTATGTGCCACATTTTCTTAATCCAGTCTATCATTGATGGACATTTGGGTTGGTTCCAAGTCTTTGCTATTGTGAATAGTGCCGCAATAAACATACGTGTGCATGTGTCTTTATAGCAACATGATTTGTAATCCTTTGGGTATATACCCAGTAATGGGATGGCTGGGTCAAATGGTATGTCTAGTTCTAGATCCTTGAGGAATCACCACACTGTCTTCCACAATGGTTGAATCAGTTTACAGTCCCACCAACAGTATAAAAGTGTTCCTATTTCTCCACAACCTCTCCAGCACCTGTTGTTTCCTGACTTTTTAATGATCATCATTCTAATGGGTGTGAGATGGTATCTCATTGTGGTTTTGATTTGCATTTCTCTGATGGCCGGTGATGGTGAGCATTTTTTCATGTGTTTTTTGGCTGCATAAATGTCTTCTTTTGAGAAGTGTCTGCTCATATCCTTTGCCTACTTTTTGATGGGGTTGTTTGTCTTTTTCTTGTAAATTTGTTTGAGTTCTTTGTAGATTCTAGATATTAGCGCTTTGTCAGATGAGTAGATTGCAAAAATTTTCTCCTATTCTGTAGGTTGGCTGTTCACTCTGATGGTAGTTTCTTTTGCTGTGCAGAAGCTCTTTAGTTTAATTATATCCCATTTGTCAATTTTGGCTTTTGTTGCCATTGCTTTTGGTGTTTCAGACATGAAGTCCTTGCCCATGCCTATGTCCTGAATGGTATTGCCTAGGTTTTCTTCTAGGGTTTTTTATGGTTTTAGGTCTAACATTTAAGTCTTTAATCCATCTTGAATTAATTTTTGTATAAGGTGTAAGGAAGGGATCCAGTTTCAGCTTTCTACATATGGCTAGCCAGTTTTCCCAGCACCATTTATTAAATAGGGAATCCTTTCCCCAAAAGCCCTGAAAACTCTCAATAAATTAGGTATTGATGGGACATATCTCAAAATAATAAGAGCTATTTATGACAAACCCACAGTCAATATCATACTGAATGGGCAAAAACTGGAAGCATTCCCTTTGAAAACTGGCACAAGACAGGGATGCCCTCTCTCAGCACTCCTATTCAACATAGTGTTGGAAGTTCTGGCCAGGGCAATCAGGCAGGAGAAATAAATAAAGGGTATTCAATTAGGAAAAGAGAAAGTCAAATTGTCCTTCTTTGCAGATGACATGATTGTATATTTAGAAAACCCCATCATCTCAGTCCAAAATCTCCTTAAGCTGAAAGCAACTTCAGCAAAGTCTCAGGATACAAAATCAATGTGCAAAAATCACAAGCATTCCTATACACCAATAACAGATAAAACAGAGCCAAATCATGAGTGAACTCCCATTCACAATTGCTTCAAAGAGATTAAAATACCTAGGATCCAACTTACAAGGGATGTGAAGGACCTCTTCAAGGAGAACTCCAAACCACTGCTGAATGAAATAAAAGAGGACACAAACAAATGGAAGAACATTCCATGCTCGTGGATAGGAAGAATCAATATCATGAAAATGGCCATACTGCCCAAGGTAGTTTATAGATTTAATGCCATCCCCATCAAGCTACCAATGACTTTCTTCACAGAATTGGAAAAAAACTACTTTAAAGTTCATATGGAACCAAAAAAGAGCCCGCATTGCCAAGACAATCCTAAGCCAAAAGAGCAAAGCTGGAGGCATCATGCTACCTGACTTCAAACTATAATACAAGGCTATAGTAACCAAAACAGCATGGTACTGGTAACAAAACAGATGGAACAGAAATGAGCCCTCGGAAACTGGAGTTTTTTAATAACCTAATCTCAGACGTCATATCCCATCACTTCTGCCATCTTTGGTTTTGTTTTAAGTGAGTCATTAGGTCCAGCCCAAGCCTAAGAGGAGAGAATGACACAGGGCATTGATACCAAGAGATGGGGCCATTGGGTGTCATCATAGAGGCCACTTTAGAGACAGCATACTACAAGTTGCAAGGAGGACTTGGAAGAGAAAATGTCATCAAAGATGAAGGAGCAGTACAGGCTTCCGGCCCCCTCCTCAGGTCTTCCTTCCCATTCTTTGCTTTTCTTCTTTCTGGGCCTTTTTTTTCCCTGTACCTTTCGAAGGCCCTCACAGAGTGTCTCATCAATTTATGGTGGGAAAAAATTATTTTTTTTTCCTTGGCCTCTCTAGGTACTCTGTTGTGCAGGTAGTGCCTGGGGATGTAGCCATGGAAACCAAGAGAAGGGCTCAATGGCTCAATATGAGAAAGTAGGCAGCAATATTTCAAAACCACACAAAATCCCAGGAGAGGGCTGGATTGAGGATGGAGCACCATTGAGGCCAAATGAGAGCTGCTTTTTGACATTAGGGGAGAAGGGAGAGAAATAGATGGAATAAGTAGGTACCACAAAGAGTGGGTTTGGGATGGAGAATTGGAAGAGGACTTAGAGAATATTTTGCTGCATGTTGTAAGATGTACTTTTGTCCTCACCTCTGCATACACTCTCCAACCTTCTCAAGGGTTATTGAGTGAAGTCCTCCCCTATTCTTCAAATCATTCTGGAGTTGGGTGTGTGATTCTTTTGCAGAAACACTGATCTTAGATTGGTTTCAGGGTGGTCTAGTTTCATTCCAGTTAAGGTTGTTTTGCTTTTATGGTATGCCTTTAAGATAAGACCCAGATCCTAGTGATCACTCTAATTCCATGTTTGGTCCAATGTTGGCATACAGTAAGTGTCATTGAGTAGAGAATGATTCTGGGATCAGGCCATTCACTTATATCCAAACATTTCTATGGAACATCTATCATGTGACAGAAACTGTGCTAAGCCCTTTAGAGAAGAAACAAAACACAAAAATAGCTCTTGTCCTCTAGGAATGTAAGACAGTGGAGAGAAGAGCTAAGACATAGGCAAAAACAAGAAAAGAACGATATTATGGCATGTACCAAAAAGGGTTAGGAAGCACTGTGAGAGTTGAGCCAGAGGCAAAATCACTTATGGCTGTGTGAGTGGAAAGGATAAAATATTTCCTGGAGGCAGTGGTTGTCAAACTGGACTTGAGGATGCCAAGGGAGGTGAGATTCAAGGTCAATGGAGTGACAGAAGCAAACAAAAGTGGGAAACTGGGGTCCTCAGTGTGACTGAGGCTTATAATCCACACTCAACTGTGGTAGGGGTGGGGAGAGGAGGTGGCATTGTCAAGTTGGACCCCAACCAAAAAGCTTTGAATGCCACACTAAGAAACTTAGGGAGCCTTTAGCAAGTTTTGAATAGATAAATGTCCTGCGCTTTGGTCAGAAAATGTCTGCCAATCATCTGTTGAATGCAGCAAGGTAGAAGAACTTTGGTCATGATCTGGATGAGAGGTAATAGGCTTCTGGATCACAGTGGTGCTTAGGGGAGTGGGAAGGAAGGGCCAGATGAGAGAACCAAAGCTAATGCTGACTGTCTGGGGCTTGGGGACAGATTAAGCAGGTGAAGTCAGGAGGATGGAGAAGGCATGGCTGGTAAGCTTCAAGCCAGGGTCAGTAAAAGAAAGTGGCATTAGGCAGGCATGGGTATGGCTGGAGTAGAGCTGGTCAGGCCAGGTGGTTGGCCAGCCTTGTTAGGATAGTGCTGACTATGGTATTGGCTGATGTAGCAAATACAAAACAGAATATCCAATTAAATTTACATTTCAGGTAAACATCAAATAAATGTTTAGTACATGTAAGTATTTTCCATGTGATTTGTGAGATAAGCATAACTATGGGACATACTTATACAAAAAAACGTATTAATTGTTTATCTGAAATTCAAATTTTACTGAACCTCTGTATTTTTTTCTGCATCCCTAAATAACTCTGTCATGAGGCAGCCGTGCATCTTTCTGGAGAGGCAGTGTAGAACAGCAGTGGTTAACTGCATGGAACCTGGTAGCAGACCAGCTGAGTTCAAATCCAGTTTCTACTGCTTATTAGTTATGTGACCTTGAAAAAGTGACTCTACATCCCTGAAAGCTCATCTAGGAATGGAAAGGATGACTTCTGTCTTGACCACCTACCAAGGTGATTGTGGATCCCAGATGAAGCAGTGGCGCGCAGTAGTGCTTTGAAACCCATAGGGCATTGTGAGGCACTGTAATGATCCCTGAACAAGATGAATACATTGGCCTCATTAAGAAGCCTGCTGGCTGGTGTGGGATTTGGGGCTCTAATTAATTCAAAATATCAAATACTAAGCTGTAGTTTTTTCTTTCTTCTTTCTAGAAGCTTGGGGGAGGAGGGGGAAAGAAACAGGCAGGCACTGTCCACGCATCCCCACCTCTGGGATTTCATGATGTCCTAAGGAGAAATATTCACCAAACAGCTTGCACTTAATTTCCCTGAAGCCATCATGCAGCTGAGACCAGAGCTTTTGGTTCTCCTAGGTACCTGTGTAATTGTCACACTGGCATTCCCAAAACACATTTCTGCTCAGCAGCTGAGTGCTGGCTGGGGGAAGAGTGAGGAGACTGAGTTCCGAGCACATTTCTCTGAAGGGGCAGGGCTTCTTATGCAGGAAGGGCTGTCATATAACACACGGGAAAGACAGGCACCAGAGTCAGTCACAGACTGGCATTTGAGTAGAATTCCAGGGAAAGGGCATATTTATCAGAAAGCAAATAGAGGGGTGGCAGGTATCAGCACAGAAAGTGTGTGTATAACTGTGATTTTTCTCAAAAGCTTGGCAACCAAGTCAGGGCACTGTGAGTGACAGAGAGAAGGCAAATTATTGCAATTCAAATCCCTTTTATTGCTTTAGATGTGGAGCAGCCATGGAAAAACCAACTACAAAACAGTGTCACAAAGCGCAAAACTCCTCTACAGCCACTAGACAGATGCAAAAATTCCCTAAATCAAAATGCTCTGAATCTAAAACTGCCAAAACATGGGTAGATATGTATGTATGTTGAGGGATGGGCCATTTATTTCTTGCAATGAATTCATAGGGGAAGTTTTCTTTTCTTGCAGTATTCTTCAGATTACCTTGGGAGTTTGTTAGGGGCTGAATCGTGTGCCCCTCAAATTCATACATTGAAGTCCTAACCTCCTATGCTTCAGATTGTAACTGTATTTGGAGATAGGCCTTTAAAGAGGTAAAATGAGGTCATATGGGTAAGCCCTAATCCAATCCAACTGATGTCCTGAAAAGAAGAACAGATTAGGACACAGACACACACACAGGAAAGGCTATGTGAGGACACAGGGAGAAGGTGGCCATCTGCAAGCCAAGGAGAGAAGCTTGGAGAGGAACCAACCTTGCTGACATCTTGATCTCAGATTTCCAGCCTCCAGGACTATGAGGAAATAAATGTCTATTGATTAAGCCACACAGCCTGTGGTACTTTGTCAGGGCAGCCCAAGCAAACTAAGACAGGGTCCGAGGCAGGAGCATCTCTGCTGGGCTCTTTTTAGTAGAGTCAGTTTAACAGTCTTTTTCTAAGGGCTTCAAGGGCTGTGCTGCTTAAACCTTTGCACTCATGCCAGACAACATTCTAAAACCTGAATAATGGCAGGACATCTTCCTGGAACAATCACTGTGTTTAGAAATGTCTAGGGAGCCAGTTTAAATTTAAATACCCATAAGTATATTTTGGAGCAGAATGAAAAATTTCACGTGAATATTTATTTGTTTGTTTGTTTGTTTATTTATTTATTCATGAGACCGTTTCACTCTGTTGTCCAGGCTGGAGTGCAATGGCGCAATCTTGGCTCACTGCAACTTCGGCCTCCCGGGTTCAAGGGATTCTCCTGCCTCAGCCTCCCAAGTAGCTGGGATTACAGTCATGTGCCATCATGCTAGGCTATTATATATATATATATATATATATATATATATATATATATATTTAGTAAAGATGGGGTTTCACCAGGTTGGTCAGGCTCATCTTGAACTCCTGACGTCAGGCGATCCACCTGCCTTGGCCTCCCAAAGTGCTGGGATTACAGGTTTGAGCCACCACACCCAGCCGCATGAATATTCAAGATAAAACAAGTTACCTTAAACAAATCTCCTGCTTGCTTCTGGAAAGGTATTAAGAACCAAAGCATGGAAAACCTTGTATGTCTGTGACAAGTGATGGGAAGCTATTAGAGGGTTTTGATGAGGGAGCTGACCTGGGTTGGTTATGTTTTTCAGTTTTTTAAGTATCTACTTGCTTCTTAAACAATATTTAACCAAGACACCATTGATTTAAAGCCCTCAACTCTAATTGGAATCATTAGAATCAAGGATGGCTAAGGTAAGGTATAAGAGTAGGGAGAGAAAGTGAGCACAATATTTTGGGGTTTGTTGATTTCTCATTGGTATTCATTGTTGTAAAATGTGGTAAGCTGTGGAACAGCATGTGGCCAAGATGGACTGGATATTCACCAATCCTGTTTTCTCTTCCTGGGTACACAGAAAGACTACATTTCTTAACCCTGCTTATGGTCGGGTTGGATGGAGTGTGAGCACAAGTAAGAGTGTGCCATTTCTAAGCCTGGCTATAGAATCCCTTATACCACTGTCCATGTTCTCTTTTTCCCTTCTTTAGAGATTGTGCACACTATATAGCTATCCCTCAGTATTCACAGGGATGAGTTCCAGGACCTCTGCAGATACCAAAAGTCGTGGGTGCTCAAGTCTGTGATATAGAATGGTATAGTACTTGCATATAACCTACACATATCCTCACCAATACTTCAAATCATATTGAGATTACTTTTAATACCTAACACAATGTGAATGCTATGTAAATAGTTGTTATACTGTATTGTTTTCTTCTGTTTGTATTTTTTACTGTTGTATTGTTATTTTTCATTTGTTTTATTTCTGAATATTTTCTGTCTGCAGTTGGTTGAATCTGTGATTGCAGAACCTGCCTTTAAGTAGGGCTCGTTATATGTTGAAGACTGCAGCATCACTAGATGGAAGAAATCTAGATCCCTAGATAATCACATGGAAAATAGCCTCCAATGAGAGCTGTCCAATCTATGTTATATTTTGATGTGAATGAGAAATAAATCTTTATTGTGTTAATCCACTGAGATTCTGGGGCTGTATGCCACAGCAGCTAGAGCTGCCTGTCCAGATACAGGAACAGAGCTAGCTTGATGACTCATCAAATACTTATTGAATGATTACTATATTCCAAGTATTGTGCCAGGTGCTAGGGATATAATGATGAGCGAATTAGACATGGTGCCTCTACTCATATCTTCTAGTTTGGTGGGAGAGGTATACATTTCAGTGAATGATCTCACAAATTTAAACAAAATTGCAACTGTAGTAAGTGCGCCAGCAGAAAGGTACATGGTGTGGCAAGAATGTAGAGTAAGGGGATATTACCTATTCTGCTGGGAGAGGGGATTTAAAATGACAGTGACAGTTGAGCTGAGATCTGAAGAATGTGTAGGCATTAGCTAAAGGAAGGGGTGGGGAAGAGGTTTCCAGGCCGAAGAAGCAAACAGCATGTGCACCAAACAGAAAGGAGGCCAGGGGGTTAATTCTTCAGTAATTTTTAGCTATAGTAACCTGCTCATTAGTCAAAAACTTGCTCATTTGCTTCTTTTAATAACATCCCTTCCTCATGATTAGGACCAAGCTGCAAAAGTGACTTCACCCAGATTTCTTATTTAATGGAGATCCTAAGACAGGAAGAAACACAAATGTGGTAGAAAGGAACTTTCTGAAAGGTATTCCTTGGCATAAGCAGAGTTCCATTTTAACAATAAACAGGAATTGATCATTTAGAGTTATTGTAGTTAATCATATCAGAGCCTACTCAAGGATTATTGACACTAAAAGCCTCAACAATGTGCCACAGTCTGTTTGGGGACCCTTTAATCTATGGTCGATTGACACCATCAACCATAACGACTTCTTCTGAGGGGAAATAAAATAACTACATGATATTGCTGCAGCACAATAAAAATGGAAGTTGTAAACTCGACAATGTGAATTAGTTTATTTTTTTTATACAACAGATGTTGTTTGACCTAGAAGAAGAAATAATATTATAGAAATTGTGATCAGTCTGAAGGAAAAATTAAAGATGTCTAAAAATAAAATACAAATAGCAGCTGCTTGAATTGTCTTTCTAATATATCAGGACTGACAGATTTTTCTTTTTCAATTGAGTTGGGATTTTCAAGGAGGCATTTGGATAGGAAGGTAGTTTCAGGAGGGTACTCATGTTCTGTGGTACATGACCTTTTCCACTGCCAGGAGGTCTCACTGTCTCACGACATCTCTGTGAGTCTGGCACTAAATCCTGGGACCAAAAGCAATGGCAGCTTTGTGGATCAGGGGCTCTCAGCAGCCCAAATCTTTTGCCATGGCATGCCCTGCATGCTTTTGCTTCTCTTCCTTCCTGTCCACTGATTTTGAGGACACGCTGACACACAGATTTTAATTTTTGCACATGGACTCCACTGTCTACAACAACCTTGTTTCTTCTTCTCAGCAAAAAAATAAATAAATAAAATAAAATAAAATAAAATAAAATAAACTTAGATGCAGAAGATGTAATTATCAAACTGCTCAAGGGATTGAGAGCAGAATATGGCGCTGGATTGGATCATATTAACTAGTGAAGAGCCACAGTAGCTTGAGAACTATGCAAAGACCTTACAATTCATGGTTTTCTTCACTTGAACCTTGCCATTAGCTACAAAAAATTCTATTCCTGTATCGTGTGCTTACTATGTGTCAGACACTATGCTAAGCACCTTACCTACCTTATGTCTTTTCAGGTCTCATGGTGAATTAAAGATGGATGCAAAGTTGCTGGCATTCCTTCCATCAAGAGGAATCTATATCTACACGATCTTTGACCAGTAGAATACAATGGCAGTGATGGGTACCAATTTTCTGAATCTTGAGACACCTCTCTGGGAACTCTGGGATGCTGTGGATGAACTCCAACTACCCTGAAGCCATGTGTAAGCATTCTGGTCAATAATCCCCCCCGAGTGGAAAACTTCCAACCATCCCCAGAAGTTGGGGCACCAGACATGTGGCTGAAGCCATCCCAAATTTTGCAAATTGGCCCACCTGTCAGCTGACACCACCAAGTGAGCCCAGTTGATGCCATGTGGAGCAGGATCTGCCAACTGAGCCCTTCCAGAATCCCTACCCCACACAATGATGACTGAAGCTACTGATGCATATAAACTTTGGGCCCTGGCTTCCTTCTGTTTTTGAGATTATCTTGAATGGAATAGATAGCATGGGAGCAGCATGGTGAGATTTTGTGTTAGATCCTATTTCTTAGCTATCAGGAGCTAACTATTCCTTGAGGACCCAGTTCTTGACCCTCTCAATCTCCCATCAGTTAGATCCTGCTCCTCAATGGTTACCCAGACAATAGCTTCCCTGGCAGAAAGATGGCCTGCTCTTCGGAGTCCTACTCCTGGCTTTTGCCTCCTTGGACCTCTTGGTAGCAGCAATTTTTTGACTCATATCTAAACTTGCCTTCCCTTCTAGACACTGTCTCCAGTCTCTCACTTAAGCCCTGGGGAATGGAAATACCCAGCCCTGTTTCTTTTCCTACATGTGCCATTGAATATAGCTCTGAAAATACCTCTTGAATCTGTCTACTCTTCTCCATTCCTACTGTCTCCACCTAAGTTCAGGCAACCATCATCTCTTGGACTATTTAAACCATCTTTCATATGGATAGTCTCTCCTCCTTCAACCTTTCACTCTATAGCCAGAGAGGGATTTCCAGAATTGAAAACTAACCAGCTACTTTATTGATTGTAACCTTTCAATAGCTCCATTACTGCAATAGTAATTCAAACTTCTTAATATGGTTTCATTACCAGGCTCCTGCCTATTTCTCCAGTCTCATATCTTGCTTCTTTGCCATTAGCCAGACAGACAAAATTGGATTCTTTAGCCAGCCTAAGTTTCTTTAGGTCCCCACAATGTGTCCTGTTCTTATTTATCTCTAAGCCTTTGGCCTTGTACTTCCCTTTGTCTGTGTAGAGTACCGTAGTACTCCCTGCTGTGTTCCTGATCAAGGAACACAGATTGTCTTGACCTCTATGCTACCTGGCCAGCTACATGTTTTTCCCTGCAGGCTTGAACACAAGCCAGGTTCTTGAATATTCCCAAACACTGATAAACTTATTTAGGCTACAGTCCAAAAAACTAAAAAATCAAACATATTGCTACAAACAAAAAATAGCCCCTCCCCCTGAGCTAGATACTTAAAGCCTCACATAAACTCCATAGCCCAACCCCCTTGTTGCAGACTACCTAGGTGGAAATTCTCCTTCTGCTCACTGTCCATTTTGAGGACTGCTCAAATTTACATACAGAACTCTGTATGTAAATTCTCTTAATAAATGCTTTGGATGGATCTCTGTGGCATTTAGTCCTTCTTTCTTTGGAATCCCAACTGGCCCTGTTTGGGGCAATCCCTTGCAGAAACACCCCTGCTACTGCTTTTGGGGCCACTCTAACCACAGGTTAAGCCTGATGGAATAACCTGCAACACCCTTCCGCCTTTGTCAGGCTTAGTGCTCTTCACTTCTATGATATCATCTTAGATGTCACTTCATTCAGGAAACCTTGCACCATCCCTGGAGACTAGGGGTTTTCTCTATGTGTTAGCATAGCACCTGTGCCTATCTTTATCACCATACTGGTCATAATTTATTTTAATTGGGTTAGTTATCTGTCTCCTTGCTATCTTGTGATCTCCTTGAGGGCCAGGGCCACATCTCTTTCCATCCTGAATTCATGATCATTTACAACAAAAGAAACAAGATATGGTCTCTTCCTGAGAGATCACAGGGTCGCCTGTCACTGTGGTTATAGCAAATATTTGTTACATAAATGGAGAAATGACAAATGGGGAGCAAGTTCAAGGCTTGGCAATTGGATGCTCCACTCCTGCTAGTGGCCATTGCCCTTGTTCTTCTTTTCCTTTTCTGAGCATGATAAAGCTGGTCTACAGGTGGGCCCTGAATTGCAGAAGTTAGGAGATCTGGTTGCCTTGCTGTTAGTGAAAGGTGCAGGAATTCTTTTGAAAGTGTATCCTTTTAGGCTTATATTCCCACTAAAAAGCCCTGACAAGCAGCCCAAGCTCTAAAGTATTTGACAGTGAAGAAGATGGGCAAGGCATTTTTAGATGTCAGAGTGGCTGAAATTCAGATTGTTGCAGAACAGAACCCATCCGTTTTTATTTTATACAAATGTGCTGAACTCCATTCCTTTCTCCAAGCTGCCCTGTCACGGAGGGATTCATGATGTGCACTGGCCATTTATTTGTCCCTGGCCTCACTGTTCGCAGAGGGAGGCATGTCCATTGGATTGATGGCATGATTTCTGCAAAAGGACACTATTTTGAAGTAATAGCAAAAGGCCTGTGTATTCTGTGGCTCAGTTAATCCAGAGAGATGCAGCTTTGGTCTAAGAAGGAAGGAACCGTTGGTGATTGCCAAGCAGACACTGAGTAACTCTGCAGCTTCCTACTAGGCTGGAGGGCTGGGATTGAAACAAGACTGGAAGGTGGCTCTTTTTGTCAGACTGTGTCCACTTTGATGCCACAGATATTAGCTGAGTCCATACTCTGTGCCAGCATAGCCAGAGGTGATGTCTCTGGTGCACTCCCTGTTCTCAAGGAGGCTGCTAGTCTTTACAATATTCCTTTTCACCTTATCTCTCTCTCTCTCCAAAAGGAAGGCCTGTATCCTCTTCTCTGTGCCTCTAGGGAGCAGGAAACGAAAAGACTCTCCTGAGCAATCTACAACAGGGGTTAATCATAGTAGGCAACCTAGGGTACTTGGAACCCAGAGATATTGATGAGAAGGTGGCACTGCCAGCTGCCTGGAAACTTGGTAGTGGGATAGCAGCACACCCTTTCTATGGCTGCTGGAGATCAAATGCTCCCTCTATGCTAGGCAAGCCCACAGCCAGGAGTCTTGGCTCCAGGTGGGGTTCATCTGTGGACTCTGCATGAGCTTCCTGGCAGAATCTTACAGCTGCTTTTGCCCGGATAATAAGGGACCTTAATTTGTGCCCATGTCTGTGACTGGGTGGGGGTCCTAGCAATTATGTATTTTGGCAGAAACTCTTTTTCTTAAAGAGGGGTTCCTCAAATTCTATGAGATTTAGACACAGCAAGACCTGGATCTACTCCTATAAGAATGGTTTGATTATTTCTTCTGTGTCTCTTTTTACTATATTGTATCTTATTTATTTTTACCAATGCTCTATATTTTTAATCTTTTATCCTCTTAAAAGAGATTAATTTCAAGGTCAGACTGTATAAAGGAAGGAAGCTAAGTTTCCTGTTAGTTCATTCACAAATATTTGCTGAGCACCTTCTCTGTGTCAGACACTGGCACAGAGGTGAAAAGAGGGTCAGTTTACCTACTCTCAAGGAGCTTGAAGTCTTATGAGGGAAACAATCAGTAGTCATATTAATACATGTAAAATTATAATAACAAGTGCTCCAAAGGGAAGGTTAAGAGACCCTCAACAGCCTATAAAGAAGGGGTTTGTCCTGGCCTGAAAGTCAGGAAGGGTTTTCTGAGAAAGTACTTTCTTCTTTAAATCTTCTAGGGCTTTCAAGATCTTTCTATGTGAAGTCAGAGATGTTATACTTGGCCTTAAAGAAAATTCCATACAAACAGAGATCAATTTTATAAAAAGTACACTTATCCCTGGAAAGCCAGGGTAATAGCCACATGGAAAGAACACAGAGCAACTTAGTGCAGCTGCACCTTACTTATGCATTCCCTATTGTACATTTCATCTGATAATAACTTGAACAAAACTTATGGAAGTGCTTATTCCCTGTGGGAATGTGGGCCCATCTGTGGTGCTCACTTCCAGCCTCAACTGGTAGCAATTTCCCTATATCTTCTTTATTCTGATTTAGCAAGCTTTCAGCTTGACCCCACCATAGGAGGCCACCTGATGTAGAAAAACTTTTTTTTTTAACTTAGACAGACCTGGATTTAGATTATGGTTCATGATATGGTTTGGATGTGTCCTCACCCAAATCTCATCTTGAGTTGTAGCTCCCATAATTCCCACATGTTATGGGAGGAAACCAGTGGGAGATAACTGAATCATGGGGGTGGTTTCCCCCATACTGTTCTCATGGTAGTGAATAAGTCTCATGAGAGCTGATGGTTTTATAAGGGGTTTCCCCTTTCACTTGGCTCTCATTCTCTCTTGCCTATTGCCATGTAAGACAAGCTTTTTGCCTTCCACCATGATTGTGAGGCCCCCCAAACCATGTGGAAATGTAAGTCCATTAAACTCTTTTTTTCTTTATAAATTACCTGAGTCTCGGGTACGTCTTTATCAGCAGTGTGAAAATGAATAATATAGTAAATTGGTACTGATAGAGTGGAGCACTGCTGTAAAGATACCCAAAAATGTGGAAACAGCTTTGGAACTGAGTAAACAGGCAGAGGTTGGAACAGTTTGGAGGGCTCAGAAGAAGACAGGAAAATTTGGGAAAGTTTGGAACTTCCTAGAGACTTGTTGAATGGCTTTGACCAAAATGCTAATAATTATGTGGACAATGAAATCCAGGCTGAAGTGATTTCAGATGGAGATGAGGAACTTGTTGGGAACTGGAGTAAAGGCCACTCTTGCTATGTTTTAGCAAAGAGACTGGTGGCATTTTGCCTCTCCCCTAGGGATTTGTGGAACTTTAAACTTGAGAGAGATGATTTAGGGTATTTGGTGGAAGAAATTTCTAAGCAGCAAAGCATTCAAAACGTGACTTGGGGGCTGTTAAAAGCATTCAGTTTTAAAAGGGAGACAGAATAAAAGTTCAGAAAATTTGCAGCCTGACATGGAATAGATAAGAAAAACTCATGAAAATCAAGCTGGCTGCAGAAATTTGCATAAGTAACCAAGAGACAAATGTTAATGGCTAAGACAATGGGGAAAATGGCTCCAAGGCACGTCAAAGACCTTTGAGGCAGCCCCTCTCATCATGGACCCCAAGGCCTAGGAGGAAAAAAATAGTTTCTTGGGGTGGGCTCAGAGCTCTCCACTGTGTGCAGCTTAGGGACTTGGTGCCCTCCATCCCAGCTGCTCTAGTTATGGCTAAAAGGCACCAAGGTACAGCTCGGTGCATGGCTTCAGAGGGTGCAAGCCCCAAGCCTTGGCAGCTTCCACATGGTGTTGAGCCTGCAGGTTCACAGAAGTCAAGAATTGAGGTTTGGGAACTTCTGCCTAGATTTCAGAGTATGTATGGAAACGCCTCGATTTCCAGGCAGAAGCTTGCTCCAGGGGCAGGGCGCTCATGGAGAACCTCAGCTAGGGCATTGAGGAAGGGAAATGTGGGGTTGAAGCCCCCACACAGAGTCCCCACTGGGACATTGCCTAGTGGAGCTGTGAGAAGAGGGCCACTGTCCTCTAGACCCCAGAATGGTAGATCCACCAACAGCTTGCATGTGTGCCTGGAAAAGCCACAGACACCCAACTCCAGCCCGTGAAAGCAGCCAGGAAGGAGGCTGTACCCTGCAATGCCACAGGGCTGGAGCTGCCCAAGACCATGGGAACCCACCTCTTGCATCAGTGTGACCTGGATTTGAGACACGGAGTCAAAGGAGATCATTTTGAAGCTTTAAGATTTGACTGCCCCACTGGATTTTGTACTTGTATGGGGCCTTTAGACCCCTGGTTTTGGCCAATTTCTCTCATTTGGAATGGGTGTATTTACCTAATCGTATCTAGGAAGTAACTAACTTGGTTTGGATTTTACGTGCTCATAGGCGGGAGGGACTTGCCTTGTCTCAGATAAGACTTTGGACTGTGGACTTTTGAGTTAATGGTGAAATGAGTTAAGACTTTGGGGGACTGTTGGGAAGGCATGATTGGTTTTGAAATGTGTAGACATGAGATTTGGGAGGGGCCAGGTGTGGAATGATATGGTTTGGCCCTGTCTCCACCCAAATTTCATCTTGCAGTTTAGCTCCCATAATTCCCACATGTTGTGGGAAGGACCTGGTGGGAGATAATTGAATGATGGGGACTGTTTCCCCCATACTGTTCTTGTGGTAGTGAGTGAGTTCTCATGAGATCTAATGGTTTTATAAGGGGTTTACCCTTTGGCTTGGCTTTCATTCTCTCTTGACTACTGCCATGTAAGATGTGCCTTTCACCTTCTGCCATGGTTGTGAGGCCTCCCCAGCCATGTGGAACTGTGAGTTTATTAAACCTCTTTTTCTTTATAAATTGCCCAGTCTCGGGTATGTCTTTGTTGGCAGTGTGAAAACAGATTAATACAGTTCTGCTACTTCCAAGTGTAATCTCATGTCTCTGAGCCTCAGTTTTCTTATGCATTTTTAAGTGTACAATTCAATGATTTCTCTTGTTTACTGAGTTTTACAACTATCAATATAATTCAATTTTAGAGCATTTTATCATAAATTTCTATCTATTAAAACAGAATGATACCCACATTAAAGTGCTATTACAAGGATGAAATGAGGTCATTATAAAGACAGATATTTCTGTGTCTGTAACACAGAAAATGCTCAAAAATGGTATAAAAGGTGAACTCAGTGAAATGCTGGAATAAGGAACTCCAAAAATCTGCCCCCCAAAAAAGTCAATTTAAAAAACTGGCAAAAATTATCAGAGTCAACTTTTTTGTAACTCTGAAAGTTAACCAAGTCTTGCAGCAACCCATGGGGGCACTTATTCAAAAAATGCACTGCTGAATCTCAATAAGAACAGCAAGCTTTATGGTATTTTCATTTACCCTAGTACTATTCCTCACTAACCAGCTCAGAGTTATCCTTAAATATAACAGCCCATATCACTGGTTCTGGAGGGAGTAGAGATTTCATTTGCAAAGAATTGTCATTATTTTATCTAGTGGTTCCCTGGAAGATCCAACCAGAAGCCCTCTCTTTATTTCATCTGACTCAGAACTCCCCCACTGCTCATGTTGCTACCCTGGGGGCATTTGTCAAAAATACTTATAGGCAAAAGTTTTAGTCTTTGCTGCTTGAGGCAATGCATAATAATCAGGGCAAACAATAGATTAACCAAAAAGCCTTGGAAGAAAGGCTGGGGAATGCATGTCCACAAGTGCTTTGTAAAGTTTCAACAAGTGAAATTATCCTGTTTTAGAAATAGAAAAATGAGTGAAGGAAAAAGAGCAAGGCCATCTGAGACCTGTGAGACACCATCAAGTGTACTAACATAGGTATAATGGAAGTTCCAGAATGAGAGAGACAAAGTGGCAAAAGAAGTATGGGAGAAAATAATGGCTGAAAAATTACCAAATTTTATACAAAACTATTAATCTGTAATCCGATAAGTTCAATGAACTATAAGAAGGATAAACTCAAAGAGATCCACACCTAGACATATCATAACCAAACTGTTCAAAGGCAAAGATAGAATCTTGAAAGCAGCAAGAGAAATAACTCATCACCACTTACAAGGGATACTCAATAAAATTAGCAGCTAATTTCTCACTGGAGATCACATCAGCCAGAAGATGGTAACATGGCATAGTCAAGGTGCTGAAATTAAAAAAAAATGCTTGCACCCAGGAATTCTACATCTGGGAAAACTATCCTTCAAAAATGAAGGAGAAATTAAGACATCTCAACATAGAAAAAAAAAGATTCTGGGAAGAGTTCATTGCTAACAGATCTGCCCTGTAAGAAATGCTAAGGGGAATCATTAAAGCTTACATAAAAGGAGACTAGAGAGCAGTAAGTCAAATACAAGTGGGAAAAAAGAACACCAGTAGAGGTAACTACATAGGTAAATATAAAAGACAGTATAAATGAATTTTTAATTTGTAAATCCTCTTTTTCTAGTTATTTGAAAAGACAACTGCACACAGCAATAATTGTAAATTTATGTTTATGAGAACTCAGTGTATAAAGAGTAACTTGTCACAATAACAGCAGGAAGTAGGAGTTTGAAACTGCAGGTACAAAGCTTTTGCATACTATTGAAGTTAAATGAGTATTAATCTGAATAAGATTATTCTAAATTAAGGTGTTATTTTTAACCCCCAGGGCAAACACCAAGAAAATAACTGAAAAATATATAGTAAACAATGTGTCAAGGGAATTAAAATGGTACACTAAAGAATATCTATTTACCACAAATTTCCTCTAGTAATAGAGGAAACTAAGAACAAATGGTATGGCATATATAAAAGATGTAGCAAAATGGCACAATTGTGTTCTTCTCTATCTGTAGTTATGTTACATGTAAATGAATTAAGCTCTACAATTAAGAGATTGACATAATGGATAAAAATGTGATCCAACTGTATCATGTCTACAGAAGACTCATGTTAAATTCAAAAATACAAACTCGATGAAAAATAAAAGGATGAAAGGAGATATACCATGAAAATGATAAAAAGAGAGAGTTGGAATGGCTATAATAATATCAGAGACAACAGACTTTAACAAAAATAAATTATTAGTAAAGATAAAGGAACATTTTATAATGATAAAGGGTAAATCCATCAGGAAGATGTTGGCAATGTATGTTCACAATTAGATAGCCTAGTGAAATTGACAATAAAAATAAGACCTAAAGAAATAGAAAGACAGCCTGTGTTAATGGATTGGAATGCTTAATATGCATTAGATGACAATACTCCCCATATCAATTTACTAGTTTGATGCAATTCCTATCAAGCTGCCATCTTTTGCAGAAATGGACAAGCTCATTCCAAAATTTTTATAGAAATGTAAGGGAACTTTAATCCCAAAACAATCTTGAGAAAGAAAAACAAATTTGAAGGACTCACACATTCTGATTTCAAAACTTACTACAAATTTCCAGAAACCAAGACAATGTGATACTGTGTTTTGAGAGCCTCCAGCTAAATTAGGGTTCCAGTACCAGAGCAACTAGTAACCCTGCCCTAATGGAAAATGAAGAGAAGCTGGGCTTTAGAGTTTATATTGTGCCTTTCATAAGATAATTTTTTTTTACCTAGTGAATGACTTAATGCCTACTTGTTCAACATGCAACCAAGGGGTCCCTCACATGAGAAACTTGTTTATACTGGCAGATGCCCTTGCGGCTCTTGTCTGACTCGTGTCCAGTTTATGCCTGCATGACCATCACTCTGGAGCTGGGAGACTGACCTTTTGTTCTCTCTGGCATTCTGGGGAAAATTTGACCTGGGGCAGCCCCTGATTCATCAGATGGAAGGCACAAATTCAATATACCACCACAAAAGGAAGTAAGTTCAAAGATTTTTTTTTTTTTTCTTACAGCTTCTGGACAGGGAGAGTACAACGAGTCAGGAGGGCAATGCTTCATTCCCACATCACAGGAGACAGGATGAACAGTCAGGCAGAGAGAGAGAGAGCATGGCAGCTAGAAGCATATAAATGTGACTGTTGAACAACATGGATTTGAACTTCAAGGTTCCACTTATACACAGATTTTCTTCCATTTATGCCACCCCTGAGACAGCAAGATCAACCCCCTCTTCCTCCTCCTCAGCCTACTCAACAGGAAGTTGGCTAGGATGAAGACCTTTATGTTAATCCACTTCCACTTAAAGACTAGTAAATGTTTTTCTCCTTCTTATAAATTTTCTTAATAATGCTTTCTTTTCTCTAGCTTACTTTCAAAGAATAAAGTATATGATACATATAATATACAAAATATGTGTTAATTTACTGTTAATATTTGTTATCTGTAAGGCTTCTGGTCAACAGTAGACTATTAGCTTTAAGTTTTGGGGGATTCTGACTTCAACAAATGGCTCTAGGACAACTAAATATCTCAGGCAAACGAATGTGTACCTTTACTTCATACCATATGCAAATATTAACTCAAAATTCATCAAACATCTAAATGTAAGAGCTAAATCTACAGAATTTTTAGAAGAAAATATAAGGATAAGTGTTTGTGACCTTGCACTAGGCAATGATTTCTTAGCTATGACACCAAAAGCACAAGCATCCAAATAAAAAATAGATAAATTGGGCTTCATCAAAAGCAAAACTTTTACAATTCAAAGTATAGTATCAAGAAAGTGAAGGGCAAAGCTCAGAGGAGATCTAGCAAGATGGGCAAATAGAAGCCTCCAGTGACTGTCCCTTCACATAGGAACAGCAAGTTGAATGGCTATCTACACACAAAAAGCACCTTCATAAGGACTAAAAGTCAAGTGAGTGATCACAATACCTGGTTTTAGCTGCATGTCACTGAAAGAGGCACTGAAGAAGATAGGAAAGATAGTCTTGAATTGCCAACACCACTCCTCCCGCATCCCCTGGCAGGGTCCACATGGTGCAGAGAATCTGTGTGCCTGGGGGAGGGCAAGTGTAGCACCTGTGGGACATTGCATTGGAACTCAGTGCTGCTCTGTCACAGTGGAAAACAATAAAGACAGAACTCATCCAGCAACCGTGGAGAGAGCTTTTTGACCAGCCCTACCCAGAGGCAAATCGTCCATCCCAGTGGTTGGAACCTGGATTCCAGCAAGCTCCTCCAACATAGGCTAAAGTTCTCTGGAGTCTTAAATAAACTTGAAAGGCAGTCTAGGCCACAAGGACTGCAATTTCTGGGCAAGTCTTGGTGCTATGCTGGGCTTGGAGCCAGTGGACTTGGGGTGAACATGACTTCATGGGACACCAGCTAGCGAGGCCAAGGGAGTACTTGTGTCACTCCTCCCCTAACCCCAGGCAGTTCAGTTCACAGCTCTAGGAGAGACTACTTCCCTCTGCTTGAGGAGAGGAGAGGTGAGAATAAAGAGGGCTTTGACTTGCAACTTGGATACCGGCTCAGCCAGAATAGAATATGATGCCAGGGAGAGTACTGAGGCTGCCATTCCAGGGTCTAGCTCTGGGATTACATTTCTAAACAAATTCTGGGCCAGAAGGGAACCTGTTGCCTTGAAAGGAAGGGCCCAGTCCTAGCACAATCCATCATCTGCTAACTAAAGGGCCCCTGGGCCCTGAATAATCAACAGTGGTACCAGGCAGTATTCACCATGGACCTTGGATGAGACTCAGAGCTGTGCTGGATTCAGGTGTGACCCAGTACATTCCCAGCTGTGGTGGGGGAGATATGCCTTCTGCCTGAGAAAAAGAGGAGGGAAGAGTAAAAGAGACTGTGTCTTGCAGCTTGGGTACCAGCTGGGCCACAGTGAAATAGAGTACCAAGTGGGTTCCTGGGGTCACCAATTCCAGGACTTGGCTCCTGGATGGTATTTCTGGACCTTCCCTGGGCCAGAGGGGAGCCCACTGTCCTGAAGGGGGACAGTGAGGTCTGGCAGCATTCACTGCAAGCTAATTGAAGTGCTCTTGGGCCTTAAGTGAACATCAGTGGTAATCAGGCAGTACTTGCGTTGGGCCTGAGGCAGTGGTGGCCCAGGAACAGACTCCTCTGCTTGAAGAAAAGGGAGGGGAGAGTGCAAAAGACTTTGTCTTCTGGCGTGGGCACCAGCTCAGCTGCAGTAGAATACCGGGTCAGGTAGATTCCGAAGGCCCCCAACTCTAAGCTCTGGCTCCAGGACAGCATATCTGGACCCATCTGGGGCTGGGGGAACTCGCTTCCCTGAAGGGAAGGACACAAGCCTGGCTGGATTTGCCACCTTCTGATTGTAGAGTCCTTGGGCCTTGAGTGAACATAGTCAGTAGACAGGCAGTGGTCACTCGGGCTTTGGGTGAGATCCTGGGCTATTCTGGCTTCAGGTCTGACCCAGCATACTACCAGAGGTGGTAGCCATGGGGATGATTGTGTCATCCCTCTTCCAGCTCCAGGAAGCTCCAGGAAGCAGAAACAGACTACATTTGTTTGGGGAAAAGTAAGGGAAGAGAACAAGTGTCTCTTCATGGTAATCCAAGAAATGATCCCAGATCTTATCCAAGACCACCAAGGCAGTACCTCCATAAGTCTGCAAGAGCCACAGGACTACTGGGCTTGAGGTGTTCCCTGAAGCAGACATGGCTGCAATTAACATAGATTTAGATCACCACACCCAAGTCACTAGAAATACCTGGAAAGCTTTCTCAAAAAATACTGGTACAAGTAAGTCCAGACTGAGAAAGATACAATAAATACCTAACTCTTCAATGCCCAGACACTGACAAACATCTACAAGCATCAAGACCATCCAGAAAAGCATGACCTCACCAAAAGAACTAAATAAGGCACCAGTGATCAGTCCCAGAGAGACAGAGATATGTGACCTTTCGGACATGTAATTCAAAATAGCTATTTGAGGAAGCTCAACGAAACCCAAGATAACAAAGAGAAGGAATTCAGAATCCTATAATAAATTTAACAAATAGATTAAATAATTAAAAAGAATTGAGCAGAAATTCTGGAGCTGAGAAATGCAATTGACATCCAGAATCTCTTAACAGCAGAATTGAACAAGAAGAAAGAATTAGGGAACTTGGAGACAGGCTATTTGAAAATATAAAGTCAGAGAAAACAAAAGAAAAAATAATATAAACCTATGAAATATGCCTACAAGATCTGGAAAATAGCCTCAAAAGGGCAAATCTAAGAGTTATTGGTCTTAAAGAGGAAGTGGAGAGAGAAAGATTAGGGTATGAAGTTTATTCAAAGGAATAATAACAGCTTTGCAAACCTATGGTAGCTATCAATATTCAGGTAGAAGAAGGTTATAGAACATCAAGCAGATTTAACCAAAAGAACACTACCTCAGAGACATTAAATAATCGAACTCCCAAAGATCAAGAATAATAATACAAAAGCCTTTCCTCTTAGATCTGGAACATGACAAGGAAGCCCATTTTCACCACTGTTGTTCAACATACTACTGGAAGTTCTAGTTAAAGCAATCAGGCAAGAGAAAGAAATAAAGCACATACGAATTGAAAAGGAAGAAGTCAAATTACCCTTTTTTGCAGATGTTATGATCTTTATTTGGAAAACCTAAAGACTCCACCAAAAAACTATTAGGATTGATAAACATTTTCAGTAATGTTGCAGCATACAAAATAAACTTACAAAATTGGTAGCATATCTATATGCCAACAGCAAACAATCTGAAAAAGAAATCAGGAAAGTAATGGTATTTATAATAGCTACATATAAAATAAAATACCTAGGAATAAACTTAACCACAAGATGCAAAAACATCTCTACAATGGGCCGGGTGTGGTGGCTCACACCTGTAATTCCAGTACTTTGGGAGGCCGCGGCGGGCAGATCACAAGGTCAGGAGATTGAGAACATCTTGGCCAACATAGTGAAACCCCGTCTCTACTAATAATACAAAAATTAGCCAGGCGTGGTGGCGGGCGCCTGTAGTCCCAGCTACTCTGGAGGCTGAGGCAGGAGAATCGCTTCAACCCAGGAGGTGGAGGTTGCAGTGAGCCGAGATTGCACCACTGCACTCCAGCCTGGGTGACAAGAGCGAAATTCCATCTAAAAAAAAAAAAATCTCTACAGAGAAAACTATAAAACGTGGATGCAAGAAATTGAAGAGGACGCCAAAAAATGGAATGATATTTCATTTTCATAGATTGGAAGAATTAATATTGTCAAAATGTTCATACTATCCAGAATAGTGTACAGATTCAATGCAATCTCTATCAGAATACCAATGACATTCATCCCAGAAATAGACAAATAATTCTAAAATTTATATCAAACCACAAAATCCCTGAATAGCCAAAGTCGTACTGAGCAAAAATAACAAAATTAAAGGCATCACATTACCTGAATTCAAATAATATTACAGAGGTATAGTAATCAAAACAGCATGGTACTGTCATAAAAACAGACACACAGACCAACGGAACATAACAGAGAACCCAGAAATAAATCTGTACATCCATAGTGACTTCTTTTTGACAAAGGCTCCAAGAACACACATTGCAGAAAGGACAGTCTCTTCATTAAATGATGCTGAGAAAACTGGATAGCCATATGCAAAAGAATGAGATTATACTCCTATCTCTTACCATATTCCACAATGAAATCAAGATGGACTACATGCTTAAATCTGAAACTTTAAACTATGAAACTACTACAAGAAAACATCGAGAACACTCTCCAGGACATGTGGAATGATCAAAGACTTCTTGAGTAATACCCCAAAAGCACAGGGAACCAAAGCAAAAATGGACAAACAGGATAATATCAAGCTAAAAACCTTCTGCACAGCAAAATAAATAATTAACGAAGTGAAAAGACAACATACAGAATGGGAGAAAATATTTACAAGCTACCCACCTGACAAGTCATTAATAACTGGAATATATTAACTCGATCAGAAAAAAAACTAATAATCTGGTTTAAAAATGAACAAAAGATCTAAATAGACATTACTCAAAAGAAGACATACAAATATTCTATGCCTGTTTCCTATGAAAAGAGGCATAGGAAAATGTACTCAACATCATTGATAATCAGAGAAATGTAAATCAATACTACATTGAGCTATCATCTTGCCCCAGTTGGAATAGCTTTATCCAAAATACACGCAATAATGAATGCTGGCAAGAATGTGGAGGAAAGGGAGCCCTCGTACACTGTTGGTGGGAAGGTAAATTAATACAACTACTATGGAGAACAGTTTGGAGGTTCCTCAAAAAACTAAAAAACTACCATATGATCTGGCAATTCCACTGCTAGGTATATACCCAAAGAAAGGAAATCAGTATATTGAAGAGCTATCTGCACTCCCATGTTTATTGCTGCACTATTCACAATAGCCAAGATTTAGAAGCAACCTAAGTGTCCATCAACAGGCAAATGGACGAAGAAAATGTGGTACATATACACAATGGAGTACTATTCAGCCATGGAAAAGAATGAGATCTTGTAATTTGCAGCAACATGGACACAGCTGAAGGTGATTATGTTAAATGAAATAAGCCAGGCACAGAAATACAAACTTTGCCTGTTCTCACTTATTTATCATTGCTAAAAATGTTAAGACAATTTAACTCATGGAGATAGAGAGTACGATGATGGTTACCAGAGGATGGGAAGGGTAGTATCGGGGGGATGGGGAAAGGGGATGATTAATAGGTACAAAATTATTGTTAGATAGAATGAATAAGATCTATTACTTAAGAGCACAACATGGTGACTACAGCCAACAGTAATTTATTGTACCTTTTAAAATAACTAAAATTGGATTGTTTGTAACACAAAGAAAGGGTAAATTCTTGATGTGATACTTATACCATTTACCCTGATGTAATTATTACACATTGTATTCCTGTATTAATATATCTCATGTACCCCATTAATATATACCTACCACGTACCACCAAAAATTAAAAATAAAAGGTGAATCACCGATCTTTAAAAATAAAAGGCAACTCTCCAATCTTAAAAAAATAAGAAAGTGAAAAGACAACCCACAAAATGGGGGAAATAAGGAGTTATAAATATTAAATAAATTAATAGTCATATTCAATAATACGTTAGCTATTATTATAAATTTATTACCAGGCTTATTCATGTTGTCCCAAATGACAGGATTTTCTTCTTTTAAAAGGGATAATAGTATTCTATTTTATATTTATGCAGTGTATTGCATTTTCTGTATTCATTCATTCATTCATTCATTCATTCATTGATGGATACTTAGGTTGACTCCATATCTTGACTATTGTGAATAATGCTACAATGAACGTGAGAATACAAGCTATCTCTTCAACATACTGATTTAATTTCCTTTGGGTATATACTCAGAAGAAGGATTGATGGATCATGGTAGTTCTAGTTTTGGTTTTCTGATGAAGCTCTGTACTATACTACATAATGTCTTTACATTCCCACCAACAGTGTCCCAGGATTCCCTTTTCTCCACATCCTCACCAACAATTCTCATCTTTTGTCTTTTGATAGTAGTCATTTTAACAGGTATGTGGTGATATCTCCTTGTTGTTAAATTAGTATTTCCCTCATGATTAATAATGTTGAGCATTTTTTCATATGTCTGCTGGCCATTTGTATGTATTCTTTTGAGAAATGTCTATTTGGGTTCTTTGCCCATTTTTTTAATCTGGCTACTTACTTTCTTACTATTGAGTTGTTTGAGTTCCTTATATATTTTGGATATTAACTCTGTATCAGATGCATGGTTTGCAAATATTTTCTCCCATTCTGTAGGTTGTCTCTTCAGTCTGTTGATTATTTCCTTTGCTGTGCAGAAGCTTTTTATTTTAACTTGATGTAAACTCATTTGCCAGTTTTCGCTTTGGTTGTCTGTGCTTTTCTGTCCTTAGCCATAATATCGTTGCCCAGAACAATGTCATGAAGCTTTTCCCTATGTTTTCTTCTAGTAGTTTTACAGTTTCATATCTTGTGTTTAAGTCTTTAATACATTTTGAGTTTAATTTTGTATATGGGATAGGATGAGAGTCTAATTTTATTCTTCAGCATGTGAATATCCAGTTTTTCCAGCACTATTTATTGAAGAGGCTGTCCTTTCTCTATTGTGTGTTCTTGGCATCCTCATTGAAAATCAATTGACCGTAAATGGGTTGATTTATTTCTGGGTTCTCTAGTCTGTTCCCTTGGTCTATGTTTCTATTCTTATACCAGTAGCACGCTGTTTTGGTTGTTATAGCTTGGTAGTAGATTTTGAAATCAGGCAGTCCGATGGCTTTGTTCTTTCTTCTCAAGATTGCTTTGGTTATTTGGGATCTTTTGGGCTACCATATGAGTTTTAGGACGTTTTTTATTTCTGTGAAAAATGTAACTAGAATTTTGATAGAGATTGCATTGAATCTGTAGATTATTTTTGACAGTATGGACATTTGAACAATATTAATTATTCCCACTTGTGAACATGGAATATATCTTTATATTTTATTATAGATATTTTATTATCTATAATATTATATATTATCTATATTATTATAGATATTTTACATGCTTCTAAGGTACGTTTGTCTTAGTAAATTAAGGTCATTTAAAGAGACTGGGACAAAATATCAGCTGACTTTTCAGCCCTGGTGTGGTACAGGACTTGTTCTGTAAGGCTCCCTAAGGACACCATTTTGAGAATACAGCTTGGAGGAAGACTTTCATCCCCTTGCCACTCTTATCAGTAGGCATAGTGAACTTATGTCACAGCTCAGAGCTACCCAAACATCTGTAGTGAAGGAAGTAAAACTATCCCTAAGAAGATGTACAACTTGGGGGACTGCAAATTTTTCTTCCTCCCTCAAGAATTCTACCAATAGAGATTCCTTTGGAAGGACAAACTACTCCCAGGTGAAAATTCATTTTTTACCAAATCGTTCTGGCATATGAATATTAAAAATGAAATTTGAGTTGCAGCAAGGTCCACAATGACTGTATGGGAGTGTCTGTAACTGTGGTTCATCCAGAGAAGCACTTCTCAACTATAGCAGCACATTGGAAACACCTGGAAAGTTTTTACTATATCAGTGCCCAGTCTCACTTCCAGAGATTCAAAGTTAACTGTTCTGGTGTAAATTCTGGCCATTGATGTGTTTAAAAAGCTCCTCAAGTAATTCTAATGTGCAGCTCACACTGAGAACTACCAAACTAAAGATACCTGCAAAGCAACAGCAGGTGACCTACACAAAGTTGACAAACAACCTGAGAATTTCTGTAGTTTCTATTTATTTAAATTCACTAATTTTATCATTTGGCATGCAGGATACTGTCCCAGAGCAGTGACCCAGCCAGCTTGGATGCATGGACTGAGAGACACTATGAAGCTTCAGACACATGAGCCTCTGATCATAGACTGAATGTGAAAGTGTGGGATTTCCATGTGAAATATATGCAGCAGAGAGTACGAGCTTTGATAGGTGCTTCCATGGAGACAGTGGTTTGCAGGATTAGCTATCTGCATGGGTAAATGATAAATGTGTAATGTTAATTTGCAAAAGGATTTGTTTTTGCTGAATTCATTTATTTTGTGTGATTTGCCTTAAGATTATTTGAATGTGTTTATAACAAACAAGACTAGAATCAGGGCCTATTTTAATTTATTAGGCATATAATTGGTTTGGATGGTTGAATGAAGTTTGGCCAACATGGAATAATGTGGCCATATCTGATTGCCACAGTCTCCACAAATGTTGATGGCATATATGGGTGTAACCATCAGCTACCAACCTTATAAACATGAGCAAATGGACAGCTGCTGTATTCTGGCCTCGAAACTACAAAAGCATAAAACGTACCAACTTCTAAGCCAATAAAAAAAATAACACATGACTTGCCGAGACTCACAAAATTGACACTCTGTGACTTCTATAAAATTATGCTAAGGATTTGGCCTGAAATTGTCAGAATCTGAGATAATGAAAGACCCATCTGAAAAATTTCACTGGCAGTTCTTTAAAAAAATATTTGCAGTATAATTGAGGGTACCGTGTCAATTACCATAAATTTCCCAGCCAAGGAGACTGATGAACAAATGAAAGTCCCCCTCATCATCTGAGCAAAAACTTAGCTCATCAAGATTTGGAATTACTTAGAGCAAGGCTACTTCTGTGATGGCCTATCCTTTAGCTTGGCTGTTGTGCACAGCAGTTATAATGAGGGAGAGCTGAGAGTGATTATTCTTAAAGAAGATATGCTGGAGTAGTTGCTATTTCTCAGTATTGGTAGATGGAGGTGTACAGATGTGAAAGGCCATGACTTGGGTTCTATTTCTGAATTTGCCCACCTGTATTTCCATATGTGAAATTTCAAAGTCAGCATTCTTTCATCAGCAACCTTTAGAGAGAGTCTACTATGTGCAAGGTATTGGGAGTTCAAAGGTGAATGTGATATGGCTGTTTCCTTTGAGACGCTCATAATCCAACACTAAGTACAGACACATAGTTCAATGTAACAGAATAGGAGTCTAGAATTTTACACACATATATTGTTCTTCACCACTACAGTTTTACCTTTTGGAGACTGTTATATAAGTGGATAATATAGAATACAACTTGAGACTAGCCTTTTGACTCAGCATAATGCCTTTTAGATTCATCCAAGTTGATACCTATGACAATTTATTTTTTATTGCTGAGTACTATTCCATTGTACACATGTATCATAGTTTGTTGATCTATTCTCCTATTGAGGGACATTTGAGTTGTTTCCAATATGGGGCTATTGTAAATAAGCTGCTCTGAGCATAGATACATATGTTTTTGTGTGGATATAAGTTTTAATATCTCTGGGGAAAAATGTTCAAGAGAGCTATAGCTGGGTTATATGCTTAGTGCATGTTTAACTTTATAACAAAACAACCTGTTTTCCAGAGTGGCTGTACCATTTTGAATTCCCACCAACAATGTATATGAATTCCAGTTGCTCACTGACACTTTGTCAGTATTTTTTATTTTAGCCTTTCTCATAGGTTTGTAGTGATATATCATTGTGGTTTTAATTTGCATTTCCCTGATAGCTAGCGACGCTGAACATGTTTTCATATGCACATTCATCTTTCATATATCCTCTTTGGTAAAGTTTCTCTTCAGGTCTCTAACCCATTTTCTAATTGCATTGTTTTCTTATTGTTGAACTATTGTTGAGTCTCTTTACATGTTCAGTACAAGTCCTTTATCAGATATATAATTTGAAACATATTTTCACAAGTCTTTAGATTGTATTTGCATTTTCTTACAGTGTATCGCACAGCAAAATTTTTCATTTTGCTGAAGTCCAATTTATCAATTTTTCTTCTATGCATCAGTCCATTGGTCATGTCTAAGAAATCATTGCATAACTTAAGCTTACAGAATTTTTCTCCTGTGTTTTCTTGTAAATCTTTCACAATATCATGTTTTACATTTAGATTGATGATCCATTTAATTTTTATAAGGTGTGAAGTTAGGTAAAATAAGATGTTTGTTTTTCCTATACATGTTCAAATTTTGTAAAACCATTTTTTGAAAAGACTATCTTTCCTCTGTCAAAAATCAATTGAACTTATTTGTGTGGATCATTTTCTGGACATAATTCTGTTCCATCGATCTGTATGTCTACCAATATCACACTGTATTTATTACTGTAGCTATATGCAGATAATAGGTTGTAAAACTGCATAGTGTGTCTTTCAACATTATTCTTTTAAATTGTTTTCACTATTTGGGTTCCTTTTCTTTTCCACATAAATTTTAGAGTTACCTTGTCTGTATCTATTAAAAATCCTGCTGGGATTTTAGTTAGAATTTTATTAAATATATAGAAAAATTTTGGGAAATATTGTTAATATGTTGAGTCTTCCAATCTGTAAACATAGTTTGTCTCTCCATTTCTTTCGGTTGTCTTGTTTTCCGTCAATGTTTTGTAATTTTAAGCATACGCATTCTATACATGTTTTGCTACATTTATACCTACATATTTTTTAGCTATTGTAAATGGCATTTAAAAAAATTGTGGTCTCCAAATCTTCATTGCTAGTATTTAGAAATATGTTGGATTTTTGTGTGTTGATATTCTATCCTGTGACTTTGATTAACTCACTTATTAGTTCTAGGAGATTTCTGTAGATACCTTAGGATGCTCTACATAAGCAATCATGCCAAATAAAATAGGGATGATATTATTTCTTCCTTCCCAATCTGTATGGTTCTTAGTTCTTTTTCCTTCTTTATTGCACTAAGACTTTCAGTAAGATATTGAATAGGAGTGGTGAAAGTAGACATTCTAGCCTTGTTTTAAATCTTAAGGGAAAAGCGTTTAGTCTTTCACCATTAAACATTATGCTAGCTGTAGGCTTTTTGATAGATGCCCTTATCAGTTGAGGAAGTGTTTCTTGTAAATGTATATTACATTATGTCAAATGCTTCTTCTGCGTCTGTTGTTAGGATTACGTTTTCTTCTTTATACTGTTAATATGATGGATTACATTCATTGATTGAATATAGAACCAATGTTATAATTTCTTTATTATTATTCCTTTTACATATAATTCTTTTTACATATTGCTGAATTTTATTTGCTAATATTTTGTTGAAGAACTTTGCATTCATGAGGAGTATTGGTCTGTACTTTTCTTATAATTAGTTTGTCTGACTTTGGTATCGCAGACATAATGGCTCATAAAATGAATCAGGAAGTGTTTCCTCCTCTTCTAATTTTGGGAAGAGATTATGTAAAATGGGTGTTATATCTTGTATGAGTGCTTAATAGAATTCGCTAATAAATTTTTCATTTCTTTTTTGAAAGTTTTAAACTACAGATTCAATTTCTTTATTAACTATAGTACTATATAGATTTATGCATTTCTTTTTAATAAGTTTTGTTAGCTTGTGGTTTTCAAGGAACTGGTCCATTTAATCTAAATTGCCAAATATATATAAATAGAGTTGTTCATATGATTCCCTTACTTTTATTGTTTGTAGGGTTTCTAGGGATATTCCCCATTTTATTTCTGATATTAATTTGTGTCTTCTCTCTTTTTTTTTTAATAAGTCTTGCTGTGGGTGATATCAATTTTATTGATTTTTGTTAAATTTTTTATTTCATTGTTTTTTTCTATTGTTAGTTTTAAATTTCATTGATTTACGCTCTTATTTTTACTATCCTCTTTCTTCCGCTTGCTTTTGCTTTTTTCATATCTTTTAAAAATTTTATTTTATTTTAATTTCCAGGATACATGTGCAGGGCGTGCAGGATTGTTACACAGGTAAATGTATGCCACGGTGGTTTGCTGCACCTATCAACCCATCACCTAAGTATTAAGCCCTGCATGCATTAGCTATTTATCCTGATGCTCAGCCCCCCAACTGCATCCCCACCCCAACAGGCCCCAGTGTGTGTTGTTCCTTTTCCTGTGTCCATGTGTTCTTATTGCTCGGCTCCCACTTGTAAATGAGAACATGCAGTGTTTGGTTTTCTGTTCCTGCGTTGGTTTGCTGAGGATAATGGCTTCTAGCACCATCTATGTCCTTGCAAAGGGCATGATCTCATTGCTTTTTATGGCTGCATAGTATTCCATGGTGTATCTGTACCACATTTTCTTCATCAAGTCTATCATTTATGGACATTTGGGTTGATTCCGTGTCTTTGTTATTGTGAATAGTGCTGTGAGGAACATACACATGTATGCATCTTTATAACAGAATGATTTATATTCCTTTGGGTGTATACCCAGTAATGGGATTGCGTGGTCAAACGGTATTTCTTGTTCTAGATCTTTGAGGAATCACCACACTGTCTTCCACAATGGTCAAACTAATTTACATTCCCATCAACAGTGTAAAAGTGTTCCTATTTCTCCAGAGCCTTGCCAGCATCTGTTGTTTCTTGACTTTTTAATAATCTCCATGCTGACTGGAGTGAGATGGTATCTCATTGTGGTTTTGATTTGCATTTCTCTAATAATCAATGATGTTGAGCTTTTTTTCATATGTTTGTTGGTCACATCCGTATCTTGAAGTGCAAGCTTATTTGAGATCTTTCTTATTTTCTAAAATAATCAGCGCTGTATACTTTATGTGCACCTTTGGCTGCATCCCACAGATTTTTATATGTTGTATTTGCATTTTTATTCAGTTAAATATATTTTTAACACTTTACTGAGACTTTTTCTTTGGTTTATGGAATATTTTAAATTGCATTTTTTTCTAAATTTGTAGGTTTTCCTGATGTCTTTGTATTATTGATTTCTTGTTTAATTCCCCACCCTCTTGGGACCAAAGCTGTTCCAAATGGGGAAGACTTACCCCTCTCAGAGTTCTAGGTGCTTTTGGGCCCCTGCTGCAGTGACTGTAATTTGCCACTTGGATTCAAACACAGCAGCTGGATTTGGGACCAGTTCTTTCCGATTCCAACATTTCAAATCATCCTTGACTTCTGCTTTTTTTTTTTTTTTTTTTAAGTTTTCTTTTACTATAAATTCTGGGATACACGTGCGGAATGTGCAGGTTGGGTTTGTTACATAGGTATACGTGAGCCATGGTGGTTTGCTGCACCTATCAACCTGTCACGTAGGTTTTAAGCCCTGCATGCATTAGCTATTTGTCCTTCTCTCCCTCCCCTCACCACCCCCCACAGGTCCTGGTGTGTGTTGTTCCCCTCCCTGTGTCCTTGTGTTTTCATTTTTCGACTCCCACTTATGAGTGAGCACATGCAGTGTTTGGTTTTCTGTTCCTGTGTTAGTTTGCTGAGGATCATGGCTTCCAGTTTCATCCATGTCCCTGCAAAAGGTATGATCTCGTTCCTTTTTGTGGCTGCATAGTAGTCCATAGTGTATATGTACCACATTTTCTTTATTCAGTCAATTATTGGTGGGCATTTGGGTTGGTTCCATGTCTTTGCTATTATGAATAGTGCTGCAATAAAGATACATGTGCATGTGTCTTTATAATAGAATGATTTATATTTCTCTGGGTTTATATCCAGTAATGAGATTGCTGGGTCAAATGATATTTCTGGTTATAGATCCTTGAAGAATCACCACACTATCTTCCAAAATGGTTGAACTAATTTACATTCCCACCAAAAAATGTAAAAGCGTTCCCTAATTCTCTACAGTCTTGCCAGCATCTGTTGTTCTTTGACTTTTTAATAATAGCCATTCTGACTGGCATGAGATGGTATCTCATTGTGGTTTTGATTTGCATTCCTCTAATGATCAGTGATGTTGAGCTTTTTTTCATGTTTGTTGGCCGCATAAATGCCTTCTTTTGAGAAGTGTCTGTCCATATCCTTTGCGCACTTTTTGATGTTTTCTTTTCTTGTAAATTTGTTTAAGTTCCTTGTAAATTCTGGTATTAGGCCTTTGTGAGATGGATAGATTGTAAAAGTTTTCTCCCATTCTGTAGGTTGCCTGTTTGTTCTGATAGTTTCTTTTGCTGTGCAGAAGTTCTTTAATTAGATCCCATTTGTTAATTTTAGCTTTTGTTGCAACTGCTTTTGGTGATTTCATCATAAAATTTTTGTCCATGCCTATGAATTGAATGGTATTGCCTAGGTTTTCTTCTAGGGTTTTTCTGGTTTTGGATTTTACATTTAAGCCTTTAATCCATCTTGAGTTAATTTTTGTATAAGATGTAAGGAAGGGGGTCCAGTTTCAGTTTTCTGCAGATGGCTAGCCAGTTTTCCAGCACCATTTATTAAATAGGGAATCCTTTCCTCATTGCTTTTTTTTGTCAGGTTTGTCAAAGATCAGATGGTTGTAGATGTGTGGTCTTATTTCTGAGGTCTCTGTTCTGCTCCATGAGTCTATATGTCTGTTTTGGTACCAGCACCATGCTGTTTTCATTACTGTAGCCTTGTAGCATCATTTAAAGTCAGGTAGCGTGATGCCTCCTGCTTTGTCTTTTTTGCTTAGGACTGTCTTAGCTGTGTGGGATCTTTTTGGCTCCATATGAAGTTTAAAGCAGTTTTTTTCTAATTATGTGAAGAACGTCAATGGTAGTTTGATGGGAATAGCATAGCTCATAGACTACAATCCTGTATACTATTTTACTGTACTGAATACTGTAGGCGACTGTAACAGTATGGTAAATATTTGTGTATCTAAATGTATCCAAATATAGAAAAGGTACAGTAAAAATATGCTATTATAACCTTATAAAACCACTGTCTTATATGTGGTCCATTGTTAACCAAAATATTATGTGACACATGAGTGCAGTTTTTTTAAACACAAAGCCAGCTGTACACAATTCATCAGTAGGCATCATTTGCACCCCAGATTATGACTCCTGATGCAGATGAAGAGAAACTGTTAAAGATAAGCAAGGATTTAACCCTGAAGTTCCTACAAGACAAGGCAAAGATGGACAAATCATGGCCTAGAGGACCTTCAGCTGCTCACAAAAGGAAGTAGACTAGCCTATAAAGAGAGAAAACTTGTTTTTTAAATTTCAGAACTCTAAGAAAAAATTGTTGCCTAAGTCTTTGCTTAAGGGAACTTGTATGACACAATGGATAATATACCTAACAAGAGTTTTACCTAAGAAAAGTACTGATATTTTACATATGGTATCTATTATGTGGGCCCTCAGGAAAATCCAAATGCATAATGTTAAGCTATAGTTTTGTAAAGGCAGTTCCACTGGGAGCAGAGTGATAGAGACCAGGTCTGTAGCTTCCTGGTGCGCTGGTATGAAAGGAGGATAAAGCTTTGAAATTTTGGAGGAATTCCGTAAAACTGGCACTCTCAAATATCAACAACTTCCTCTGGGTTTTTGACAGAACTGTAATGCAGATAATTCAAACTCGTGGTCCCAAGAGAGGGTTAGAAAGAAAGAGAGGTGCTCTTCAATGTTGACAGAAAGAGGATCTATACCCAATTCAGCATGGAGTAACCAGAATATCACCTACAGGCTGGGACTATGCTCATCTCCAAGGAAAGCTTTATTTATACATTTGGGATGTATTATTTCTTTCTCCAGTCAACCTTTGCTGCAATATATCTGTGCATAGCACAGACACACAAGGAGCCATGATTACATCCATTCTCATTGCTTTAAATATCAACTTTATGCTCATGGCTTCCAAACTGGTATTTCTAGTCTAGACTTTTTTCCCTGAGCTGCAGACTTGCATAGTCAACTGTTTTCTTTACATTTCCCCTTGGATGTGTCATAAGCATCCTACATCCTGCATGGCCAAAATGTAACTCTTCATTTTTTAATTTTTTTTAATTTTCAACTTTCATTTTAAGTTCAGGGGTACATGTGTAGGTTTGTTACATAGGTAAATGTGAGCCTGAGCCTTGAAGTCTGATGCTTGGGTGTGACTCCTAGGGCCATTTTTAACCAGTTGTGTGACATTGATCAAGTCATTCAAAACCTCTATGACTCAGTTTTCTTATTTGCAAAATTGGAATAATAATAACACTTTAAGAGTATTAAATGAGAGACAGCATAATAAACTCTTAGAATGGCAGCCAGCACTTAGTAGTGCATGTTCAGTAACTGTTTGCTGTTATTATCCTCCCTCCTACCTTGTATTCTGTCTATTAGCAGTTTTATTCCTCTGTGAAATATACATAATACAGTTTATATTGCAGGAATATTTGGATGATTAAGTGAGATAAAGTACATACAGCACCTGAGTGTCAGATCCTCGATAAATAGTAACATTTACTGATAATTATTATTTTTGCTGAGGCATCAAGGAACAGTAAAAAGAATTTATTCATCCTTTATGATTCAACAAATATTTTTTAAGCATCCACTAAATGTCAGGCATTATGATAGACACTGGGAATGGAGTCATGATATAAACAAAGATTCCTATATCTTTGCCCTTGTGAGAGTTTATTTTCCAATGCCCAATGTAGGATTGGATTGTCCCCCATCTAGGCAGATAATCAATCAATAAGTGAAGTAAATAAGTCACTTATATAGTATGTTAGCTGGTAAAAAGTGCTACTGGGAATATTAATGCCAGGAAGGAAAATTAGGAGTTTAGGAGAGGGGAGGATGATAGTTTTAAACAGGATGGCCAGGGAAGGACTCCCTGAGAAAATAATATTTGAGTAAAAACATAACTGAAGGGAGGAGAAAACCCCGTGAATATCTGAGGAAAGAGAATTGTAGGCAGAGTGAAAAGCACTTGCTGAGGCCCTGAGTAAGTCACATGGCCAGCTTGTTTGCAGAACAGCAGAGGGGAGTGAGGAGAATGATAGCAAACGAAGTCAGATAGGCAACAAGGGACTAGAGCATGGAGGGCATTCTAGACCCTTGTAAAGACTGACTTTTAGTTTGAATGAGATGAAGAGCCTGTGGAAAGTGTCAGTGATGGAAAAAACATGACACATTTTGAAAGATCCATTCTGCCTGCTATACTGAAACTATACTGAAGTGGTTTGGGGGAAGAATGGAAATAGTGAGTCTAGTTAGGATGCTATTGCAATAAAGTGAACCAGAGAAGATGGCAGCTTGGGCCTGAGTGGTTTCAATAGAGGGAAAGAGAAGGGTTCAACTTCTGAATATATTTTGAAGGTAGAGCTCGCATGGTTTTGCTGACTGGCTATAAGGTATAAAAAACCAGGAGCTGGTGGGGCGGGGCCAAGATGGTCAACTAGAAGCAACAGTGATCGGAGGCTCCAATCAAAAAAATCCAAAACAGGGTCCAAATCCTGCACTGGCAACCGAGGTATCCGGGTTCTGTCATTAGGACTGACTAGGCAGTTGATGTGACCCACAGAGAGGAAGAAAGAGCAGTGACATGCAGCCACCGACTTGAGAACCACGGGGGGCAGGGGAGCCCCCACCCCCAACCAAGGGAGGTGGTGAGTGAGCATGCTACCCAGACTGGGAAACTGTGCTTTTTCCGTGGAACTGTGCAACCCACAGATCGGAAGATCCCACTCAGGATCCCACACTGCTGGGGCCTTGTATCTTAACCATGGAGCCACGCAGATTCTCAACAGCCACTGGACTAGAATCGGCCTGAGCCTTCCAAGTTCCCCAAGGAAGGGGTGACCATCACCACTGCTGTGGCTGCCTGCAATCTAAGCTGTCCGAGCTCCTTGGGGGAGGGGCAGAAGCCAACACCAGGGCTGCAGGGCCTCCCTGCAGGAGCTACAACTCCAGCCAGGGGCTCAGGGACGAATTCCGATCTCCCTGGGCCTGGTTACCTAGTGGGAGGGGTGGCCGTAGTTTCCACGGATCAGCAGACTTGGTCTTTCCTTCTGCTAGCTCTGAGGAATCCAGGCGCACAGATGAGTGGGTTTCCCCCCAGTGCAGCATACCCCCTCCACCAAAGGAGATCCAAAATGCCACATTAAATGGGTCCTGCTTCCTGAGCCACCCAACTGTGTGAGAAACCCCAACAGAGACTGTCAGACATCCTGTACAGGAGCATTCCTACTGGCATCAGGTTGGTGCCCCTCGAGGTCAGAGATCCCAGAGGAAGGAACAGACACCCATCTTTGCTGTTCTCCAGCCTCCTCAAGTAACATCTCCAGGCATGGGAGCAAACCAGAGGAATAGGACCTGAAATGGACCCCCAGCAAACCACAGCAGCCCTACAGAAGAGGGACCTGAATTGAAAGAAAAACAAACAAACAAAGCAACAACAACAGCATAAACAAAAAATAGTCCCCACAAAAACCTCATCCAAGGGTCAGCATCCTCAAAGATCGAAAGTAGACAACCTGATGAAGATGAGAAAGACTCAACAACAACAACAAAACACTGAAAACACAAAAGGCAAAAGTGCCTCTTCTCCTCCAAATGGTCGCAACACCTCTCCAGCAAGGGTGCAGAGCTGGATGGAGGATGAGATGGATGAATTGACAGAAGAAGGCTTCAGAAGGTGGGTAATAACAAAGTTCACTGAGGTAAAGGAGCATGCTCTAAGCTAATGCAAAGAAGCCAAGAACCTTGATAAAAGGTTAGAGGAGCTGCTAACTAGAATAACCAGTTTAGAGAGAAACAAATAACCTGATGGAGCTGAAAAACATAGCATAAGAACTTGGTGAAGCATACACAAGTATCAATAGTCAAATTGATCAAGCAGAAGAAAGAATATTAGGGATGGAGGACTATCTTACTGAAATAAGGCAGGTAGACAAGATTAGAGAAAAAAGAAATAAAAGGAATAAACAAAACCTCCAAGAAATATGGAACTATGTAAAAAGATTCAATATATGACTGATTGGAGTACTTAAAAGAGATGGGCAGAATGGAACCAAGTTGAAAAACACACTTCAGGATATTATCCAGGACAACTTCCCCAACCTAGCAAGACAGGGCCACATTCAAATTCAGGAAATACAGAGAACCCCACTAATATGCTCAACGAGAAGATCAATCCCAACACACATAATCATCAGGTTCTCCAAGGATGAAATGAAGGAAAAAATGTTAAGGGCAGCCAAAGAGAAAGGCCAGGCCACCTACAAAGGGAAGCCCATCAGACTAAGAGCAGATCTCTCAGCAGAAACCCTATAAACCAGAAGAGAGTGCAGGCCAATATTCAACATTCTTAAAGAAAAGAATTTTCAACCCAGAATTTCATATCTGGCCAAACTAAGCTTCATAAGTGAAGGAGAAATAAAATCCTTTTTAGACAAGCAAGTGCTGAGGGAATTCGTCACTACCAGGCCTGCCTTGCAAGAGTTCCTGAAGTAAGTACTAAATATAAAAAGGAAACACTGGTATCAGCCACTGAAAAACAGAAGAAAATATAAAGACTAATGACACTGTGAAGAGACAGCATCAACTAGTGTGCCAAATTACCAGCTAGCATCATGATGACAGGATCAAATTCACACATAACAATATTAGCCTTAATGTAAATAGGATAAATGCCCCAATTAATAGACACAGGCTTGCAAATTGGATGAAAAGTCAAGACCCATCAGTGTGCTTTATTCAAGAGACCCATCTCACATGCAAAGACACACATAGCTTCAAAATAAAGGGATGGAGGAAAGTTAACCAAGCAAATATAAAGCAGAAAAAAGCAGGGGTTGCAATCTCAGTCTGTGACAAAACAGATTTTAAACCAAAAAATAACAAAAAAGACAAAAAAGGGCATTACATAATGGTAAAGGGATCAATTCAACAAGAAGAGCTAACTACTCTAAATATATATGCACCCAATACAGGAGCACCCAGATTCATAAAACAAGTTCTTAGAGACCTACAAAGAGACTTAGACTCCTACAGAATAACAGTGGGAGACTTTAACATTGCATTGTCAATATTAGACAGATGAACGAGACAGAACATTAACAAGGATATTTAGGACTTGAACTCAGCTCTGGATCAAGTGGATCTAATAGATATCTACAGAACTCACCACCCCAGATCAACAGAATATACATTCTTCTCAGTGCTACATGGCTCTTACTCTAAAATCGAGCACATAATTGGAAGTAAAACACTCCTCTGCAAATGCAAAAGAACTGAACTCATAACAAACAGTCTGTCAGACCACAGTGCAATCAAATTAGAACTCAGGATTAAGAAACTCACTCAAAACCACACAACTACATAGAAATTGAACAACCTGCTCCTGAATGACTCCTGGGTAAATAATGAAATTAAGGCAGAAATCAAGAAGTTCTTTGAAACAAACCAATGAGAACAAAGAAACAATGTACCAGAATCTCTGGGATGCAGCTAAAGCAGTGTTAAGAGGGAAATTTATAGCACTAAATACCCACATCAGAAAGCTAGAAAGATCTCAAATTGACACCCTAACATCACAATTAAAAGAACTGGAGAAGCAAGAGCAAACATATCCAAAAGCTAGTAGAAGACAAGAAATAACTAAGATCAGAGCAGAACTGAAGGAGATAGAGACACAAAAACCCCTTCGAAATATCAATGAATACAGGAGGCATTTTTTAAAAATTAATAAAATAGATGAACCTCTAGCTAGACTACTAAAGAAGAAGGGAGAGAAGAATCAAATATACACAAGTAAAAACGATAAATGGGATATCACCACTGGCCCTACAAAAATAAAAACTACGATCAGAGAATACTATAAACACCTCTATGTAAATAAACTAGAAAATCTAGAGGAAGTGGATAAATTCCTAGACACATACACCCTCCCAAGACTAAACCAGGAAGAAGTCGAATCCCTGAATAGACCAATAGCAAGTTCTGAAATTGAGGCAGTAATAAATAGCCTAGCAACCAACAAAAGCCTAGGACTAGACAGATTCACAGCCAAATTCCACCAGAGGTACAAAGAAGAGATGGTATAATTTCCTCAGAAACTATTCTAAACAATTGAAAAGGAGGGGCTCCTCCCTAACTCATTTTATGAGGCCAGCATCATCCTGATACCAAAACTTGGGAGAGACACAACAAATAAAGAAAACTTCAGGCCAATATCCCTGATGAACATTGATGCGAAAATCCTCAATAAAATACTGGCAAACCAAATCCAGCAGTCCATCATAAAGCTTATCCATCACAATCAAGTCAGCTTCATTCTTGGGATGCAAGGCTGGTTCAACATATGCAAATCAATAAACATAATCCATCACATAAACAGAACCGATGACAAAAAAACACATGATTATCTTAATAGATGCAGAAAAGGCCTTTGATAAAATTCAACATCCCTTCATGTTAAAAACGATCAATAAACTAGGTATTGATGGAACATATCTCAAAATAATAAGAGCTATTTATAACAAACCTGTAGCCAATATCATACTACATTGGCAAAAGCTAGAAGTGTTCCCTTTGAAAACTGGCACAAGACAAGGATGTCCTCTCTCACCACTCCTATTCAACATAGTATTGGAAGTTCTGGCTAGGGCAATCAGGCAAGAGAAAGAAATAAAGCATATTCAAATAGAAAGAGAGGAAGTCAAATGGTCTCTGTTTGCAGAAGACATGATCCTATATTTAGAAAACACCATCATTTCAGCCCCTAAACTCCTTAAGCTGATAAGCAACTTCAGCAAAGCCTCAGGGTACAAAATCAATGCGCAAAAATCACAAGCAGTCCTATATACCAACAATAGACAAGCAGAGAGCCAAATCATGAATGAACTCCCACTCACAATTGCTACAAAGAGAATAAAATAAGAATACAGCTAACCAGGGACAGGAAAAACCTCTTCAAGGAGACCTACAAACTACTGCTCAGGGAAATAAGAGAGGACACAAACGAATGGAAACACATTCCATCCTCATGAATAGGAAAAATCAACATCATGAAAATGGCCTTACTGCCCAAAGTAATTTATAGATTCAATGCTATTCCCTAGTCTAGGAGCAATAGGCTATACAATATAGCCTAGATATGTAGCAGGCTATACCACCTACTTACACCTAAGTTTGTGTAAGTAGCCTCTATGATGTTTGCACAATGATAAAAATTCCCTGATGAAATATTTCTCAGAACATATCTCCATCGTTAAGTGACTCTAGTTCATATCCTTATTGTTAAGTGACTCATGAACACACATAGCTTTTGAGCATATATATATATTCATCAGTTCCACAGGCCCTACTTATCTCAATTGTCTCAAACCTGGCCCCACACATTTATTTTACTTGCCTGGCCCCTTTAGGCATCTGCATTTGGAGTCTCTGACCCAGATCTTCCCAGATCTTCCCATATAATCCTTTTTTTCTCCCCTTAACTCCTTAATACGTGGCCCTTCTATTTTTTATTCTTGTTTAATAATTTTGTTTTATTGTATTGGTACTAAGATATCATACTTAGGCTGCCTAAAATCCTTCTGGAGAAATAGATAGGGTATAAAGATATAACACACTGATTGTCTCTCCACATATACTTGTATTCCCAAGGTTAATTATTTAAGAGTGTCTGCTTTGATCATATTACCAAATGACATTGCGTTAGAATGCACATAAAAGCTCAGCCAGTAAGCATGTTCAGAGTTCACAGAGTCAAGGTTTGCCAGAGATTGGATGGATATGTTGGAGCCTAATTCCTTGGGAGGACGACCAGATGGTGGGGCGGGTATAGTTTAGAGTGAAAGGTACTCTTCTTAAGGATTGCATTATGTAGCTTGAGAACAAAGATTATAATTTATTAGCTTGAGTAAGATCCTGTGCCTTCTGGAAAATGGTCAATTGGTGAAAATATTGACAGTTACTGTGTCATGGTGGGCCACCTTATTTTTTCCCCTGGACCTTTCTGCAAATTGTTCTCCATGTTAAGCTACACATCACATCTGTCCCCCTTTTCTTCTATGGATATTTTTCTACATTATTTTAAAGGGTAAGAAAACAGGAGGCTGCTGTCAAATTAGGGAACTTTGTGAAGTGGGTAGTGAATAGCCCCTGGATTAGAAGGCTAAAAGAAGGATTTAGAATGATTTGTGAGTCATCGATCTCCCTTTTTTCTAGTTACTGGGGATCAATGAGGGATTTATTTACAACGTGTACCCCACCTACTTCACACATGCTTTAGAGGTGGCTAAGTCCAACTGCTCAGTGTTGGTAGGCATGTTAGAGGTCATATGCTCCAACCTGTACATAATATCTGAATTATCTGTCAATTGTTATCCAGCTTCTGTTTGAATGTTTCAAATGATAGTGAATTCATTACCTCATGAAGCATGAGTCCTATTGTGGCATATGTCTAAATGTTCAGTGTTTCTTATGTCAAATTAAGATCTGTGTGAAGTAGTGTATATGGAGCAGGACAGAACTAATGTCAAGATTCAGTCTTCCTTCATTTGACTCTGGGGAAGCCACTTTGTCTCTCTGAGTCTGTTTACCAACTATAAAAGAAGAATAATACCTTGTTTTGCAGATCGGACCCTACTTCATGGGTGGTCTGAGGATTACATGAGACCATGTATGGAAACCGTAGGTCCCTTGTATGGCGCGTGAAAGGAGCTCAACAATGTTTGGTTAAAAATGTTTTAAATGTAGTTTTAGCTATTCCTTTGGTAGTCTAGAGACTATGTACAATCTCCTCTCCTCATGATGTCTTCACTAAAATAACTGAAAATGCCAACTGTATTCATCTAGAGCCATTTCCCAACCAACAAAAAGCCTGGCCATCTCTAAAGGTTTTCCCATGCTGTGAGTTCAGACCCTTCTCTCTGATTGCCATTCTCTGTACTTGCTTTACTTTGTTAGAGCAACCCTGAAAGTGTGGGGCCCAACCAGGGTCCTCATGCTTCATGCAGAAAAGCCTACTCATTAACCAGCATCCCTCTGCCCCAGCCTCAGCCCAAGCTTATGAGGCAACCCTCCTACAGAGCCCCCATTGCTTTGTTGAAAAGCTCTTCAGTCGTATTATGTCCTGTAGCAAGGAAGACGGCCTGGACTCTCAAGGGACAAACCACTTGCCAGAATATCTTTAATGTTAATACTTCAATTATCCTCTAGTGTCTCTTTATGGTCACCATCAGTTTGTGCTAATTTCTTGATTATTCTGCCCAGGCAGTAGTAGAAGCTGATCTTCTCCTGAGTTCTCAATTTTCATATTTCTTAACTGTAATTAGCCTTTATCAGACTCCAGATGCTTCTCATCACAATCCAGTTTTTAAATTGCAGACCTATTGGAAAATGGAGGGGCCATGGTCCTAAGCAGCCCAGTATATGGAGGCCCTATGGAAATGAGCTATTCACCAGTAGAAACCTGGCTAAATTTGCATGGGTCAGTCCTTAAAAAGGGCATGAAACTGGCGAAAAACCTGAGATCAGAGGATAGGCCACTTTCCTCTGTTCTTGGCTGGCTGGGTGACCTTAGGTAAGACTTTCGCTTTCTATGCAGGTGAAGATTAACAACCGCCTTACTTGCCTAAAATGTTTTTGTGTGAAGGCAAACATGAATTTATTGATGAAGATATGCTTTAAAAAGCACAAGTTCTGTATTTATGCCAGGCTTGTATGACACTAGTAATCACCATTCTAACACCGGATGGGCTGGTTGTAAGTGGGACTACAATCTTTGTGCATAAAAATAGACCACTGGTCATGAGACTGGGGCCTCAGGTGATTTGGGTTAGCCCCAGAATGTTGTTATGGGTCTGGGGTCCCAGACATGGACTCCTTGACAGCAGCTTGCCCCTTTTTAGTCTTCTCTTTGCCAGGCCTGCCTCACTAGTATGTTTGTGGTAATAACCTGTGCTCTAATCCTTACTGTAACACAAAATTATTAACCTGCCACTGGCCCCAGCCAAGGCAAAGCCACACTTACCGTGTCTAGAGCCTGAGCCCAGATGTTCCCCTCCACTGCCAAGGCCCATTCCTCTGGCTGCTTCATCAGTGTGGAGCACCTTCTCTCTGCTTTCCTCTGTCCTGGTTCATGCTGCACCCATCACACCTCTCCAGTTTCATGATGTGGCCCAACTGGAATAAACTGTACAATTTCAGAACTTCCATGTGACATCTCTATACCATGTAATACTTTATACTCTACCTAGTATTTTTACTTATGATATTTCAACTGTGAAACAATATCTAGTAGTCTTCAGAACTAGGCATACATAACGCTAACTTCTAGAAAAAGCTTTTAGTAATGAAAGTGTCAAATTCCCTTTGCCTTTTGATATGCTAAGCAGACCCCACTAGCAGGTTTCCATAAGACCAACAAATGCTGTGCTGAAGATTTTGGTAGGCAGAAGCACGATGCTCCCAGAGATGTTTGTCATACTCACCTCAAATCAGACTGAAGACAAATTAACTGGATTTTTATGACCAACTCAGGGCCTCTGGGTTTCAGGAGACCTTTTCCAGCTGTTCCCAATGGGCAGAGAAGGTTACACTAGCAAACAGGCTACAACACTCAGGTCTGTGTTGCATTTTTCCTCCCTGAGTCTTTGTTTCAATACCATATGCAACTGGTTTTGCTGGAGCCATGTTTATGTTCTTTGTCCCAAACCTAGCTATTGTAAAATTCTCTGAGATTAAAAAAATGCAAGACAATAAAACCTTAGGGGGAAAATATGGGCCACTGGCTCAGAGAATGTATGTGTGGGAGGCATTCTAGGGCCTCAGCTACTCTGAGTCACACAACTTGACCTTTGGCACAGGGTCCCTGGGTGGAGAAGTATTATCTTCCACATATATCCCTACTGAGACTGTGGATTATTTCTTAATCCAGAGTCTGGGTTGGGGCAAATTATAAGCCTATGATGCCCATACCTCAGTTGAGAAGGTTGAGGCATGTGTCAAGTTTCCATGGCAGCACGTTGAGCTTGGAGAGCTTGTAAGCCAGATTTATAGTGGCAAGGCCTTTGCCTGAACCCAGGAATTCATAAGCCCCAGAGGAGTTTTCAGACCTCCAGGTAATTTTGAGCATTCTTTGATGCTGAAAAGTAATGCATGTTACACATTCTACCCCAGGATCCATTATTTATGCAAAGTGCAATTCTTGGTACAGCGGAGAGAGCGTTATCATACAATGAGATTTTTCTGTGGCCCTTTCATGTCTGGTAACATAAAATTTTTCCTTAAATTCAGATTCAAGTTCTAACTTCATTTACACATTATTGAAAGCATTACAAAGCATAAATCAGTTCAATTTTTAAAGTTCCTGTATGATATTTTGAGAGCATCCAAATTCCCCTGCTTGTCTGGACTCTTTCCCACTGCCTGCCACAGCTCGTGGCAGGCGAAATAACTGTGGAGAAAAAGCAGGTTTTCAGCGGCGGCTCAGATTACTCTGTCACCCTTCCTACATGGCAGACAGGCCCCTGCTGACATGGAGAATGAAGACAAGAAAATTACTTCATTACAGTGTGTCCTGATCAATTACAAACGTCTAGGAGTCAGGTCTGTCCATCTGCTGCTCTGGTCTGGCCCTGGACATAACTCTGGGTTATGAAAACAAGGATTGTGTTGCCTTAGGCCCCAGGAATTAGCAAGTGAGAGGTTTTCAAATCCCCAACCAGAGTTGTTCTTCTGGTGTACGTTCCTATTGGAGTCAATGTGTTCCAGCTGGACTGCCTTTGGAAATCATCTAATTTACTCGTTCATGATCCAAAGGTCCAGAGAGGGTGAGTCGCTTGCTCAAGCTCACAATGTAAGTTGATAGCAAAGTCAAGCCTAGATTTGAAAGAACATGTCAGGTATCAAACATTGCGACCCTAAGTGATGGCAGTGAGGTTTAGTTTTATCAGTAAATGTTTCCCTTCACTCTCTTCCAGCAACCAGTGTCGCCAGATTCTCTAGAGCTCACCTCTTTGATGATGGCTGATATATCCTGTGGTGTAGGAGCCTGGCTTCCTGGGGAGTCCAGGTTTATGTCAGTTGTCCCCAGATCATTATTCTTAACATCAAGCGCTTTCTAAGTACTTTATGTTTATTCCCTCACTCAATTTTTATAGCCCTGTGAACTAGGTTCCACTATTTTCATCAAGGCTTAGAGAGGTAAAGTAACTAACCGGAGGCCACACAGCTATTAGATGGTAAAGCTGAGAAAAGAGGCAGGAGGTCTGGCTTCAGAGCCCAACTTTTAAATCACTATACTCTACATGTCCACTATCCCTTACCTGAAACTCTTGGAGCCAGGTGTGGTTCAGAGTTTTACAAATTTCAAATTTTAAAAAGGCAATGAACTGCATATATTGTGTATTACATAATACTAGGGCAGCAACTTCTAATCAAACAAATGATGTTTCTGCAGTAATAAGTAGGATTATTCACATTATGAATCTGGCACCTGCCTTCTGAGAGGGGTGTACATCACTCTGGGTTTAACAGCATGGTGATGTATTCCTTGATACCACCATTTTTGGTCTTCCAAAATTGAAAGTTTGATTTATCTTGCCAAATGTATGAGCGGCATGGATAAAAATGATTACTCACATGTGGATAGAGGACAAAGACTGTCCCTTCATGGCTGCATGTAATTCTCACAACAGCCCTGAGATGAACATAGGCCCCCTGCAACCTCAGAGCACCTTGGCTGGAGAGCTTTTGGGGATACTCTGAAATATTATTCATAGAACCAAGAACAAGTAAATTTAAACAGCTAAAGTCCTACATTTTGGGGAGGCATGCTTAGTGGTTTATTACTGAAATTATTTCCTAAAGAATATCTATTAAATTCAGGAAATTCAGCATGTAGTTGAATTTTTACATTTTTAAATGGTAGAAGAAACTATGTGGATATTAAAAGATTACAAATAGATCTGAAAAATATTGTTACCAAGATGACAAAATAAAAACACCTGTAAACAGAAGAAGAAAAAAAGATTGCAAAATATACTTCTATTTTACTCAGACCAGAGTAAAAACTAATGAAAAGCTAAATACAATGTAGACAACTGCAAAGAACAAAATATTCCTGAGCAGACAACAAATGAAGAATCATGTCTTTAGAGAAGAAATTTATATAGAAAGGTGACTTACGTGAAGCAGATATAAAAGTAATGCAACACTTAAAGCATTTTTGTCTACTCAAAACTAAGGGTATAATTTTAAAAATCCAGTTTGTGATACATCATTACAGTCTAATTATAACACATGAAAAGAAAATGCTAGATATGCTCATCCAAAGAGGCTGTCTCTATGGGCTTTTTGCTGAGAGGGGCCATATGAGTAGGAGGAGTGAACATGCCACTCTAGCCTTCAACATATCCCGAGAGATCCTCAAACATGAGACACCTACCACTTATACGTGGCATCATCTGCAATCCACGGCAATTTAGCTCTCAGAAAATTTTTTCTGAGGACATAGGAGTGCAAGGTTGAAATCACTATTTTTACAAAGTTAACAACCAATGCCTTACACATATTTGAGACTGAATAGTAGCCAAACTAGGCTCTTCTGTTCTCCTATCCAGAAAGTCCTTAAAGCAATGGAATAATTTTCTAAGATCATGAGGCCAGCCCATGCAGAATTGAGACATACCTTTAATGTCTTCTCCAGTCCAAGCCTCATTACTACAGGACCAGGCATCTATGTTATGGTTTTACTTTTGTCAACATTCTCACCTGTTATTTCTACTTTTAACACAGTATTGGCCCTGTGAGATATAAGACGAGCATTATTATTCCCATGCTGCAGATTAGGAAATCAAGATCTAGAGAAGTTAAAGCACTTACCTGAGATCCAAGCAGTAAATCTCTAATGTAAATCTTAGGCTGAAGCTCTTTGCACTCTACTATATTCTTTTGATTTGCACTTTGGACATGTGTCTCTGATCTCCTAAGGGTAGAGCAAGACTAGGACTCTGGTGGATAGATGCATGGAAATGGTGTCTGGTCACAGACTCTTAGGGCCATAGGTCTACTGCAGTGCCTTCCTTGCATGTTGTCTGTGCTTAACAACTACTTTTCATTTTCCCTTTTCTTTGAAGGAGAGTTCAAACGTTTCAATGCTTGCTCATTAAAGCCATTCATCTTTTACCTCATAAAATAACAAGCTATACTAGCAGGGTTATATCTTTCTTGCCTTTAGGGTTAACCATGTAACTGGAAAATTAAAAAAAAAAAATTTTTCCTGATCAATTCATAATAGTGTCAGCCCTTCAAAATCTCTTCATGGTCTCCTCAAGCTGACACCTCCAAATTTACCACTTACACAGTCCAGCTGTCTTTTGCTTTTGATAAAATGACTTAGCTACAAAAAGTAAAAAAGATTGTTACATATTTTGATTGAAATCTGAAGAAATGGGTTTCTTTTGTACTAGTTGGGGCTTTCCGGAGAAATAGAATCAATGGGATATATTTAGAAATATGGAAAGAGATTTAGTATGCAGAATTTGCTTGTGTAATTATGGAGTCTGAGAAGTCCTGCAATCTACTGTCTGCAAGCTGGAGATTATGGAAAGCCATGGTATAGTTACAGTTGAAGCCCAAAGGCCTGAGAACCAGGGAGCCAATGGTGTGAGTCCTATTCCAATTCCAAAGACCTAAGAATGGGGAGTGGGTGTAAATCCTACTCGAAATCCAAAGGCCTAAGAACTGGGGAACAATAGTGTAAGATCTGGTACAAGTCCAAAGGATGGAAAATAAAAAGCACCCATGTCCAAGGGCAGGAGAAGATGGATGTCTCTGCTTAAGCACAGAGAGTCAATTTGCCCTTCCTCTGCCTTTTTGTTCTATCTAGGCTGTCTATAAATTGGATGATGCTCACCCACAATGCTGAAGAAAATATTTTTTACTAGGTCTAGCAATTCAAATGCTAATCTTTTCTAAAAACACTCTCACACTGTATTAGCTCCTTTTCACACTGCTAATAAGGACATACCCAGTACTGGGTAATTTGTAAAGAAAAAGAGGTTTAATGGACTCACTGTTCTACACGGCTTGGGTGGACTCACAATCATGGCAGAAGGCAAAGGAGGAGAAAAGGCATGTCTTACATGGCAGCAGGCAAGAGTGTGTGTGCAGGGAAACTGCCCTTTATAAAACAATCAGATATTGTGAAACTTATTCACTATCACAAGAAGAGCATGGGAAAAACCTGCCCCCATATTTCAATTACCTCCCACTGGATTCCTCCATTAACTCAAAAGTCCAAGTCCAAACTCTCATCTAAGACAAGTCCCTTCCAGCTTGAGCCTGTAAAATAGAAAGCAAGTTAGTTACCTCCTAGATACAATGGAGGTACAGGCATTGGGTAAATGTTCCCAGTCCAAACAGGATAAATTGACAAAAACAAAGGGACTACAGGCTCCATGCAAGTCTGAAATCCACGGGGGCAGTCAAGTCTTAAAGCTCCAAAATGATCTCCTTTGACTCCGTGACTCACATCCAGGTCACGCTGATGCAAGAGGTGGGCTCCCATGGCCTTGGGTAGCTTGGCCCCGGTGGTTTTGCAGGGTACAGCTCCCCTTCCAGCTTCTTTCATGGGCTGGGGTTGAGCATCTGTGGCTTTTCCAGGTGCATGGTGCAAGCTGTTGGTGGCTCTAAAATTCTGGGGTCTGGAGGACAGTGGCCCTCTTCTCACAACTCCACTAGGCAGTGCCTCAGTGGGGACTCTGTGTGGGGGCTCCTACCCTGCATTTCCCTTCTGCTCTGCCCTAGCAGAGGTTCTCCATGAGGACTCCACCCCTGCAGCAAACTTCTGCCTGGACACCCAGGCATTTCCATACATCTTCTGAAATCTAGGCGGAGGTTCCCAAACCTCAATTCTTGACTTCTGTATACCCACAGGCTCAACACTACGTGGAAGCTGCCAAGGCTTGGGGCTTGTACCCTCTGAAGCCACAGCCTGAGCTGTACCCTGGCTTCTTTTAGCCATGACTGCAGTGGCTGGGATGCAGGGCGCTAAGTCCCTAAGCTGCACACAGCAGGGGAGTCCTGGGCCTGGCCCATGAAACCATTTTTCCTTCCTAGGTTTCTGGGCCTGTGATGTGAGGGGTTGCCATAAAGGTCTCTGACATGCCCTGGAGACATTTTCCCATCATCTTGGTGATTAATATTTGTCTCCTTGTTACTTATGCAAATTTCTGCAGCCAGCTTGAATTTCTCCCTAGAAAATGGGTTTTTCTTTTCTACTGCATCGTCAGGTTGCAAATTTTCCAAACTTTTATGTTCTGTCACCTCTCGAACACTTTGCTGCTTAGCAATTTCTTCCACCAGATGCCCTAAATCATCTCTCTCAAGTTCAAATTTCCACAGATCTCTAGGGCAGGGGCAAAATGTCACATCTCTTTGCATAGCAAGAGTGACCTTTACTCCTGTTCTCAACAAGTTCCTCATCTCCATCTGAGACCACCTCAGCCTGGATTTCATTGTCCATATCACTATCAGCATTTTTGTCAAAGCCATTCAACAAGTCTCTAGGGATTTCTAGACTTTCTCAAATCTTCCTGTCTTCTGAGCCCTCCACGTCTCTAGGGAGTTCCAAAGTTTCCCACATTTTCTTGTCTTCTTCTGAGCCCTCCTAACTGTTCCAACCTCTGCCTATTACCCAGTTCCAAAGTCACTTCCACATTTTCAGGTATCTTTATAGCAGCACCCCACTCTACCGGTAACAATTTACTGTATTAGTCTGTTCTCACGCTGCTAATAAAGACATATCCAACACTGGGTAATTTATAAAGAAAAAGAGGCTTAATGGACTCATAGCTCCACATGGCTGGGAAGGCCTCACAATCATGGTGGAATGCAAAAGAGGAGGAAAAGCACATCTTACGTGGGGTCAGGCAAGAGTGTGTGCAGGTGACCTGCCCTTTATAAAACCATCAAATTTCATGAGACTTATTTACTGTGACAAGAACAGCATGGGAAAAATCTGCCCCCATGATTCAATTACCTCCTACTGGGTCCCTTCCATGACACGTGGGGAATATCAGAAGTACAATTTAATATGAAATTTGCAACCTACTCATCTGACAAAGGGCTAATATCCAGAATCTACAATGAACTCAAACAAATTTACAAGAAAAAAACAACCCCATCAAAAAGTGGGCAAAGGACATGAACAGACACTTCTCAAAAGAAGACATTTATGCAGCCAAAAAATACATGAAAAAATGCTCATCATCACTGGCCATCAGAGAAATGCAAATCAAAACCACTATGAGATATCATCTCACACCAGTTAGAATGGCAATCATTAAAAAGTCAGGAAACAACAGGTGCTGGAGAGGATGTGGAGAAATAGGAACACTTTTACACTGTTGGTGGGACTGTAAACTAGTTCAACCATTGTGGAAGTCAGTGTGGCGATTCCTCAGGGATCTAGAACTAGAAATACCATTTGACCCAGCCATCCCATTACTGGGTATATACCCAAAGGACTATAAATCATGCTGCTATAAAGACACATGCACACGTATGTTTATTGTGGCATTATTCACAATAGCAAAGACTTGGAACCAACCCAAATGTCCAACAATGATAGACTGGATTAAGAAAATGTGGCACATATACACCATGGAATACTATGCAGCCATAAAAAATGATGAGTTCATGTCCTTTGTAGGGACATGGATGAAATTGGAAATCATCATTCTCAGTAAACTATCGCAAGAACAAAAAACCAAACACCGCATATTCTCACTCATAGGTGGGAATTGGACAATGAGATCACATGGACACAGGAAGGGGAATATCACACTCTGGGGACTGTGGTGGGGTGGAGGGAGGGGGGAGGGATAGCATTGGGAGATATACCTAATGCTAGATGACGAGTTAGTGGGTGCAGCGCACCAGCATGGCACATGTATACATATGTAACTAACCTGCACAATGTGCACATGTACCCTAAAACTTAAAGTATAATAAAAAAAAATAGAAGTAAATTAAAAAAAATAAATAAATAAATGACATTAGTTAAAAAAAAAAAAAAAGAAATTTGGGTGGGGACACAGCCAAACAATATCACACACACATACCTAGAAATAATGTTTAAACAGCTATCTGGGCATCTGTTAGTCCAGTCAACTTGACACATATAATCAGCTATCTTAGTTGCTTGTGCTTTTGTTGTCATATCTTAGAAAATGCTGGGTCAAATTGTAGGTGAGTTTTGCATTGCCATGGATAGTGCCAAATCAATCTCCAGAAAGATGATCTCTATTTATACTCTTACTAACAGTATAAAAGAGGTCATTTTCTTACTCCCCCTCTTATCCACACCAAGTATAATATAGTGTAGTGTGTTTTCAATGTGATAAGCAGAAAAATGGTATTGCATTGCTTTGATGTACATTTCTGTATTTTGGGTTGAGACTGAGCATATATTCTTATGTCCACTTTAAGAGAACCGTCCATTTTGATACTGTGGTTGTTAGGTTGAGTTAGTTTGGATTTGGATAGGTGTGGGTGATTCCAGGCAGAGAAGGCCCTTGGATCATTGCATTAGCTGTTCATAGGAACTCCAAGGGCCTGAGAGAACTGTTTGTCACCTCTGTTGGCCTGAGCATGTTGACATCCTGTCACAACACCACAGCGTGTGCCCATTCTCCTGCCTCTGGTCCCAAGTGTCGGTACTCAGCTAAGAGGTGAAATAAATGACCTGAATTTCCAACTTTGCCATTTACTTACCATGGGACTGTGGGCCAGTCACCCACACTTTTCTAACCAGAGGCAAGAAGGGATTAGGACTTCTCATTTTGGCATCCCATTACAGTTAGAGTAACCAGATAAAATACACAATACACAGTTGAATTTGAGTTTCAAATAAATAATGAATAATATTTTAGTACAGCTATGTACCATGTAATATGCTAAATTACTTTTACTAAGTTTGGCAACACTGGCTACAGTGCTAATTCTAGATATATAGTATACTTTTTCATTATCATTTCAGTCTCTCTGAGCCTCGGTATTTTCCTCTGGAATGTGGGACTAATAACATCAGCCCTGAAATCCTCATAACGCTGTTGTAGGGATCAAACAGGATAAAGCATATGACATCATTAAGCAAATTATAAAATGCTTTTCAAATGTTAGATGGCAGCATGAGTGCTTATAGTATACATAAAACTGGCATTATGGAGAGGCTTCCCAAATGAGAAACCCTCTTTTGGGAAGCCTCTTTCTCTCTTTGTCCCTACCAAAATATGTGAGAGGTTGTTTTGGAAAATGTGGATTGCATCTCAGAGACTGTGGTGGCATAGAATGAGTCACCATTATCTTCTCCAATGCAAACATAACAATGTTTCATATTTCGTACTAAATAAGCACTTGGGTTTAAATATAACTCTTTCTGTTAAATCGATATTTTAAATAATGTCTGCATGGGGTAATTATTTTTCCTAAAGAGTGCCAGGAATACATTGCAGCCTCCTTTCTGCTTAACAGTGTGTAGTAATAAAAGGTCTATCACCCTCAGAATGCTTATTATGGTGACAAATCACTTGCAGAAGGGGGAAATGATTTAGTACCTGCTCAATTCCATTTATTCAGATTCTGCACATTCCAAATCTGAGGCATGCAGCCCTGTGTGGAGGGCAAGCAGGAAGCAGTGGTTTAGGTGAAAGGTATTGGGTCAGTTTTCCACCTGGATATTGTTTCCAAATTGTAGCCAAGCAATTAAATGTTTTATTACTGAAGTTTGATCATCTCCCTCTTGCCACCACCTCTCCCCAAGTAGCAATTCTCTTGTCTTCCCATCGAAGTGAGCCCTGCTATAACTTTAAGAGCATGAAAGAAAACGTTGGGAGGAGGTCAGTGTGCAGGGCACCCAGCAGGTTTGATGTGTCAGTGGATAAATGATGGGATCACATCTGGAACAGTTTGGTGAATAAATAAAATGTGAAACCTCATATATCACTGCCCACCTTCCAATCTGTAAGGGAAAGAGCAAATAAATTCTCTAATGACCTTGTAAAGCACATAAAAGATATTGAATAAACTCTAGACATTTTGTGGCAAAAAGCGTCCATATTAAATAACAAATTTTAGAGTGAGAAAATACTTGAAATACAGGATGAGTCTTCCTCATAAAGTGCCGTTTTATTTTATGTGTTATTTATTAGTCCACATGTACATAGCTCCAAATAATATAATTTAGATTATAACTCAGTTTTACAGAAACACTTTTCCTTCAGATAAATTCCCAGAGGAGTTTTATATTTATACCTAGAAAATAGTTGTTCTCTGTTTTTATGGCTTTGGCTGCCACAAGATTCTACCATCTCCAGCCATCATTAGTTTATGCATTTTTTCCCATGGCATTCACTTTAGGAAATATTGGGGACAACGCAGGTACAGGGAATTCTATCTGCCAGGTATTAATCAGAATTGGGGTGCAGCTGAGTGCTCCTTGGGATAGGTTTAGGAGGAAGAGGAAGCCAGAAGCGACTTGTCTTGGATCCGTCAATGTTCTATCACACACATTATTTACTTTCAGGGGTCATCTATGTACATTTCATATTAAGGAGCAATTGACAAGCAGGTGGTACCCTGGCCACTGCCCCTGGAGGACTGGATTCTTGTCTCAGTTCTCTCCCTAACTTTCTGTGTGATCTCAAACAAGCCTCTTCTCTCCCTCCACTTCCTCATCTGAAAAATACATGAGGAGTGGGCCTTCATGTGCTCCAAAGGCCCTCCCACCTCTGGCATTTCTTGAGTCTCTGATTTGTCAGGGTGAACAGGAAGCAGCTGTCTGACCAACAGGTGAGTGTGATCATGGTACTGACAGACACAGTCAAGTGAAACCCATCCCCAATTCCTTTGATGATTATAAAAGAGAAGAGAAGTTTTTATAGCCAAATCTTGAGCTTTGCAGTTGTTTTTAAAAAGTCACATCTTCAGTCAGCTCTGTGGGCAGATGTAGCAATTCAGAGCAATGGCCACAGTTCAATCCATGTGATGCATCGTTAATGAAGGCAGGGTTGCTTTGGAGGGTCTGACCAAACTTTACAAGTGTTCAACCAGTACTGTATCATGACAGGTCTGAAAATAGGGGAGCCAGCTGCCCTCGCTGTCTCATTCCTCATGTGGTACCTTGGGGCCACTTCTCTTGCAGTTAAATAAGCCTGATTGAGGCTGACCATTCCAGAAGCCTGGTTCAGGGCCTTGGAGAATAACATAGTTTGTTCACTTTTCCTATCTTATTTCATTCCTCTCTGTCCAACCAGGATGACTGATCCACAGGAAAGCTGCTGGCTTCTGGGTCTCCTCACTGTTGCTGTAGAAGGACTTCATATTGTGATAATGAGGCTCATGGTCATAGCTCTTAGTGACCTTCTCTTTTGCATGTATTGACAGTATCTGCAAATACTTAGTTAAGGATGCAATTAGGCAGTTGTTTCCCCAAATGAGGAATGGTCAGCTAGCTCTCATAATTGCTCCAGCAGTTGAATATTTACAGGTATATTCTGGCCATCTCTAGCATCAGACTGCCTTGGGAATCACAGTTAACTCCAGAGAGAAAGTTTAACAGGGACCTTTAAATGATATGTCCCTTAATTACTTTGTTGCTCATTTTATGTGCTCCTAAGTGAGAAATTCTTAGAATTACTTCAGCCCATTTTTCCCTTCTGTGATCCCAGCGATTGTGTGTTCCAGAACTTTTGGAGTGGGGACATACACTCTGTTGCTAGTTGGTGAGTTTGTGATCTGAGTATGAAAAGCCAGCTCTCTGCCTTCCAAAAGCATTTGTAGCAGGGGCAAGATCTTTCTTTGTCCCTCAGCTGTTCTTGGCTCATTACGATCTTTCTTCTGTGTTTAGTTAGGGAAGGGGGTAAAGTTGAAATCCAATCATGGGAAGAACTGATTTCAGGTCCATTTTGGGGCATGTCATTAGACACACATTTGGAGATTTAGAAGACAATGTTATTTATTGGTGAGACAGGATTTTGCTGTTGTCCTCCCACCTAGAGGTTAACCTTGTCTGAATGAGAGCACTGTTTACTATGTGGCAGGTAACCTGTATTAACCTGTATTGGTACCCTGGCCCCTTTGGTGGTCTGGTGAATCCTATAGGCCCATATCAGAAAATGGTATTTAAATGAATATAATAAAATAAATGAGGTTACAAAAGACACAAATAATATTGAAATATAGTTATAAAATGTTTTTACAAACAAATTTGTAATACAGTAACATATGTACTCCTTGCTATGAACAAGTACTACAGTTTTAGAGTAGTGAGTATAAATGACATTTTGAGATATGTTCAACTACTCTAATCTAGATATAGATTTGCAAATATCTATAATTTATCTTGATAACATGTCAAAAGTACTGCTAATACTGCTGTGGTTTATTACCTATATTCATTAATTAGGGGAAATTCTAAATCTACTTAGAAGCTGGTGAAATTAACAACATAACTTTTTTCCAATCCAAGTTCACAGTTTGCAGGTCAAGAACCCCTGCTAGAAGAGGACAGGCCCTGAGCCAGGTGGCAGGAGTCTAGGCTGCTAGTTCCCTCCTTTTTCTCTTCTGAGCAGTGTGGTCTTATGGAGGAGAGCTGCTCCCCCAGGGAACATCCCTCCTGTACCTGCAAACTTTCATTCTTGTTCCAGCTCTGCCAATCATTTTCTATGTGACTGAGGTCAAATCACTTATTCAATCTGAGCTTCAGTTTTCTCAATTGTGGAAAGAGATGGGTGGGTTAGATAATTTCTTGAGATCCCTTCCAGTTGTAATATTTTGTAATATTTCTGATTCTATGACACCATTGAAAAATTTCAGTCATACCAATTCTGGGAAAAGCAGATAATCTGGCATTCCGTGGTTTTGTGTTAAAAGCACAGCTTTTCTAGTTACTAACTTGTGATCTTGGGCCAATTGCTTGACCTGCCTCAGCCTTAGTTTCCTTATCCATAAATTGGGTGAAATAATAATATCTACTTCGTGGAGTTAATGTGAAGAAGCATCAACCAGAGAAGGTTTTAGCTGGTTTATGTCTTTCTCATCTGGTCCATAAAGGACTTGAGAGGGCTTGATGATGCATACCCAGTCCAGCATGTGACTCATAGTAGGTCCTCAAAAAACGACTGAGATGATCGTTAGACAGTGATGTCCCATTTTTTTGTTTTAATTAGTTCCTTCAGAGCTGGTGTCATGAATCAGGCTGCCGCTGAGAAGAGGTACCATACATTGGTTCTAATCACCACCGTCCACCTGTGTTAACAGCCTTGTTTTTACAAGTGAAAAACTGAGGCTCCAAAGTTTAAAGATTCACCTCTCTCTCTCTTTCTCTCCCTCTTCATCTCTCCTTCTCACCAGAATAGGCACTCTGGCATTTTCCTTTAGTATCTTAACTTCATGATAAAATGTCAAAGCTAAATTTATTCTCTTCATTTGTGTTAAAAGCATCACAAAGAGTTAATATTTTGGAAAAGCAAAAAATGTAAGTTAGCAGACAGCAAAATTTTGAGCTTCCTCATGGCTTCCTTTTTCAGGTAAAATGTGGAACTGGCTATCAAATGAGATAAATGGTGGCTTGATTCATGAAATTATTATTGAAGACATCACGAAAATTTAGCAATTATTTTTAAAATTAAAAAAAGTGCTCTCTAAGATCATGATAGTTGTTAATGTGCTTCCTCATTTCCAGATCCCGGTGTCAGGAATGCCCATTTGTTTTGTTTTGTTTTGTACAGCATAAAAATTTGAAGAAAATACAAATACCCAATGAGGAAATTTGGATTCAGCTAATGTAATGCCTACCTAGGAAGACCAAAAACCTAAATGTGGTGGGTAATTTTCATATCTTGTTGGTTTTTAAAATCCTCAGGAGCACTCCTTCCATTGCAGAACAGGCTAATTACTAGAGACCTATGGCTAGCCTAGCACTGGGAGCCCGGGGCCAGTTTGCACATTGCCTATCTTCCTAAGTAGATTGCTAAGGTTCACATCTTATAGGTCCTCCTTCACACCCCCTCAGCCCAGGAGAAAGACCCCTCTGACCTTAGACCTTAGGATGACTGTCACCATCACCATTATTGACCATTGCTGGACCATTAGCTGGACCATCCCCATCCTATCTAAGTCCTTCTTTCTCCTAGAAGCATGTAAGTTTACTATTTGGTAGAAAAAAAAATGGCATCTTCTGGGGCTTCTGGGCCTTCAACACAAGAGGAATGTGTTTCATACATATGGCAGCAGGAGAGATTGATAGAAATATGACCTACCACATAAAGTCTGTTTCACTCTTTAAAAAAAATATGGCTAGAGAAGGAGAAGGATTCTGCTCATGAGAACCTTCCCTGTTATGTTCTATTACAGTGGAAACATTGTCTTGGTCAGAGGCCTGTTTCTAAAACATTCCCAGGATTTTACATTTTGAAACCAAAAAAAGGAAAGAAAGTTTTCTGTTATAGTCTGCCAAGGCAAATACAGGGCCAGTCCCCCAGAAACTAGAAATCATAAGATCATGCAGACGGTCTCAAGGGGGTCATCACAGGCCCTGAATGGAAAATGATTGTTCATGCAGAATGTGAGAATATGAAAAGCAAATGTGGTACCTTCCCCCAATGCCTGCCGACCTTGATTGGGATGATTTATTAAAGCATCAGGCAGAGAAAGACAAAATCGCCTTTAAGGACTGGCTAATTTCATGTTTTAGTTGCTGATAAATAAGTTAGTCCTAGATAAATGTACTCATCGCGTGCTACAAAGCTTTCTTCTGTGGAGGAAGAAACACCAGTCCTTGAAAATATTCAGTAGACTTACATGCCAAGTCCACTGTTGCTGTCTGTGTCTGAGTGTCTGAAGTGTCTGTGAAAGTCCCCACAGTGTAAGGCTCCTTTTGAAATGATTTTGAGGAAATCTTGCTTGAGAGGACATGCTCAAGTAGCTGTCATCATCTACATAGGGGCCAGCCAGAAAGGCATCCCTTTTCTGCCACCCAAAGCTATTCAACTAATCCTCATGCCCCCAGCCCCACATCCGCTTGTAAGTCTCTGGCTAAAGTCATTTTCAGAAAGTTTTGCATGGTGGATTGAGAAGGGAAGACTGCAGGACTGCCACGATCGCCTTGTTGATGGGAGTCATTGTTATTCTTGCTTATGACAGGCTTTTTATAATCTACTTCGCTCACCTCAAAAGGCATATTCTTCCTCATCGGGTCTAAAACAGTAATATGTGTCTACTGGGTCAGCCCAATGACTTTCTCAGCCTCTCTTTTTGGACATGAGTACTGTATGAGTCTAGGGTTGCCAGACAATTGTGTAGGTTGTGCACTGTACAGCTCTAGGGGATGCCCCTCACTTAGTAGATGGAAAAGATTTGTATATTTCTTAGAGAAGTTGTCTAACTAAAGTAAGTAAAGTGTCTAGAGGGAGGGGCACTTCTTCTTTTATTTTCACAAAGGCTAACAGCAGCCTTGGGATGGGACATCTTCTGAAATTAAACTGTGTACTCTGAGATTCCCATCTGACTATACAACATTAGAATGAAAAGTGTTTAGCAGAGAAAACAGAGACCCAAGGGGAAGAAGGAACTTGCTTAAGGTTGCACAGCAAGCCAGAGGCAGAGCTGAAGTTAGAACCTTAACCTGTCTTCCTGTCCTTCATCCTTCCCACTGCAGCCATTTTGTACCTCTCACCTGTGCCTATATTGCAGCCATTCTGTTTGGTTGGTATATGCCAGGTAAATGCATATCATAAGTTTGGCCCCAAATGAGCCCATTTCATTCAAGTATTCCAGGATTCAGCCAACATTCTTTCTATATCTTCTGTAATTGGATAAACATTTATACAGTTTTATACTATAAACTATGAAATGCAGGTTTTTCTTAGAAAATTTTCTCCCAGGCTTGGTTCTTACAAAATGAGGATTCCCCAATCATGCAGGCTGTTGTCCTCTGGCAGTTAGCCCATCAACCACAGAACAGCTCTTCTCCTGTGACTTCCGTGCTCAAACATGATATATATATCTCCCCATTGACTATGGGCTAAAGTCCATTTTCTTCAGCTTGGCAAATATGACCCTCTGTGATCTGGCCACTGTCTGCCTTCCATTCTCATCTCACAGCTCAATTACATATCTCTGACAGTGGTCACCCAGCCTGCCCGCTGTCCACCAAACATCTTCCATTCTTTCCTGGTTCCACGACTTTGCTGTAGCTACTCTATTTCCCAGAAACACACTTCCTCACCCTTCTTTGTCTGCTAAAGCATTACTGGACCTCCAAGGCCAAACTCCCATCCTTTCGTCTCCATGGAGTCTTCCTCTTTGACATGACTGCCTGCCCCATTCACTAAGAGCACTCTGCATCTCTCTTGGATTATTCATTATATCTGGATTGTTTGTGTGCCTGTCTATGCTCCTAGCAGCCTAGACAGAGGGCTCAAACAGGGACAGGGACCATGCTGTCTTGTTAACTACTTTTAGAACAAAGCTTTCTACAGACTATGCACTCAGTATATGGTGAATGAACTAAAAGTAATTGGTTCATTTGCTTGCATCTATTTATTATTTTATTCAAAATACTTATCAAGTACCTACTCTATGCCAGACACTAGGGAGTTAGCGAGGACGAAGAAAGATGTAGTACCTGGTTCATTTGAGCTTACAGATTATGCAGAGACAGGAAAGTAAACAGTTACTAAAGAGTGTGGCCAGTGTCACTACAGAATATACACAGAATGCCAAGGAGTGCATAAACATATACTTCCAGGAAAAAGTGACATTTAAATTGAGACTCTAATGATGAATAGGAATTAGCTAGGTGAGGAAAGTGGGAAGGGAGAGTGTTGCAAGCAGAAGGAACAGGATGTAAGAAGGTTTGAAAGTGAAAGAAAGCAAAACTCTTTCAAAGAACTGAGAGAGCAAGCTTTGAACCAGAACAACGGGCAGTCAGAAGACATGAAGCTGGCAAGAGGGAGGGGTCAGAAGATTCAGGGCCTTGTGAGCCATATCATAGAATCAGATTTTGTCCTAAAAGCAAAGGGGAACCTTTGAAGGGTCTTAAGCAGGGAAATGACACTGTCAAATTAGTCTGTGATTGCATCCACTCCCCGTCACCTCTTCCATGTGTCACAGTGGAGGGAGTCTGGCTTTTCCCTGGGTTTATATGATGGTTAGCATCTGTGTCCTCTGGGGCCACTTCCTGTTCCTGAAGTCAGTCACCATCTTTTTTTGTTTGTTTGTTTGTTTTTTCCATTAAAAGGAGAGGCCATTTCTCTCCACTCCACCTAGTCTTTCCTAATGAGGTAGCTTTGAAGGAGCTTCTTCCCCTAGGGTTAGATTCTGATTTCTCTTGCTTTACCTAACTGCCTCTGCTCTCCTAGCCTTTCCTTCCTCCTGAGTGGTGTTTGACTTTGGCCTCTTTTCCTTCTGATCATTTTTCCAACTCTGACCTGCCCCAGACCTGCCTCCTAGCAAGACCTCTCTGATGGCACTAATTTCATGTCCAGACTTTTTGTGACTGGAAGCCTGGGTGGCTTTGCTCTTTGTTCCCACATCAAATTAGATGATTTTAAATAGTAACCTCTTTGGGCAAGGACTTTTGCTTGTGATGCTTGAAAGCTGTGTTTACATCTATTCCGATTCCTAAATAATTGCTCCCAGCAATATGCATAGTAACTCACACAGTCACACTGAGAAATCATTGCCCAGGCCCTACTCTGTCTTTGTTTCCTGTCTTTGCAGGGGCACGAGCACAATTTATGGGTCCTTCAGTACTGTCTTTGTGGCAGAACAGCTCTGGCTCATGAAAGCCTTACTGGCAGCAAGCCTGATGTTGACCATTTACACACTCAGAAGAAAAACTTCTTAAGCCCTTAGAGACTTTGAGTTTAAATGTCCTGTTGATGTTCAAAAACTTACAAACGATTAAAAGATGCTCATTTTGATTATCTATATAGTAAAATTTCACGAATAGATACACTACTCAACAGTGAGGGAAATGATTTAATGCATTTTGGTACATTTGGTACATCCACTTAACATAGCCTACAACCTTAAAAATGATGAGAGTGGTGATATAGCAACAAGCAAGCAAGTCCATGATAAGAGCAAAGGGCAAGTTACGAATTTACGTGTAAAACAATCGCAGCTGGGAAAGTTCTATGTGCTTATGGACAAGAGTGGGAAGAGAATATAAAAGACAAAAGTAATTATAACCAAAGTACCCAGTAAATTACAGTTATGAGGTACTTTTAAGTACATTATTTCATTTAATGCTTACAAAAACCCTGGGTGGTTGGCATTATTGTCATGCTCATTCTGCAGGATGAGCGTGAAGCTTAGTGAAGCTGAGCAGCTTCAGACCACATTGCTAGGGCGTGGCAAAATCAGGACTCAAAAACTGATTGTCTCTGATTATGAGATCCTGTTTGATTCATATAGCTGGTGGGACTGCAGGTACAGTAGTCTGTTTTTGATTTCTATTAATGTTATAATGTTGTTATAAAAAGTAGTGAATGATAAATGTTTAAAAATAACTGGAATATGGAGATTTGGGATACCATTTAGCAAGGAAGTTAATGAGTGTAACTCAGTAAGAATGATTGTGAGAATATCTCGTAATCTTTGTTTTCCCCCTATTTTTTTCCTCATATTTTTCTATAGTGATTAGAAGGATAGGAGAAAGAAAGAAAGAGAAAGAAAGAGAAAGAAAGGAAGAAAGAAAGAAAGAAAGAAAGAGAGAGAAAGAGAGAAAGAAAGAAAGAAGAAAGAAAGAAGGAAGAAACAAGACAGAGGAAAGAAAGAAATGTGCAAGAACTTGTAGTGATTCCTATCCTTATTTACATGTCCCCTTTCCAGATTCACCAGTTTAGCAAGTAGGGATAGCTCTCCCACCTGTCTTCTGGTCCTGTCTTTCAGGTATTTTGCCCATTCTGCATTTTTCCTTTTTCCTAAGACTTATTCTACCCTGATAGCTGTGAGGACTCCACCAACCTCTGTGCTCCTAACACCACCACAGCCATGAAAATACTTTAAGAGTTGGGCCACGTAAGTCCTACAGGTGACTATTTCCAATTTTGGAGTATCTGCATTTTTTGATACAGGGCTTATTAAGTGCCAGGCCACATGCTATAGTATGATATAAGTGTTGTAAAGCTTAATTTCACATGGCTCCTGTCCTGTAAAGGAGCATTAGGGCTGAGAAGTCAGGCTCAAATCCAAGGTCAACACTTCCTGGCAATGTGACTTGCTTCAGGTTATAAGGTGAGATAGAGATAGAGCTAGGCTAAAAAGCACCTCTCACATAAGTGATTTTTAAAAAACTAAAGCTTATCCTTTTTTAAATTTTAAAAGCATATTTACATATAAAACATGTATTTTAATGTAAACCATTCTAAAATTATCTATATGTTAATTTTCCTAAGTAAATACAATACCAAGTAGAAAAGAAGACTTTTTCCCATTTGACTCAGTGACATAGTCCTTTTTGCTCCTGCACTGAATGGCCCCAGATTGTATGGTTCTTCATCATCTCCTTGACTTCCAGCTGCAGTATGGGGTACAGATGCTAACTAAGCACAGAGTCCATGATTCAGATTGTCTTTCATTCAGGACTTAGTTCTGCAACATTATCACTGTGTATCTTTGGGAAATTAATCTCTGTCAGCCTCAAACTGCTCATCCCTTAAAAAGTGCAAGAAGAGAAAGAGAAAGGGGAGGAGAGCATCTTTGAAGAAATAATAGCTGAAAACGTTCTAAATCTGAGGAAGGAAATGAACATCCAAATCCAAGAAGCTCAAAGGACTGCGACTATGATGAACCCAAAGAGATCCACACTGAGACACAATATAATCAAACTGTCAGAAGACAAAGACAAAGAAAGAATCTTTAAAGCAGCAAAAGAAAAGCAACTTGTCATGTGCAAAGAAGCACCAATAAGATTGTCAGTAGATTTCTCAGCAGAAATGTTACAGGCCAGAAGGGATTGGGATGATATATTTAAGGTGCAGAAATTAAAAAAAAAACTTGCCAACCAAAAATACTAAATCTGACAAAAGTATTCTTCAAAATGAGGGAGAAAAAAAGTCCTTTTCAGTTAAACGAAAGCTGAGGGAGGTTCACCATCAGACCTGCCTTATAAGAAATGCTAAAGGGAGTTGTACGAACTGAAACAAGAGGACACTAAACATCAACAAAAAAGCATGCAAAAATATAAAATTCTGTGAAGATAAATAAATAGATCAGTACAGAGTTCTATAATATTGTAATGATGGTACATAAATCACTGTTAATCCAGGTATATAATTTTAAAATATAAGAGCTTAAGCAATAAGGATAATTATAAAACTATGTTAATGAATACAAAATATAAAAAGATATAATTTGTAACATTGATAATGTAAAGTGGAGGGGGAAGGGTAAAGGAATAGACTTTTATATGTAGTTGAAGTTAAATTGTTATTGGTTTAAAATAGATTATTATAATTGTAATATATTTTATGTAATCCCCATGTTAACCAAAAATAAAATATCTACAGGAGCTGGGTTGTCTATACTTATATCAGATAAAATAGACTAAGTCAAAAATTGTAATAACAAACAAAGAAAGACATTATATAATGATAAAAGTGTCAATTCACCAGGAAGATAGAAGAATCACAAATTTGTTCACACCTAACAGCAGAGTAGCCAAATATAAGGAGCAAAGACTGGCAAAACTGATGAGAGAAATAGTAGTAATACAATAATAGTATGAGATTTCAATAGCCCATTTTCAATAACAGATAGAACAAACACACAGAAGATCAATTAGGAAATAGAGGACTTAAACAACACTATAGACCAATTGGACCTAACAGACATATACAAGATGCTTTACTAAACAGCAGAATGCACATTATTTTCAAACAAAGATAGAACATTCTTTAGAATAGATCACATGTTAGGCCACAAAACAAGTTTTAACAAATGTAACAAAATTAAAATTATAACAAAGATGTTTTCTGACCACAATGGAATAAAAGTAGTAATCAATAGAAAAAGGAAAAAAACTGGAAAATTCAAAAATATGTGGAAACTAAACAATACGCTATTGAACAACCAATGGGTCAAAGAAGAAATCACAAGGAAAATAATAAAATATCTTGAGACAAATAAAAATACAACATACAAAAATTTTTATGGAATGCAGTAAAATAAGTAGTGAAAGGAAAATTTATAGTAATAAATGCCTACATTAAAAGAAGAAAGATATCAAATCAACAATCTAACTTCATATTTCAAGGAACTAGAAAAATAAAATGAAACTAAGCCCAGATTTAGTAGAAGGAAGAAAATAATAAATATTAGAGCAGAAATAAATGAAATAGAAAATAGAAAAAGTAAAAATAAAAATAAAAGGACTACGAGTTGTGTTTTTTTTTAAGATCAAAAAAATTTGACAAACTTTTAACTATACCAAGAAAGAAAACAGAAGACTCAAATAACTAATACCAGAAATGAAAGAGGAGGACCAGAAAAATGGCAGGTAGGAGACAGAACTAATGTAAATCTCCCACTTGGATGGACAGAAAAGCATGTGGAAACTCACATTGTGAACTTTTTGCTCCAAGAACAACCACAGGAATATACCAAGAAAAAGGCAAGAATCCACAGACCCTTTGAAAGTAGCAGCTGGCCGCTGCAAACTCCATGAGACAGCCAAAAAACTGTGAGTTCCCAGCATATGAGAGGGGGAAATGTCTGCCTCTGAACACACATCACTAGTGGGGAACCTAAAAAGCTAGATCATGGGAGAAGAATTTAACCTTATCTAGTGCTGAAATGGATTTAGGGAGTTGAACGATGTATGAAAGACGAAGAGGGTAATTACATAATGACAAAAGGATTAGTCTAACAGGAAAATATCACAATCCTAAATATATTTGCACCTAACACTGGAGCTCCCAAATTTATAAAACCATTACTACTAGACCTAAGAAATGAGATAGATGACAACACAATTATAGTGGGGGACTTCAATAATCCACTGACAGCACTAGACATGTCATCAAGACAGAAAGTCAACAAATAAGCTATGGACTTAAGCTATACCCTAGAACAAATGGACTTAACAGATATTTGTAAAATATTCTACCCAACAACTGCAGAATATACATTCTTTTCATCAGTACATGGAACATTCTCTAAGAGAGACCATATGATAGACCACAAATCAAGTCTCAGTAAATTTAAGAAAAACAAAATTATATCAAATACTCTCTCAGACCACAGTGGAGTAAAACTGGAAATTAACTCTAAAAGGAACCCTCAAAACTATACAAATACATGGAAATTAAATAACCTGCTCCTGAGTAATCTTAGGATAAACAATGAAATCAAGATGGAAATTTAAAAATTCCTTGAGCAGAATAATAGTGACACAACCTATCAAAACCTTTGTGATACAGCAAAAGCAGTACTAAGAGGAAAGTTCACAGTATTAAATGCCTACATCAAAAAGTCTGAAAGAACACAAATAGACAATCTAAGGTCGCACCTCAAGGAAGTAGAGAAAAAAGAACAAACCAATCCCAAACCCAACAGAGGAAAATAAATAACAAAGATCAGAGCAGAACTAAATTAAATTGAAACAAAAAATACAAAAGATAAATAAAAGAAAATCTGGTTCTTTGAAAAGATAAACAAAATTAATAGATCATTATTGAGATTAACCAAGAAGAGAAGAGAGAATATCCAAATTAGGTCAATTCGAAACAAAATGAGAGATCTCACAAACGGTACCACAGAAATACAAAAGATCTTTCAAGGCGACTATGAACACCTTTATATGTACAAACTAGAAAACCTAGAGGAGATGAATAAATTCCTGGAGATATACAACCATCCTAGGTTAAACCAGGAAGAAATAAAATCTCTGAACAGACGTATGACTGGTAGCAAGATTGAAACGGTAATAGAAAAAAATTGCCACCAAAAATGTCTATGACCAGGCAGATTCACAGCTGAATTCTGTCAGCCATTCAAAACAGAATTGGTTCCAATACTACTGAAACTATTACAAAAGATAGAGAAAGAGAGAATCCTCCCTAAATCATTCTACGAAACTAGTATTATCCTAATACCCAAACCAGGAAAGGACATAACAACAACAACAAAAAAACTACCTACCAATATCCCTGATTAACATAAATGCAAAAATCCTCCAAAAATTCTAACTGAATCCAACAGCGTATGAAAAAGATAATCCACCATCACCAAGTGGGTTTCATACCAGGGCTGCAGGGTTGGTTTAACATATGCACGTCAATAAATGTGATACACCACATAAACAGAATTAAAAACAAAAGTCAAGGGGCCAAGATGACCTACTAGAAACAGCTGTCATCGGAGGTTCCCACGAAGAGAAGAACAAAATGGCAAGTGAATCCTGCATCGTCAACAGAGGTATCCAGGTTCTCTCATTTGGACTGACTAGGTGGTTGGTGTGACTCATGAAGAGTGAGGAAAAGTAGAGTGGTGTGACGGCCCACCTGGGAGCCACACGGGGCAAGGGGAACTCCCACCCTCAGCCAAGGGAGGCAGTGAGAGATCATGCTACCCTGTCTGGGAAACCACACTTTTCCCACAGATCTGTGCAGCCTACAGATCAGGAGATCCCCCTTGTGAGCCCATGCCACCAGGGCCTCTGATCTCCCTGGGACTGAGTCACTGAGAGAAGGGGCAACCACATTCTCTGTGTATCAGCAGACTTAGTCTTTCCACCTGCTGGCTCCGAGGAATCCAGGCAGTCCAGATGAGTGCGATTCCCCCCAGCACAGTGCTCCCCCTCTGCCAAGGAGTAACCAGAGTGCTTCGTTAAGCAGGTTCTGGATCCTATGCCTCCTGACTGGGTGAGATCTCCCAACAGGGGTCACCAGACACCTTATACGTAGGAGCGCTCCTACTGGCATCAGGTTGGTGCCTCAGTGACAGAGATTCCAGAGGAAGGATCAGGCAGCTGTTGTTACTGTTCTGCAGCCTCCACTGGTGACACCTCCAGGTGTGGGAGGGACCCAGGAAAATAGGGTCTGGAGTGGAACCCCAGCAAACTGCAGCCGATCTATGGAAGAGTGGCCTGACTGTTAAAAACAAACAAACAGAAAGCAACAACGACCACAGCATGAACAGAAAAGTTCCCACAAAAACCCCATCCAAAGGTCATCAGCCTCAAAGATCAAAGCTAGATAAACTCACAAAGATGATAAAGAATCAATGAAAAAACACTGAAAACTTAAAAAGCCAGAGTGCCCCAACTCCTCCAAATGATTGCAACACCTCTCCAGCAAGGGCACAGAACTGGGCAGAGGCTGATATGGATGAGTTGATAGATGTAGGCTTCAGAAGGTGAGTAATAATGAACTTTGCTGAGCTAAAGGAACATGTTCTAACCCAATACAAAGAAGCTAAGAACCATGATAAAACATTACAGGAACTTTTAACCAGAATAACCAGTTAAGAAAGGAAGATAATGACCTGGTGGAGCTGAAAAATGCAGCACAAGAACTTCAAAATGCAACCGCAGGTATCGATAGCTGAATAGACCAAGCAGAGGAAAGAATTTGAGAGCTTGAAGACTATCTTGCTGAAATAAGACAGGTAGACAAGATTAGAGAAAAAATAATGAAAAGGAGTAAAGAAAACCTCCAAGAACTATGGGATTATGTAAAGAAAACTGTACTTGCAACTGATTGGGTACCTGAAAGAGATGGGGAGAATGGAACCAAGTTGGAAAATATACTTCAGGATATCATCCAAGAGAACTTCCCCAACCTAGTAAGGCAGGTCAACATTCAAATTCAGGAAATTCAGATAACTCCAGTTCTCTGAAAGATACTCCATGAGAAGATGAACCCTGAGGCACATAATCATCAAATTCTCCAAAGTTGAAATGAAGGAAAAAAATGTGAAGGGCAGCCATAAAGAAAGGCCAGGTCACCTACAACAGGAAACCCATCAGACTAACAGTGGATCTCTCAGCAGAAACCCTACAAGCAAGAATAGATTGGATGCCAATAGTCAACATTCTTAAACAAAAGGATTTCCAACCCAGAATTTCATATCTGGCCAAACTAAGCTTCATAAGTGAAGAAGTAAAATCCTTTTCAGACAAGCAAATGCTGAGGGAATTTTTAACCACGAGATCTGCCTTGCAAGAACTCCTGAAGGAGGCACTAAATATGGAAAGGAAAAACCATTACCAGCCACTAAAATAACACACTGAAGTACAAAGACCAATGACACTGTGAAGCAACTACATTGACAAATCTGAAAAATAACCAGCTAGCATCATGATGACAGCATCAAATTCACACATAACAATATTAACCTTAAATGTAAATGTAAGTGGGCTAAATGCCCCAATTAAAAGACACAGAATGACAACCTGGATAAAGAAGCACAATCCAATGATATGCTCTCTTCAAGAGACCCATCTCACGTGCAAAGACGCACATAGGCCGAAAATAAAGAGATAGAGGAAAATTTACTAAGCAAATGGAAAGAAAAAAGCAGGGGTTGCAATCCTAGTTTCTGACAAAATAGACTTTAAACCAGCAAAGATAAAAAAAAAGACAAAGAAGACCATTACATAATGGGAAAAGGTTCAACAAGAAGACCTAACTATCCCAAATATATATGCACTATCCCAAATATATATTGATGGAACATACCTCAAAATAATAAGAGCCATTTATGACAAACCCACAGCCAATATCATACTGAATGGGTAAAAGCTGGAAGCATTGCCCTTGAAAACCAGTATGAGATAAGGATGCCCTCTCTCACCACTCCTATTCAACATAGTATTGGAAGTTCTGGCCAGGGCAATCATGCAAGAGAAAGAAACAAAGAATATTCAATAGGAAGAGAAAAAGTCAAACAACCTCTGTTTGTAGATGATATAATCCCTTTTTGTTATGTGTTTTTATATTATTATTATTATAATACTTTAAGTTCTAGGGTACATGTGCACAACGTGCAGGTTTGTTACATATGTGTACATGTGCCATGTTGGTGTGCTGCACCCATTAACTCATCATTTACATTAGGCATTTCTCTTAATGCTATCCCTCCCCTCTCCCCCCACCCCATGACACAACCTGGTGTGTGATGTTCTTCGCCCGGTGTCCAAGTGTTCTTATTGTTCAGTTCCCACCTATGAGTGAGAACATGCCATGTCTGGTTTTCTGACCTTGTGATAGTTTGCTCAGAATGATGGTTTCCAGCTTCATCCATGTCACTACAAAGGACATGAACTCATCCTTTTTTATGGCTGCATAGTATTCCGTGGTGTATATGTGCCACATTTTCTTAATCCAGTCTATCATTGTTGGACATTTGGGTTGGTTCCAAGTCTTTGCTATTGTGAATAGTGCCGCAATAAACATACGTGTGCATGTGTCTTTACAGCAGCATGATTTATAATCCTTTGGGTATATACCCAGTAATGGGATGGTTGGGTCAAATAGTATTTCTAGTTCTAGATCCTTGAGGAATCACCACATGGTTTTCCACAATGATTGAACTAGCTTACACACCCACCAGCAGTGTAAAAGTGTTCCTATTTCTCCACATCCTCTCCAGCACCTGTTGTTTCCTGACTTTTTAATGATTGCCATTCTAACTAGTGTGAGATGGTATCTCATTGTGGTTTTGATTTGCATTTCTCTGATGGCCAGTGATGATGAGCATTTTTTCATGTGTCTGTTGGCTGCCTAAATGTCTTCTTTTGAGAAGTGTCTGTTCAAATCTTTGCCCACTTTTTGATGGGGTTGTTTGATTTTTTCTTGTAAAAATGTTTCAGTTCTTTGTAGATTCTGGATATTAGCCCTTTGTCAGATAGGTAGATTGCAAAAATTTTCTCCCATTCTGTAGGTTACCTGTTCACTCTGATGGTAGTTTCCTTTGCTGTGCAGAAGCTCTTTAGTTTTTTCATTAGATCCCATTTGTCAATTTTGGCTTTTGTTGCCATTGCTTTTGGTATTTTAGTCATGAAGTCCTTGCCCATGCCTCTGTCCTGAATGGTATTGCTTAAGTTTTCTTCTAGGGTTTTTATGGTTTTAGGTGTAACATGTAAGTCTTTAATCCATCTTGAATTATTTTTTGTATAAGGTGTAAGGAAGGGATCCAGTTTCAGCTTTCTACATATGGCTAGCCAGTTTCCCAGCACCATTTATTAAATAGGGAATCCTTTCCCCATTGCCTGTTTTTGTCAGGTTTATCAAAGATCATATGGTTGTAGACGTGTGGTGTTATTTCTGAGGCCTCTGTTCTGTTCCATTGGTCTATATGTCTGTTTTGGTACCAGTACCATGCTGTTTTGGTTACTGTAGCCTTGTACTATAGTTTGAAGTCAGGCAGCATGATGCCTCCAGCTTTGTTCTTTTGGCTTAGGATTGTCTTGGAAATGCAGGCTCTTTTTTGGTTCCATATGAACTTTAAAGTAGTATTTTCCAATTCTGTGAAGAAAGTCATTGGTAGCTTGATGGGGATGGCATTGAATCTATAAATTACCTTGGGCAGTATGGCCATTTTCACATTATTGATTCTTCCTATCCATGAGCATGGAATATTCTTCCATTTGTTTGTGTCCTCTTTTATTTCGTTGAGCAGTAGTTTGTAGTTCTCCTTGAAGAGGTCCTTCGCATCCCTTGTAAGTTGGATTCCTAGGTATTTTATTCTCTTTGAAGCAATTGTGGATGGGAGTTCACTCATGATTTGGCTCTCTGTTTGTCTATTATTGGTGTATAGGAATGCTTGTGATTTTTGTACATTGATTTTGTATCCTGAGACCTTGCTGAGGTTGCTTATCAGCTTAAGGAGATTTTGGACTGAGATGATGGGGTTTTCTAAATATACAATCATGTCATCTGCAAATAGGGACAATTTGACTTCCTCTTTTCCTAATTGAATACCCTTTATTTCTTTCTCCTGCCTGATTGCCCTGGCCAGAACTTCCAACACTATGTTGAATAGGAGTGCTGAGAGAGGGCATCCCTGTCTTGTGCCACTTTTCAAAGGGAATGCTTCCAGTTTTTGCCCATTCAATATGATATTGGCTGTGGGTTTGTCATAAACAGCTCTTATTATTTTGAGATATGTTCCATCAATACCTAGTTTATTGATAGTTTTTAGCATGGAGGGCTGTCGAATTTTGTTGAAGGCCTTTTCTGCATCTATTGAGATAGTCATGTGGTTTTTGTCTTTGGTTCTGTTTATGTGATGGATTACGTTTATTGATTTGCGTATGTTGAACCAGCCTTGCATCCCAGGGATGAAGCCCACTTGATCATGGTGGATAAGCTTTTTGATGTGCTGCTGGATTCAGTTTGCCAGTATTTTTTTGAGGATTTTTGCATCGATGTTCATCAGGGATATTGGTCTAAAATTCTCTTTTTTTGTGTGTGTGTCTCTGCCAGGCTTTGGTATCAGGATGATGCTGACCTCATAAAATAAATTAGGGAGGATTCTCTCTTTTTTTCTATTGATTGGAATAGTTTCAGAAGGAATGGTACCAGTTCCTCCTTGTACCTCTGGTAGGATTTGGCTGTGAATCCGTCTGGTCCTGGACTTTTTTTGGTTGGTAGGCTATTAATTATTGCCTCAATTTTGGAGCCCATTATTGGTCTATTCAGGGATTCAACTTCTTCCTGGTTTAGTCTTGGGAGGGTGTATGTGTCCAGGAAGTTATGTTATCCATTTCTTCTAGATTTTATAGTTTACTTGCATAGAGGTGTTTATAGTAGTCTCTGATGGTAGTTTGTATTTCTGTGGGATTGGTGGTGATATCCCCTTTATCATTTTTTATTGCGTCTATTTGATTCTTCTCTCTTTTCTTCTTTATTAGTCTTGCTAGCAGTCTATTTATTTTGTTGATCTTTTCAAAAAACCAGCTCCTATATTCATTAATCGTTGAAGGTTTTTTGTGTCTCTATCTCCTTCAGTTCTGCTCTGATCTTAGTTATTTCTTGCCTTCTGCTAGCTTTTGAATTTGTTTGCTCTTGCTTCTCTAGTTCTTTTAATTGTGATGTTAGGGAGTTGATTTTAGACCGTTCCTGCTTTCTCTTGTGGGCATTTAGTGCTGTAAATTTCCCTCTACATGCTGCTTTAAATGTGTCCCAGATATTCTGATATGTTGTGTCTTTGGTTTCATTGGTTTCAAAGAGCATCTTTATTTCTGCCTTCATTTCGTTATTTACCCAGTAGTCATTCAGGAGCAGGTTGTTCGGTTTCCATGTAGTTGTGTGGTTTTGAGTGAGTTTCTTAATCCTGAGTTCTAGTTTGATTGCACTGTGGTCTGAGAGACTGTTGTGATTTCTGTTCTTTTCCATTTGCTGAGGAGTGCTTTACTTCCAACTATGTGGTCAATTTTGGAATAAGTGTGATGTGGTACTAAGAAAAATGTATATTCTGTTGATTTGGGGTGGAGAGTTCTATAGATGTCTATTAGGTCCACTTGGCACAGAGCTGAGTTCAATTGCTGGATATCCTTGTTAACTTTCTGTCTCATTGATCTGTCTAATGTTGACAGTGGGGTGTTAATGTCTCCCATTATTATTGTGTGGGTGTCTAAGTTTCTTTGTAGGTCTCTAAGGACTTGTCTTATGAATCTGGGTCCTCCTGTATTGGGTGCGTATATATTTAGGATAGTTAGCTCTTCTTGTTGAATTGATCCCTTTACCATTATGTAATGGCCTTGTCTCTTTTGATCTTTGTTGGTTTAAAGTCTGTTTTATCAGAGACTAGGACTGTAACCTCTGCTTTTTTTTGTTTTCCATTTGCTTGGTAGATCTTCCTCCATCCCTTTACTTTGAGTCTATATGTGTCTCTGCATGTCAGTGGGTCTCCTGAATACAGCACACTGATGGGTCTTGACTCTTTATCCAATTTGCCAGTCTGTGTCTTTTAATTGGAGCATTTAGCCCATTTACATTTAAGGTTAATATTGTTATGTGTGAATTTGATCCTGTCATTATGAGGTTAGCTGATTATTTTGCTCATTAGTTGATGCAGTTTCTTCCTAGTCTCGATGGTCTTTACAATTTGGCATGTTTTTGCAGTGGCTGGTACCGGTTGTACCTTTCCATGTTTAGTGCGTCCTTCAGGAGCTCTTGTAAGGCAGACTGGATGCACAAACTTCAGTAACCAATTCGATCAAGTGGAAGAAAGGGTATCAGTGATTGAAGATCAAATGAATGAAATGAAGCAAGAAGAGAAGTTTAGAGAAAAAAGAGTAAAAAGAAATTAACAAAGCATCCAAGAAATATGGGACTATGTGAAAAGACCAAATCTACATTTGACTGGTGTACCTGAAAGTGACGGGGAGAACAGAACCAAATTGAAAAACATTCTTCAGGATATTATCCAGGATAACTTCCCCAACCTAGCAAGGCAGGCCAACATTCAAATTCAGTAAATACAGAGAACACCACAAAGATATTCCTCGAGAAGAGCAACCCCAAGACACATAATTGTCAGATTCACCAAGGTTGAAATGAAGGAAAAAATGTTAAGGGCAGTCAGAGAGAAAGGTTGTTTTACCCACAAAGGGAAGCCCATCAGGATAACACCGGATCTTTTGGCAGAAACTCTACAAGACATAATCCTATATCTAGAAAACCCCATCATCTCAGCCCAAAAGCTTCTTAAGCTGATAAGCAACTTGAGCTGTCTCAGGATGCAAAAATCAATGTGCAAAATTCAAAAGCATTCCTATACACCAACAATAGACAAGCAGAGAGCCAAATCATGAAAGAACTCCCATTCATAATTGCTACAAAGAGAATAAAATACCTAGGAATACAGCTAACAAAGGATGTGAAGGACCTCTTCAAGAACTACAAACCACTGCTCAAGGAAATAAGAGAGGACACAAACAAAAGGAAAAACATTCCATGCTCATGGATAAGAAGAATCAATATCATGAAAATGGCCATACTGCCCAAAGTAAATTACAGATTCAATGCTGTACTCATTAAACTACCATTAACATACTTCATGTAGTTAGAAAAAAGTACTTTAAAATTCTTATGGAACCAAAGAAGAGCCCTCATAGCCAAGACAATCCAAAGCAAAAAGAACAAAGCTGGAGTCATCATGCTATCTGACTTCAAACTATACTATGAGGCTACAGTAATCAAAACAACATAATACTGGTACAAAAACAGACACATAGACCAATGGAACAGGATAGAGATCTCAGAAATAACACCACACATATACAACCATCTGATTTTTTACAAACCTGGCAAAAACAAGCAATGGGGAAAGAATTCCCAATTTAATAAATGGTGCTGGAAAAACTGGCTAGCCATATGCAGAAAATTTAAACTGGACATATCCCTTATACCTTATACAAAAATTAACTCAACATGGATTAAAGACTCAAATGTAAAAGCCAAAACTATAAAAACCCTAGAAGAAAATCTAGGCAATACCATTCAGGACATAGGCACAGGCAAAGATTTCATAACAAAAATGTCAAAAGCAATTGCAGCAAAAGCAAAAATTGACAAATGGAATCTACTTAAACTAAAGAACAAAAGAAACTATCATCAGAGTGAGCACACAACCTACAGAATGGGAGGAATTTTTTGTAATCTATCTATCTATCTATCTATCTATCTAATCTATCTATCTATCTGACAGAGGTCTAATATCCAAAATCTACACAAGGGATTTAAACAAATTTACAAGAACAAAACAAACAACCCCATTAAAAAGTGGGCAAATGACAGGAACAGACACTTCTCAAAAGAAAACATACAGGCACCCAATAAACATATGAAAAAAAGCTCAACATCATTGATCATCAGAGGAATGCAAATCAAAATCACAATGAGATACCATCTCACACCAGTTAGAAAGTCAATTATTAAAAAGTCAAGAAACAACAGTTACTGGTGAGGCTGTGGAGAAATAGGAATGCTTTTCCATGGTTGGTGGGTATTAGTTCAGCCATTGTAGAAGATGGTGTGGTGATTCCTCAAAGATCTAGAACCAGAAATACCATTTGACCCAAAATCACATTACTGGGTATATACCCAAAGGAACATAAATCATTCTATTACAAAAATACATGCACATGTATGTTTATTGCAGCACTATTCACAATAGCAAAGACATGGAATCAACCCAAATGCCCATCAATGATAGACTGGATAAAGAAAATGTGGTACATATACACCATGGAAAACTATGCAGCCATAAAAAGGAATGAGATCATGTCCTTTGCACGGACATGGATGGAACTGGAAGCCATGATCCTCAGAAAACTAACACAGGAACAGAAAACCAAACACTGCATATTCTCACTTGTAAGTGGGAGCTGAACAGTGAGAACACATGGACACAGGGAGGGGAGAAACACACGTTGGGGCCTGTCGAGGGGCCAGGGGAGGGAGAGCATCAGGATAAAGAGCTAATGCATGCAGGGCTTAATACCTACGTGATGGGTTAATAGGTGCAGCAAACCACTATGGCACTCATTTACTTATATAACAAACCTGCACGTCCTGTACATGTGTCCAGGAATTTAAAATTAAAATAAAATATTTTTTTAAAAAAGAAAGAAAGGAAAATATTTGCAAGCATATATCTGATATGGGGTTAATATCCAGAATATATCAAGTATTCCTCAACGCAACAACAAAAACCAAATAATTCAATTAATAATGGGAAAATGACTTGAATAGACATTTCTCCAAAGATAATATATAAATGGCCAACAAGTATATGTAAAAATGCTCAGCATCACTAATCATCAGGGAAATGCAAGTCAAAACTACCATGTGATATCACTTCACATCCATTAGGATGGCCACTATTCAAAAATGCAAAATAAGTGTTGAGAAAAATGTGCAAGAATTGGAATCCTTGTGCACCATTGCTGAGAATGTAAAATGATGCAGCCACTATGGAAAACAGTGCAGAAGTTCTTCAAAACATTAAATACAGAATTACCATATGATCCAGCAATTCCACTCTTGGATTTATATCTGAAAGAACTGAAAACAGGATATCAAAGAGATATTTGCACAGCCATGATCATTGCAGCATTATTCACAATAGCCAAGAAGTGGAAGCAACCGAAATGTCCACTGATTGATAAATGGATAAAGAAAATGTGGTACATACATACAATCAAATATTACTCAGCCTTGAAGAAGAAGAAAATTCTGTCATATGGTACAACTTCCAAGTTCATCCAGGTTGTACCATATGAAGTATTGTGCTAAGGATATATTATTGAGAACATTATGCTAAGTGAAATAAGCCAACCACAGAAAGGCAAATACTGCATTAATCCACCTATATGAGGTATCCAAAGTAGTCAAATTTCTAGAAGAAGAAAGTAGAATACTGGTTGTTAGGGGCTATAGAGAGAGGTAAATAGGAGTTGTTCAATGGGTACAGAGTTTGAGTTTGAGTTTTGGAAGATTCAAACGTTATAGAGATCTGTTGTACAACAATGTTCGTATAGTTAAAACTATTGTACCGTGCACTTAAAAAATGGTTTAGATGGAGGTTTTGTGTTGTATGTTTTTACCACAATAATAAAAAGTATGGAGATAATAATATTTAATACTACATTACTTGATTGCATATAATTAAATAAGTCATTGTTTACAGAGTACTTATCATGGTACCTGGCATTCAGTAAGTGATAGTTATCATCCTTGTGTGTATTATCCCATTAAAGGTATCTATTTGGCTTTAACTAGCTGACACCCATGACTGAAGGTCTAAGAACAGAAGTTAAGTGTTAAAAGAGAGAAAAGCAGCCTCTGACATCTGAAAGCTAGTTGAGCATTCACAACTAGACCTTGGTGTTCTCTGGTTAAGCATAAACAATTACACAGAGCATCAACATCAGATAACGCCATTCTGTGGCTTTGATGGATCAAGATTACTTGTAAACAAGTCTGAGCACAGGCATAAACAAAAACATTGTCCAAAGCACAAAACCAACCAAATATCCCACTATCCTGGCTAATATGAGTAACTGCTACTTTTTTTTAACTAGTTATAGACTTATTTTCATTTTGTTTTTCCCATCTTCAAGATAAAAATTAAGATACTCAAATCATAGAATTATCCTCACTCCTCACAGCATCCAATCCATAACAGAGTCCCACTTCATTGAACCTTTCCCTAAACCACTTAATGCAATCCCAGATCCTATGATAATCTTATAAGTGCTGTCTATCCTCCTCTTCTTGTGGCACCATACAATTCCTCATGATGTGTGGTCACCCTCATTGCAACAAATCAATAGTTCTGATTTGTTGAACTACAGTATGCTCCTTATGGTGTCTGGCTGGAGGAAATTGACAGTGCTGACCCTGTCAAGTGTAGCCTGGTATCTACTGATACAGTGCAGTAGTACAGATGCTCCCCTGTAATGACAATATATTTCAATGAAGCCTACCTCCTCCTCAAAGTTTTCATGGATTTACTTAGTTCGAAACAGTCTTTCCCTTTCCTTGCCTCCCATGACACTTGCAGTGTACCCCATTACCACCCTAGTCTCTCCCTGGAGCACAGTCTGGGAAACAGCAAAGACTAATGGGTGAAGGCACCAGCTTCAGAGTCACAGCCCTCTGTGTTAGAATCCCCGAACTTCCCCCTTACAACTGTGTAGCCTTAGGCAAGGCACTACATCTGTAAAACCTATATTACTTCTGTTGTGAAATGAAGAAAATGATATTTTCTTTCTTAACCTAACTCGTTTATGTTGTGAGGATTAATGGGATAATGTACAGAAAGCATTTAGTCTAGTGTCTGGAACACAGCAGATATTAAATGTGTTGTACTGCTATTATTATATTTATTACACAAAATTATTCTTCCCTGAAGAAATCTAGACCTTATGAAAAAAAGGGTTAAGGGGACTGAGGTTATGAATCATGTTCAAGGCCCCTCTAGGTTGATCTAAGGCTGTGGAGACTTCCATCTCTGGGTCCCTTCTCCGTTGAACAACCTTTATTTGCCCTACACTCTACAGTGGTAGAGGGGTTACCCATGCTTCCACCTTAATATACTGTCCTAATGTCTGGACTACTGCACTATATCAATAGATACCAGGCTACACTTGGCAGGGTCAGCCACTGTCTTTGTTGGCTTTGGTTCTGCATGGGAAAACAGCAAGACCAAGTGTATTGATCTTGGCCTTGTTTAACCTTTCCTTAACTTCTTTTTTTTCCTCCTCAGGTTTCATTGCAAGACTCTCAACTCCTTCTTTGCGTTTCCCTTTACTTCCCTTTTTATTTCTCTACCTCTTATTCCCTCTTTTTTTGCTTCAAATTATTGCCAGTAGGAATGACTCCTAATTCCTGTGCACTGAGACTAAAACTAGCACGATTGCTAAAAAGGCCAAAAGTGCATTTGCATTGCCTAGAATGTTATAAGAAGTGTTATAATTGGGGGATATAGTTGTGCCATATACAATGCTGCACAAACTCACTACTCAAAAGTGGTTCAAGCAAAATGCCATAGGAGCTCAGGGAAGGAGAATGGGGTGTGGGGATTCATGGAGGCTACATAGAGAAGGCAGTCAACGGACAATGTAATGGATGAACAGAGGAGGCCAGAGACAGGGAGCGGAGAGACCCTTCAAAAGGCTCTTCAAATAATCAAGTAGAAAAGTACCGAGAGACTGATTGAGAGAAGTGAGTGTAGGTGGGAATGGAAAAGAAGGATGGATAAGACAGACTTGGGTCTCACAGTCCACAAAACATGGAAAGTAGCATGCTGCAGGGGACAGAGACTGTGAATGAGCTCTGTGATCCAATGCTAGGAGACCTATACCACTCATAAGCTGAGTGCCCTTGGGCATGTAACTTCTCTTCTTGTGCCTCAGTTTTCTCACCTGTAAAATGGGGTTGATAAGTATCTGCTTCATGAGATTGTTGTCAAAATTACGTATGTTGAAACACCATTATGTTTTCTTATCTTTTGATGAGATAATTCTGCAAATGCCTTCTTGGTATTATTACCGGGAAAATGGAGTTAACAGGAGAGCCTTTGACTACAGCAGTTGGGGCCATTGGACTGCTTGAAACTATGTATTCCGTCTTTTCAGGATTACTCTGGACCATTCTCATTCAATGGTGGGGCATTCCTGTCCCTGACAGAGACCTTCCTGGAGCATCTTCACCCCAGACCAGTGGGAATGTTAAAGGGCTTGTTATGAAGCTCCTACATCTGGCCATAGCCAGAGTGATGCCCAATGGTTGGTTAAGAAGCACTTCCACCTACACGCACTGTGTCTGTGAAAATGAAGGAAGAAGGAAGGGGTTGTTTCTGCTAGCCGTGTCTTGTGAGGGAGCTCCCTCACAAACTCACCTCCTCAAATTCTCTGACTCTGAAAGGGAAGCATTCACACATGATATTTCTATAAAATTACTTTTATAGCCACTTAAACACAGGCCTGCTTTTTTTGTGTGTTTCTTTTGCTGCATGACTAATTGGGACTTGAGGAAAGCATCCAGCAGCACACCTGTTTTATCTGTTGTGACTATCTCTGCTCTCCAGAGAACATGTTCACTATGTAAAGAGGAGAAATGTGAACATCGTCATTAGCAACTGCTTATTGTTTCCTTTCCCCAAATCAGTTTTAACGCATCGACCTAGTAAAGCATATGCTGAGTTATTGGAGTTGGTTTTAAGAAGAGATAAGCCAAAAGGTTGTTTTAAATTGTTATGGCATGGAGGTGCCAGCCCTTTCAAAATATTGTGAAGTATGTCATGCACACAAAATAATACTACTAATAATAGTTAATAAAAAATTACCCACCACCCACCTTAAGAAATATTACCAGTAATTTAGAAGCCCCCTCTATGCCATGTCCCTCCTTCCTTGCCCCAGTTGTAACCTTTCTCCGGAATTTGTATTGATTACTCATTTGTTCTTTGTTTTTCCCATCTTCTAGATAAAAATTAAGATACCCAAATCATAGAATTACCCCTACTCCTCCCTTAGTTTTTGTGCTTATACATACATTCCTGAGCAATGTATTGTCTAGTTTTGCCTGGTTTGGGGCTTTGAATGAAATCATACTCTAGGGAATTTTCTGTTGTTTGCTTCTTTTATTCACTTTGTCCTTTTTGAGGTTTTCCAGGTTGATGCATCTATCTGTAATGGGTTCTTAACCTGTGTGAATGCCCCCTTCCCTGGAGTTCTGCCATAAACAGAGTAGCCCAGGCTGTAAAGTAGCCCAGGCTGTGTGAATAAACCACAATTCATTTACATATTCTGCCAGTGATCAATAATTGGACTTATTTCCAGGTTTTGGCTATTTGGTACAATGCTGCTATGAAGATTCTTGTACATTTCTCCTGGTATAAATTTTTCTAGGCCATACTTAGGAGTAAAGTCACTGGATTGTAAACATGCCAGGTTCAACCTTACCAGGTAATGTGAAGATATTTTCCAAAGAGCTTGAGTCACTTTGTGTTTTAAGAAGCATCTGCCAGAATGGAATTTGATATTCAAGAGATTTGTTGGAGAAATGGTGAAGGATAAAGGGGAGACAGAGGTGTAGACAGAGAAGCTTCAGACCTCAATACAGGTCTGGCCCTGTGAAAACAGAGGGGGATGAGCAGTACATGTCTATGATGCCACAGTAGCTACACCAATTCACACTCCCACCAGCAGCACCCAATTCCTGTTTCTCTGCATCCTTGCTGACACTTAGTTTTGTCAGACCTCTTAATAGTTGCCAATGTTTTGTGTGTAAAATGATATGTCATTGCGGTTTCCACTTGCATTCTCCTGATTACTAACGAGAATGGGCATCTATCCATAGTGTATGGGCCATTTGTATTTCATCTTCTGGGAAATGCCTATTCAGTTTTTGTGCTATATATATATTTTTTTCTGTTGGGCTATGTGTATTTTTCTAAGTGGTTTATAAGAGTCGTTTATATATTTTGGATGCTAATTATTTGTAGGTGATATATGTTACAAAAATTTTTACCCAGCTTGTAGCTTGTTTTTCTATTCCCTTCATTGTGTCTTTTGATGAACCAAAGTTCTAAATTTTGACGTATTTGAATTTATTAGTCATTCCCTTTATAATTCGTGCCTTTTGTGACTTGTTTTAAAATTTTCCCACTCTAAGGTTATATTGGAAATGTATTATTTTTGTAAAAGTTTGAATACTTTTAAAGTTCACATTCAAGTGTTTACTCCACTTAGAATTGAATTTATATTATGCTATGAGATAGGGATTCAATTTTATATTTTTCTTTATGTGAATAGCCAATTGTCTCAGTACTATATTTTGAATGGTGTTTCTACCCATGGTCGGCAATGTTATTCTGTCATACAGCATTTCCATATATGTGTAGGTTGTTTTCTGGGCTCTCTAAGCTTTTACACTAACCTGTTTATCCCAGGGACAATCTTGCACCGTCTTATTTACTGTAGCTTAAAATTATGTCTTGATATTAAGTAGGCTAATTCTCCCTACCTTGCTCTTTTTTTAGGAGGGTATTGACGGTTTTAAGACATTTGCTCTTTCCATGTAAAATTTAGAATAAGTGTAACTTCCCCTGGAAAAAATTGCAATTTTTATTGAAATTGCTTTGAATCTATAGATCAATTTAGAGAGAATTACATCTTTACAATGCTAAGTCTTCTTACCCGAGAACACCACCCATTTCTCCATTTATTTAGTTTGCTTTAATGTCTTTAAAGTTTTATAAGTTTCTCCAGAAAGTGCTTAAACATCTATTTCCAAAGCAGTGTTTTCAAATGATGTAGGTTTAGGAAATTTTTGCACCCTTAAAAATTATTTAAAAACTCGAAGATGGCCGAATAGGAACAGCTGCGGTCTACAGCTCCCAGCGTGAGCGATGCAGAAGACGGGTGATTTCTGCATTTCCATCTGAGGTACCGGGTTCATCTCACTAGGGAGTGCCAGACAGTGGGCGCAGGCCAGTGTGTGTGCGCACCGTGCGCGAGCCGAAGCAGGGCAAGGCATTGCCTCACCTGGGAAGCGCAAGGGGTCAGGGAGTTCCCTTTCCGAGTCAAAGAAAGGGGTGACGGACGCACCTGGAAAATCGGTTCACTCCCACCTGAATATTGCACTTTTCAGACCGGCTTAAAAAACGGCGCACCACGAGACTATATCCCACACCTGGCTCAGAGGGTCCTATGCCCACGGAATCTCGCTGATTGCTAGCACAGCAGTCTGAGATCAAACTGCAAGGCGGCAACGAGGCTGGGGGAGGGGCGCCCGCCATTGCCCAGGCTTGCTTAGGTAAACAAAGCAGCCGGGAAGCTCGAACTGGGTGGAGCCCACCACAGCTCAAGGAGGCCTGCCTGCCTCTGTAGGCTCCACCTCTGGGGGCAGGGCACAGACAAACAAAAAGACAACAGTAACCTCTGCAGACTTAAGTATCCCTGTCTGATAGCTTTGAAGAGAGCAGTGGTTCTCCCAGCACGCAGCTGGAGATCTGAGAACGGGCAGACTGCCTCCTCAAGTGGGTCCCTGACCCCTGACCCCCGAGCAGCCTAACTGGGAGGCACCCGCCAGCAGGGGCACACTGACACCTCACACGGCAGGGTATTCCAACAGACCTGCAGCTGAGGGTCCTGTCTGTTAGAAGGAAAACTAACAACCAGAAAGGACATCTACACCGAAAACCCATCTGTACATCACCATCATCAAAGACCAAAAGTAGATAAAACCACAAAGATGGGGGAAAAACAGAACAGAAAAACTGGAAACTCTAAAACGCAGAGCGCCTCTCCTCCTCCAAAGGAACGCAGTTCCTCACCAGCAACGGAAGAAAGCTGGATGGAGAATGATTTTGACGAGCTGAGAGAAGAAGGCTTCAGACGATCAAATTACTCTGAGCTACTGGAGGACATTCAAACCAAAGACAAAGAAGTTGAAAACTTTGAAAAAAATTTAGAGGAATGTATAACTAGAATAACCAATACAGAGAAGTGCTTAAAGGAGCTGATGGAGCTGAAAACCAAGGCTCGAGAACTACGTGAAGAATGCAGCAGCCTCAGGAGCTGATGCGATCAACTGGAAGAAAGGGTATCAGCAATGGAAGATGAAATGAATGAAATGAAGCGAGAAGGGAAGTTTAGAGAAAAAAGAATAAAAAGAAATGAGCAAAGCCTCCAAGAAATATGGGACTATGTGAAAAGACCAAATCTACGTCTGATTGGTGTACCTGAAAGTGATGTGGAGAATGGAACCAAGTTGGAAAACACTCTGCAGGATATTATCCAGGAGAACTTCCCCAATCTAGCAAGGCAGGCCAACGTTCAGATTCAGGAAATACAGAGAACGCCACAAAGATACTCCTCGAGAAGAGCAACTCCAAGACACATAATTGTCAGATTCACCAAAGTTGAAATGAAGGAAAAAATGTTAAGGGCAGCCAGAGAGAAAGGTCGGGTTACCCTCAAAGGAAAGCCCATCAGACTAACAGCGGATCTCTCGGCAGAAACCCTACAAGCCAGAGAGAGTGGGGGCCAATATTCAACATTCTTAAAGAAAAGAATTTTCAACCCAGAATTTCATATCCAGCCAAACTAAGCTTCATAAGTGAAGGAGAAATAAAATACTTTACAGACAAGCAAATGCTGAGAGATTTTGTCACCACCAGGCCTGCCCTAAAAGAGCTCCTGAAGGAAGCACTAAACATGGAAAGGAACAACCGGTACCAGCCACTGCAAAATCATGCCAAAATGTAAAGACCATCGAGACTAGGAAGAAACTGCATCAACTAATGAGCAAAATCACCAGCTAACATCATAATGACAGGATCAAATTCACACATAACAATATTAACTTTAAATATAAATGGACTAAATTCTGCAATTAAAAGACACAGACTGGCAAGTTGGATAAAGAGTCAAGACCCATCAGTGTGCTGTATTCAGGAAACCCATCTCACGTGCAGAGACACACATAGGCTCAAAATAAAAGGATGGAGGAAGATCTACCAAGCCAATGGAAAACAAAAAAAAGGCAGGGGTTGCAATCCTAGTCTCTGATAAAACAGACTTTAAACCAACAAAGATCAAAAGAGACAAAGAAGGCCACTGCATAAAGGTAAAGGGATCAATTCAACAAGAGGAGCTAACTATCCTAAATATTTATGCACCCAATACAGGAGCACCAAGATTCATAAAGCAAGTCCTGAGTGACCTACAAAGAGACTTAGACTCCCACACATTAATAATGGGAGACTTTAACACCCCACTGTCAACATTAGACAGATCAACGAGACAGAAAGTCAACACGGATACCCAGGAATTGAACTCAGCTCTGCACCAAGCGGACCTAATAGACATCTACAGAACTCTCCACCCCAAATCAACAGAATATACATTTTTTTCAGCACCACACCACACCTATTCCAAAATTGACCACATAGTTGGAAGTAAAGCTCTCCTCAGCAAATGTAAAAGAACAGAAATTATAACAAACTATCTCTCAGACCACAGTGCAATCAAACTAGAACTCAGGATTAAGAATCTCACTCAAAGCCGCTCAACTACATGGAAACTGAACAACCTGCTCCTGAATGACTACTGGGTACATAACGAAATGAAGGCAGAAATAAAGATGTTCTTTGAAACCAACGAGAACAAAGACACCACATACCAGAATCTCTGGGACGCATTCAAAGCAGTGTGTAGAGGGAAATTTATAGCACTAAATGCCTACAAGAGAAAGCAGGAAAGATCCAAACTTGACACCCTAACATCACAATTAAAAGAACTAGAAAAGCAAGAGCAAACACATTCAAAAGCTAGCAGAAGGCAAGAAATAACTAAAATCAGAGCAGAACTGAAGGAAATAGAGACACAAAAAACCCTTCAAAAAATCAATGAATCCAGGAGCTGGTTTTTTGAAAGGATCAACAAAATTGATAGACTGCTAGCAAGACTAATAAAGAAAAAAAGAGAGAAGAATCAAATAGACACAATAAAAAATGATAAAGGGGATATCACCACCAATCCCACAGAAATACAAACTACCATCAGAGAATACTACAAACACCTCTACGCAAATAAACTAGAAAATCTAGAAGAAATGGATACATTCCTCGACACATACACTCTCCCAAGACTAAACCAGGAAGAAGTTGAATCTCTGAATAGACCAATAACAGGCTCTGAAATTGTGGCAATAATCAATAGTTTACCAACCAAAAAGAGTCCAGGACCAGATGGATTCACAGCCGAATTCTACCAGAGGTACAAGGAGGAACTGGTACCATTCCTTCTGAAACTATTCCAATCAATAGAAAAAGAGGGAATCCTCCCTAACTCATTTTATGAGGCCAGCATCATTCTGATACCAAAGCCGGGCAGAGACACAACCAAAAAAGAGAATTTTAGACCAATATCCTTGATGAACATTGATGCAAAAATCCTCAATAAAATACTGGCAAACCGAATCCAGCAGCACATCAAAAAGCTTATCCACCATGATCAAGTGGGCTTCATCCCTGGGATGCAAGCCTGGTTCAATATACGCAAATCAATAAATGTAATCCAGCATATAAACAGAGCCAAAGACAAAAACCACATGATTATCTCAATAGATGCAGAAAAAGCCTTTGACAAAATTCACCAACCCTTCATGCTAAAAACTCTCAATAAATTAGGTATTGATGGGACGTATTTCAAAATAATAAGAGCTATCTATGACAAACCCACAGCCAATATCGTACTGAATGGGCAAAAACTGGAAGCATTCCCTTTGAAAACTGGCACAAGACAGGGATGCCCTCTCTCACCACTCCTATTCAACATAGTGTTGGAAGTTCTGGCCAGGGCAATCAGGCAGGAGAAGGAAATAAAGGGTATTCAATTAGGAAAAGAGGAAGTCAAATTGTCCCTGTTTGCAGACGACATGATTGTTTTTCTAGAAAACCCCATTGTCTCAGCCCAAAATCTCCTTAAGCTGATAAGCAACTTCAGCAAAGTCTCAGGATACAAAATCAATGTACAAAAATCACAAGCATTCTGATACACCAACAACAGACAAACAGAGAGCCAAATCATGAGTGAACTCCCATTCACAATTGCTTCAAAGAGAATAAAATACCTAGGAATCCAACTTACAAGGGATGTGAAGGACCTCTTCAAGGAGAACTACAAACCACTGCTCAAGGAAATAAAAGAGGACACAAACAAATGGAAGAACATTCCATGCTCATGGGTAGGAAGAATCAATATCGTGAAAATGGCCATACTGCCCAAGGTAATTTACAGATTCAATGCCATCCCCATCAAGCTACCAATGACTTTCTTCACAGAATTGGAAAAAACTACTTTAAAGTTCATATGGAACCAAAAAAGAGCCCGCATCGCCAAGTCAATCCTAAGCCAAAAGAACAAAGCTGGAGGCATCACACTACCTGACTTCAAACTATACTACAAGGCTACAGTAACCAAAACAGCATGGTACTGGTACCAAAACAGAGATATAGATCAATGGAACAGAACAGAGCCCTCAGAAATAATGCCGCATATCTACAACTATCTGATCTTTGACAAACCTGAGAAAAACAAGCAATGGGGAAAGGATTCCCTATTTAATAAATGGTGCTGGGAAAACTGGCTAGCCATATGTAGAAAGCTGAAACTGGATCCCTTCCTTACACCTTATACAAAAATCAATTCAAGATGGATTAAAGATTTAAACGTTAGACCTAAAACCATAAAAACCCTAGAAGAAAACCTAGGCATTACCATTCAGGACATAGGCGTGGGCAAGGACTTCATGTCCAAAACACCGAAAGCAATGGCAACAAAAGCCAAAATTGACAAATGGGATCTAATTAAACTAAAGAGCTTCTGCACAGCAAAAGAAACTACCATCAGAGTGAACAGGCAACCTACAACATGGGAGAAAATTTTCGCAACCTACTCATCTGACAAAGGGCTAATATCCAGAATCTACAATGAACTCAAACAAATTTACAAGAAAAAAACAAACAACCCCATCAAAAAGTGGGCGAAGGACATGAACAGACACTTCTCAAAAGAAGACATTTATGCAGCCAAAAAACACATGAAGAAATGCTCATCATCACTGGCCATCAGAGAAATGCAAACCAAAACCACTATGAGATATCATCTCACACCAGTTAGAATGGCAATCATTAAAAAGTCAGGAAACAACAGGTGCTGGAGAGGATGTGGAGAAATAGGAACACTTTTACACTGTTGGTGGGACTGTAAACTAGTTCAACCATTGTGGAAGTCAGTGTGGCGATTCCTCAGGGATCTAGAACTAGAAATACCATTTGACCCAGCCATCCCATTACTGGGTATATACCCAAAGGACTATAAATCATGCTGCTATAAAGACACATGCACACGTATGTTTATTGCGGCACTATTCACAATAGCAAAGACTTGGAACCAACCCAAATGTCCAACAATGATAGACTGGATTAAGAAAATGTGGCACATATACACCATGGAATACTATGCAGCCATAAAAAATGATGAGTTCATGTCCTTTGTAGGGACATGGATGAAATTGGAAACCATCATTCTCAGTAAACTATTGCAAGAACAAAAAACCAAACACCGCATATTCTCACTCATAGGTGGGAATTGAACAATGAGATCACATGGACACAGGAAGGGGAATATCACACTCTGGGGACTGTGGTGGGGTCGGGGGAGGGGGGAGGGATAGCATTGGGAGATATACCTAATGCTAGATGACGAGTTAGTGGGTGCAGCGCACCAGCATGGCACATGTATACATATGTAACTAACCTGCACAATGTGCACATGTACCCTAAAACTTAGAGTATAATAAAAAAAAAAAACATTAAAAAAAATTATTTAAAAACTCAAAGATTTTTTTGTTTATATGGTTTATAACTCTCAATATTTACCATATTCAAAATTAAAACTGATTCAATTTTTACATATTTATTTATTTTAGAACAATAACAAAGTTTTTGCTATAATTAAAACATGATTTTATGAAATATATTTTCTGAAACAAAACAATTTAGTCAGGAGTGTTCCATTGTTTTAATATTTTTAAAATCTCTTTAATGTTTCCTTTAATAAAAGGTAGTTGGATTCTCATATTTGCTTTTGTATTCAATCTGTTGCATTATATTATTTTGGTTAAAGGAAATATGACCTCACACAGATACATAGCAGGAAAAGTGAGGTTTCTATTCACCTTTTTATATAATTGTGGACATTCTTCTTTGATATTACATCAAACCCCCAAAAGTTAGCTTTTTAAAAGTTAAAATCTGAATTCTGAAATCATATCAATGAATCTTTTATACTCAGTTATATAAAAATCCATTGGTCTTGCTTACACTTTGAATGAATCTTTTACTCAAACATAACTTTTTAGTGTTATACATTAGGATTTTTTTGGTAAAATACTGGGTCACTGAGTTATGTAGATCTTCCAAATGTTCACATATTTCAATATGAAACATCAGGAATTCACATTCATTAATGTTCCCCCCAACTCATAAAAATCCTTAAGTACTGGAAAGCTGTCAAATTCTAGGTGGTAGATTCAAATTTTTCTAAATTCTAATTTTCACTTTAGTGATGGAATTTATCATAGGCAACAAATACCATCAGTTGTTTTTCTCCTTTTTCTTTTTCCTTTTCTTTTTTTTTTTTTTTTTTTTAGACAGAATCTCGCTCTGTCTGCCAGGCTGGAGTGCAGGTGGCAGGATCTCAGCTCACTGCAACCTCCACCTCCCCGGTTCAAGCGATTCTCCTACCTCAGCCTCCCAAGTAGCTGGGATTACAGGCTCACGCCACCACACTCGGCTAATTTTTGTGTTTTTAGTAGAGATGAGGTTCCACCATGTTGGCCAGGCTGGTCTGGAACTCCGGACCTCACGTGATCTGCCCGCCTCGGCCTCCCAAAGTGCTGGGATTACAGGTGTGAGCTGCCGCACCCGGCCTGTCAGTTGTTTTTCTTGAAGTAGTAGCCTCATTTTGTTCGTTTTCAAGAAAATGTCTGCTAAATACCCAAATTTGAATAACTATAGTTTGTTTCTGAGTTGTTCTTTAAAGTGAGTGTAATGCCATGAGAAAAGCAGATAATTCAGCTTGCAACTCCAGTCTGAGACAATCACTGGACTTTGGTACATGGCAGAAGTGTTCTCATATGAACTTCCCATTTTGTCACATGGAATATTAAAAAGATGTGCTCAGGGGTCAAGATTTAATATAATTAATACTTTTAATATAATTAATGATTCATAAAGGACATTCTTATGTGAAATTGGCTTTTTTTTTACTGTAAGCATGAGACAGTGAATAAAACAATGATTACTAACATGTTTATTTGTTGTAAGTTTTTTTGTTAGTAGGTATTGTTACACTAGGTAGTGTAAATTCTAACCTTCATAATCTAGATTTCTGGAAAGCTTTATACTTGGCCTCATTTGTTTAGCTTGCTATAGAGATGCCCTAATTGAGTTGTGCTTTATTGTTATGCCCTTGGCCACAAAGAAAATGACAAAATATTTTCTAAATGAATGGATGGATAAATTATCTGCTGCATTTACTACAAAACTATCATGTAAGATATTGTCCATTATGTTTTTCACAGTCCCTGGTATAAAAACCACACCACCAAGAGAAAGTTTAATTTCCTTGAAGAATTGTTAGATTTCCTTCTGTCAGAAAATACTTCTATAGCCCTTTTTCTCTAGTTGCTTGGAAAATCCGAGTGAAGTTTAATGCTCAATCACTATAACTCTCAAAGCTTAATGTTAGCTTATTTTCCCTTTGCATTTGCATATAATTAATCTTCCAGTTTTATCCTACTGATTTCAATGTGTATCTGTATAATGACAATAACAACAAACATTTATTGAGTTCTTACTACTTTCCAGATAATGATCTAGGAGCTTTGATTAAATTATGTCATTGTACACTGCTGCAGAACTTTTTGAAAAAGTATAGGGATATAAATCAATAAAGGTGTACATACATGTCAGTGTGAACTGATCACTATTTGATAATGAGATTTTATGGTGATAATAAGATTACATTCAACATGGGGCCACCCTTACATTAATGTGTCAGTTGATTACTTTTATTTAAAGAGGAGTTAGGGAACTTCAGTTTCCAACAGTATTATGTCTTAGATATCCTGAACAACACTCTTGATGAATATAACTAAAATACTAGATAGCACATATCTATCCCTAATTTAATGGCTTTAATTTGCTCCTGAAAACCCTGCTGCTGAGTGAAAAGCTGTTAAATGAAAAAAAAAAATCCCACTAATTTTAACAGGAAAAATTATTATGCATTCATCTCAATCCAAGATACATAAGCAATTATCACCTATACTGAACAAGAAAATTGAATAATTAAACAATGAAAATAAGTATATGTATGTAATAAACAACAATGTGAAAATAAATATAGTCTGAACATAAGGTTTAAAGTAATCAAGGTTTATTATGCTTTATTTTTCTGTATACATTATAATCTTGATCTATTTTCCTTTGTTGAGGTGGAGGGACTCATGATTATCTTGTATTGATACTGCATCTAAAAATAAAATTACAGAACAGAAAATCAACTTTAGAGGAAAATAAAGAAAAATCATTTCATGTTGAAATATGTGAAATAGCTCATTTGCACAACAGAATGAAGCTACCTCTTCATCCCTCTTACTTGGTATGTATGCCAAGCAAAATGTTTGGGTTCATTTAGACTTAATGCACAATTCAACTTTGTTCCACTATATGTATATATATATATATTTGTTTTTACTAAAAACTGTTTTGCTGATTAAATTCAGGAGGATGTTTTTGTCTGAAATTTTAATTTTGAAATATCACTTTTTATAGCATATTTATTTACCATGATTTTAGTGAATCAATACAGTGGCCAAAAAAAAACATGTCAGTAGTCATTGTTTTATTCACTGTCACATGCTTGTAGTAAAAAAAAAGCCAATTTCACACAAGAATGTCCTTGATGAATCATTAAAAATTATTAGTTATATTAAATATTGACCCTTGAGCACTAGTCTTTTTAATATTCCATGTGACAAAATGGGAAGTTCACATAAAAGCAATTCTGCCATGTACCAAAGTCCATTGATTGTCTCAGCTTGGAGTTATGAGCTGAATTATCTGCTTTTCTCACGGAATAACGCTTTCACTTTAAAGAACAACTCAGACACCAGCTATAGTGTCTATAAATAGCATGTTCAATATCAACTTCTTTAATTTTTATACCTCTCTGCTAGAGTTTTGCTAGTTTTATGGCATCCACTTCAAAACTTTGGTACTCTGTTTAACATACCTGGTAACCTGGTTAGTCAGTTAAGCTAAGATTAATATAACTTAGCAAATAGACAAGTTGGTGACGCTATTAAAGTTAACTACAGTGACCAATATTTTCACCCAGATAAAAGTTTATCTTGTAGACAGAATTTCTCTCACAATGCAGTTCTTCACCAATTTAAATATTCCTTTTTATGTAACAAACACTAAATATTTACCATGTACCTGACACTACTCTAAGTGCTTTACAAAGATTAATTCATTTAATCTTCATCCTATGGGGTAGGTACTATAACTTCTCCCCCTTCCTGTTTTACAGATAAGGAAAGTAAAGCACAGATATCTTTAAAAAATACTTACCTAAGGTAACACAGCCAGTAAGCAGCGGTCAGGAGTTGAACTCAGGCAATGTGGCTTCAAGATTCATGCTTTTACTACAATGATATGCTACCTCTTGGACAGGTACTTCACTGACATCCTGGAGTTCCACAACTTATGAGAAGCAGCTTTGGAACTGGGTAACAGGCAGATGTTGGAACAGTTTGGAGGGCTCAGAAGAAGACAGGAAGATGTGGGAAAGTTTGGAACTTCCTAGAGACTTGTTTAATGGTTTTGACCAAAATGCAGATAATAATGTGGACAATGAAGTCTAGGCTGAGGTGGTCTCAGGTGGAGATGAGGAACTTACTGGGAACTGGAGCAAAGGTGACTCTTGCTATGCCATAGCAAAGAGAATGGAGGATCTCAAAAGAAGACATTCATGCAGCCAACAGACACATGAAAAAATGCTCATCATCACTGGCCATCAGAGAAATGCAAATCAAAACCACAATGAGATACCATCTCACACCAGTTGGAATGGCGATCATTAAAAAATCAGGAAACAACAGGTGCTGGAGAGGATGTGGAGAAATAGGAACAGTTTTACACAGTTGGTGACACTGTAAACTAGTTCAATCATTGTGGAAGACTGTGTGGCGATTCCTCAGGGATCTAGAACTAGAAATACCATTTGACCCAGCCATCCCATTACTGGGTATATACCCAAAGGATTATAAATCAGGTGGCTGTAAAGACATGCACACGTATGTTTATTGTGGCACTAGTCACAATAGCAAAGACCTGGAACCAACCCAAATGTCCAACAATGATAGACTGGATTAAGAAAATGTGGCACATATACACCATGGAATACTATGCAGCCATAAAAAAGGATGAGTTCATGTCCTTTGTAGGGACATGGATGAAGCTGGAAACCATAATTCTGAGCAAACTATCACAAGGTCAGAAAACCAGACACCACATGTTCTCACTCACAGGTGGGAATTGAACAATGAGAACATGTGGACACAAGGTGGGGAACATCACACACTGATGCCTGTTGTGGGGTGGGGGGAGTGGGGAGGGATAGCATTAGGAGATATACCTAATGTAAATGATGAGTTAATGGGTGCAGCACACCAACATGGCACATGTATATATATGTAACAAACCTGCATGTTGTGCACATGTACCCTAGAACTTAAAGTATAATGAAAAAAAAGAGAGAGAATGGAGGCATTTCATCCCTGCCTTAGAGATCTGTGGAAACTTGAACTTGAGAGAGATAATTTAAGGAATCTGGCAAAAGACATTTCTAAGCAGCACAGTATTCAAGAGGTCACCTGGTTGATTCTGAAAGTGTTCAGTTATGCATGCTCACAGAGAGATGGTTTGGATTGGAACTATGTTTAAAGAGGAAGCAAAGTGTAAAAGTATGGGAAATTTGTAGCATAACCAAGTGGTAGAAAAGAAAAACCCATTTTCTGGGGAGGAATTCAAGCTGGCTGCAGAAATTTGCATAAGTAATGAGGAGCTGATTGTTAATAGACAAGACAATGGGGAAAATGTCTCCAGTGCATTTCAGAGACCTTCACAACAGCCACTCCTATTACAGGCCCAGAAGCCTAGGAGGGAAAAATGGTTTTCCAGGCCAGGCCCAGAGCACCTCTGCTCCATGAAAAAGCAGCCCAGGGTCTTGGTGCCCCGTGTCCCAACCACTCCAGCTCCAGCCATGGCTAAAAGGGGCCAAGGTACAGACAGCTCCAGCCATTGTTTCAGAGTGTCCAAGCCCCAAGTCTTGGCAGCTTCCATGTAGTGTCAGGCCTGCAAGTGCACAAAAGTCAAGAATTGATGTTTGGGAATCTCCACTTAGATTTCAGAGGATGTATGGAAATGCCTGGATGTCCAGGCAGAAGTTTGCTTCAGGAGTGGAGCCTTCATGAAGAACCTCTGCTAGAGCAATGTGGAAGGGAAATGTGGGGTTGGAGTCCCCACACAGAGTCCCCAGTGGGGCACTGCCTAATGGAACTGTGAGAAGACAGCCACTGTCCTCCAGACCCCAGAATGATAGATTCACTGACAGCTTGCACCATGTGCCTGGAAAAGCCACAGGCACTGAACACCAGTTAGTGAAGGAACTGCCCAAGGTTGTGGGAACCCACCATTTGCATTATCATGCCCTGGATGTGAGACATGGAGTCAAAGGAGATCATTTCAGAGTTTTAAGATGTAATGACTGCCCCACTGGGTTTTGGATTGGAATGGGGCCTGTGACCCTTTGCTTTGGCCAATTTCTCCTATTTGGAATGGGATCATTTACCCAATGTCTGTACCCTACTGTATCTTCAAGTAACTAACTTGCTTTTAATTTTACATGTTCATAGGCTGAAGGGATTTGCCTTGTCTCTCAAATGAAACTTGGGACTTTGACTTTTGAGTTAATGCTGGAATGAGTTAAGACTATGGGGGACTGTTGGGAAGGCATGATTGGTTTTAAAATGTGAGGACATGAGATTTGGGAAGAGCCAGGGGTGGAATTATATGGTTTGGCTCTGTGTCCCCACCCAAATCTCATCTTGAATTGTAATCCCCATGTGGCAAGGGAGGAACCTGATGGGAAATGATTAAATATTGGATCATGGGGGTGGTCTCCCTTATGCTGTTCTTGTGATAGTGAGGGAGATCTCATGAGATCTGATGGTTTTATAAGTGCCTGGCATTTCCCCTGTTGACACTCTTCTCTCACCTGCTGCCATGTAAGACATGCCTGCCTCCCCTTCTGCCTTGATTGTAAGATTCCCGAGACCTCCTAGCCATGCTTCCTGTTAAGCCTGCAGAACTATGAGTCAATTGAACTTCCTTCCTTTGTAATTACCAAGCTTCAGATAGTATGCTTTATAGCAGTGTGAGAATGCACTAATACACTTGGCCTAGAAGAATTTCAGAGTGGGTGTTACTCCCTTCAGCCATAGGAAACACTCATTCACACTCCTCAGAAGGTCTGATTCTATATGAGGCTGCTAAGATGAGTTGTCTGCCAAATGTGCCCTGGAATAACTGACCAAGTTTGCCTGCTGAGTGTTGTTTATTTATATTGTAGTGAGTGTTTACAAGGTCTACAAAGATAACTTTAGTTTTGACCAGGGCCAATTACTTATGAAATCTTCTCAAATTAAAAAAGGTACTAAAATATAGCCCTCTATTTTATCTTTGGAAATTATTTTCTGTCATGTCAGGGGAACATTTATGCCTACACTGATTCTTTTAGTGATACAACAGACACATTTTGCAGAGGCACTTATAATCAGGGGTCTATGGTAATGTCATGTAGTTTGCTTTATTGATAGCTTCTATCTGCATAATTGTGGGCAGTAAAAAATAATAAAGCCAACATTTTCATCTATGCTATGTATCCCATCCCTGCCCAATTTTACAAAATCATACAGCAATGATAATTTCTTTCTTTCTTATGTATATTCACCATTTTCCTCTTTACACTGTATCTTCTCCAATAATGTTTAAACATGCTCCAATCATTTATCTCTTTTAAGGATGCTCTTTGGTCTGTATTTCCTCTTCCTGCCCTTGTCCTGACCAGTTACCACCTCATCTCATCTGCTACCACTCACTGAATTGGTGTCTTTTTCTGTTCCTATGCTGCTATAAAGGAATATCTGAGGGTGGGTAATTTATAAAGAAAAGAGGTTTATTTGGCTCATGGTTCTGCTGGCTGTACAAGAAATATGAATCTAGCATTTGAATCTGGTGAGGGCCTCAAGCTTGTTCTACTTATGTTGGATGGTGAAGGGAAGCCAGTGTGTGCAGAGATCACATGCAGAGAGAGGAGGCAAGACACAGGGGAGGAGGTATGAGGCTCTTTAACAACCAGCTCCTGTGGAAACTCATAGAGCAAGAACTAACTCACTACTATGAAGATGGCACCAAGTCATTTATGAGGAATACACCCCCATGACCCAAATACCTTCCACTAGGTCCCACCTTCAGCTTTCAAATTTCAGCATGAGATTTGGAGGGCTCAAATATCCAAACCATATCAATTGGCTTTTGTCAAGATAATTATGGTATTGAATACTGATGACTAAATGTAGCCATTGGAATCAGTGTGATCTATTACATGAAGCTGAAGTTGGGTGGTCTTGGTGGTCACTAACTTCTCCTAAATTCGGATTGTCCAAAACTAAACACATCTCTCTTCTAAGTTTTCCCTCCTCTTATGCTGACCATTTCAACAAATGTAATTTTTCATTCATCCAATTAACCATGTCAGGGAGTCACTTTAAAATTATGTTTTCAGTTGTGAATATGTTGAATTTGAGCTATTCATGGTCAAGAGGAGATATTAGGCTAGATTTGTTCCAATATGTATTTATGAATATGAGCCTTAAATGGATCATTAGTAAGGCTTGACCTTCCTTGTATGTTTTTCTGGTCAAACAATTTTCCTCTTTCTACAGCAACTTTTCTTAAAACTACATGTGTCTCTAACCTCTTAAAATGTCTCTAACCTCTACCACCTTCTTCATTCTCAGCAGATGTCTTTTCCTTCTATTTAATAGAAAAATAGAGCCCATTAAATGGAAAATCCTCCCACATATACACCCATCCTCTTCTCCATCCCTCGTATTATAACACAGGATTTGCTCTTCCTCCCATATAAAGTCAGTTTTCTGTTGCGGGAAGTCAGGGACCCCGAATGGAGAGACCACCTGAAGCCAAGGCAGAAGAATGTGGATTGTGAAGATTTCATGGACATTTATTAGTTCCCCAAACTAATACTTTTATAATTTCTTATACCTGTCTTTACTGCAAATTGTGAAGATTTCATGGATACTTATCACTTCCCCAGTCAATACCCTTGTGATTTCCTATGCCTGTCTTTACTTTAATCTCTTAATCCCATCATCTTTGTAAACTGAGGAGGATGTATGTCACCTCAGGACCCTGTGATGATTGTGTTAGCTGCACAAATTGTTTGTAGAGCATGTGTTTGAACAATATGAAATCTGGGCACCTTGAAAAAAGAACAGGATAACAGCAATGTTCAGGGAACAAGAGAGATAACCTTAAACTCTGACTGCTGGTGAGCCAAGCAGAACAGAGCCATATTTCTCTTCTTTCAAAAGCAAATGGGAGAAATATCGCTGAATTCTTTTTCTCAGCAAGGAACATCGCTGAGAAAGAGAATGTGTTCCTGAGGGTAGGCCTCTAAAATGGCCGCTTTGGGGGCAGCTGTCTTTTACAGTCGCAGCTGTAGGGATGAAATAAGCTCCAGTCTCCCATAGCGCTCCCAGGCTTATTAGGATGAGGAAATTCCCGCCTAATAAATTTTGGTCAGACCAGTTGTCTGCTCTCAAACCCTGTTTCCTGATAAGATGTTATCAATGACAATGCATGCCCAAAACTTCATTAGCAATTTTAATTTTGCCCTGGTCCTGTGGTCCTGTGATCTCGCCCTGCCTCCATTTACCTTGTGATATCTTATTACCTTGTGAAGCATGTGATCTCTGTGACCCACACCCTATTCATAGACTCCCTCCCCTTTTGAAAATCACTAATAAAAAACTTGCTGGTTTTGTGGCTTGGGGGGCATCACGGAATCTGCCGACATGTGATGTCTCCCCTGGACAAGCAGCTTTAAAATTTCTCTCTTTTGTACTTTGTCCCTTTATTTCTCAGACCAGCCAACACTTAGGGAAAATAGAAAAGAACCTACATGAAATATCGGGGGTGAATTTTGCCCAATAGTTTTCCATCTGTATTCTAGATTCCATCCACATCGGACTTCTCAACAACTGAGCACCATTGATTGTCTCCTTTTTAAATATTAGACCACCCCTTCTCAATGATAACCTTCTTCTTTGCCTTAAAACATGCTCAAGCCTCTTCCATTAAAATAAACTACTGAAGACTTTTGCTTTTAAGTAAATTGAAATCACAGGGACTAGTTTTTCCCTCCCAGATGAAATAACATACAAAGGCAAACTCTGAAATGACAATTCTCAAAACATTAAAGATTAGACAATGAAGAACTGTGATCCTAGAGGGACAGGAAGCAAATATAGCCTACAATTGGTTTAGCTTACTATTTAGAGAAATTCTTCAAGCTAGATAGTAGGTAGGGTTATTTCCCTAATTTGAGAAGAAGGAATTAGGAGTCCAGGTAGGCTGTGGCAGCTGGAGATCACAGGGTAAAATACCAGAGAAGATAAGCTACATAGAGAAAGAACTCTAGAGATCTGCACAGAGTCCCCCATGAGTATTCATCCAAGTACTAGTAAGTGCATACATGTGATGAAAGTACCCAAGGTCATGAAAAGAACCACCTAAAAAGTTATAGATGGAACTATCCATGGTGTCCATACATTTCCTGGAATAGTGCTTGTTCTCAAGAGCCATAGTGGAAAATCTCATAACTCATTGGACATTAAGTTGAATACATAGATGAGGTTTACCTCAGTCACAGGGAAAAATTAACCCTAAAGTAAATGCTTCTCTGATCCCCTAAGAAAGCTAGAAAGTAAGACCTTAAAGGATAACACTATTTCCAAGTAATTTAGGTGAATTTACAAACAAACCTTGAGACTATAGGAATACAAAAATATACAACACACATCAATTTAAAAGATAGAATGTCTACATCCAATTGAAATTATCAGTCATGCAGAGAAACAGGAAAAAAATAATAAAATTTATCAACAAAAACATTCAGAAATGATACAGATGATAGAATTAATAGGCAATAATATTAAATGATTATTATAGCTATATTCTGTATGTTCAAGAAGCCAAGGGAAATATTAAAAATATTAAGTTGAGATACAAAATGTATGGAAAAAACCCAAGCCTAACATCTAGAAATAAAATCATAATGTCTGACAATAACAATCCAATGGATGCTATTCTATTAACAGCAGATTAGACATTGCAGAATAAAGGATTAGTGAACGTATGGATACATAGTTGGTGTATATATTTATTGGGGTACATGAGATTTTTTTAAAAAACTTTTATTTTAGGTTCAGAGGTACATGTTCAAGTTTGTTATATAGGTAAACTCATGTTACAGACCTTTGTTTTACAGATTATTTCATTACCCAAGTACTAAGCCTAGTACCCAAATAGTTATTTTTTCTGATCCTATCCCTCCTCCCAACCTCCACACTTAGAGAGGTCCCAGTGTCTGTTACTCCCTTGTTTGTATCCATGCATTCTCAACATTAAGCTGCTCACTTATAAGTGATAACATATGGTATTTGGTTTTGTGTCCTGTGTTAGTTTGCCAAGGATAATGGCCTGCAGCTCCATCCATGTTTTTGTAAAGAACATTATCTCATTATTTTTTATGGCTGCACAGTATTCCATTGTGTATATGTACCACATTTGTCTTTATGCAGTCTGATTTCATGTCTTTTCTATTGTGAATAGTGCTGCAGTGAACATATACATGCATGTGTCTTTATGATAGAACAATTTATATTCCTTTGGGTATGTACTCAGTAATGGGATTGATGGGTTGAATGGTAGTTCTGTTTTTAGCTCTTTGAGGAATTACCACTCTGCTTTTCACAATGGTTGAACTGATTTACACACCCACCAGCACGTCTGTAAGTGTTCTCTTTTCTCTACAACCTTACCAGCACCTGTTATTTGTTTGACTTTTTAGTAATGCCCATTTTGTCTGGTGTCAGATGGTATCTCATTGTAGTTTTGATTTGCATTTCTCTAATAATCAGTGATACTGAGCCTTTTTTCATATGCCTTTTGGTTGCATGGTATGTCTTCGTTTGAAAATTGTTCATGTCCTTCACCTTCTCTTTAATGGTGTTTGTTTTTTTCTTGTAAATTTAAGTTCCTTATAGATGAAAAATATTAGACTTTTGTCAGGTGCATAGTTTGTAAATAGCTTCTCCCAATCTGTAGGTTGTCTGTTTAGTCTGTTGATAGTATCTTTTGCTGTACGGAAACCCTAGAGTTTAATTAGATCCCAGTTGTCGATATTTGCTTTGGTTGCAATCGCTTTTGGTGTCTTCATCATGAAATCTTTTCCTGTGCCTATGTCCTGAATGGTATTGCCTAGATTTCCTTCTAGGGTTTTTATGGATTTTGAGTTTTAAGTCTTTAATTCATCTCGAGTTGATTTTTGAGTATAGTTTAAAGAAGGGGTTCAGTTTCAATCTCCTGCATAAGGTTAGCCAGTTATCCCAGCACCATTTATTAAAAAGCGTGTCCTTTCCCCATTACTTGTTTTTGCTAGCATTGTTGAAGATCAGATAGATAGTTGTAGGTGTGCAGCCTTATTTCTAGGCTCTCTACTCTGTTCCATCGGTCTATGTGTCTAGTTTTGTATCAGTGCCATGGTGTTTTGATTACTGTAACCCTGTAGTATTATTTGAAGTCTGGTAATGTGATGCCTCTGTCTTGTTCTTTTGCTTAGGATCGCCTTGGTTATTCTGACTCTTTTTCATTTCTATGTGAATATTAAAATAGTTTTTCTAGTTTTGTGAAGAATGTTATTGGTAATTTGATAGAAATAACATTGAATTGGTAACTTGCTTTGGGCAGTATGGCCATTTTAATGATATTGATTGTTCCCATCCATGAACATGGAGCATTTTTTCATTTGTTTGTGTCATTTCTGATTCCTTCAAGCAGTGTTTTGTAATTATCATTGTAGATATCTTTCATGTCCCTGGATAGCTGGATTCCTAGGTATTTTATTCTTTTTGTGGCGATTGTGAATGTGATTTCATTGTTGATTTCGCTCTTGGCTTGGCTGTTGTTGGTGTATAGTAATGCTAGTGATTTTTGTGTGTTGATTTTGTGTCCTGAAACTTTGCTGAAGTTGTTTATCAGCTTAGGGAGCTTTCGGGCTCATACTATGTGGTTTCCTAAATATAGAATCATGTTGTCCGCAAGCAGGAATAGTTTTACTTCCTCTCTTCATATTTGGATGCATTTTATTTCTTTCTCTTGCTCGGTTCCTCTGGCCAGGACTTCCATTGCTATATTGAATAGGAGTGGTGAGAAGGCATCCTTTCTTATACCATTTTCAAGAGGAACACTTACAGCTTTTGCCCATTTAGGATTATGTTGGCTTTGAGTTTGTCATGAGTTTGTCATGGATGGCTCTTACTACTCTGCGGTATGTTCCATCCATACCTAGTTTACTGAGAGTTTTTAACATAAAGCAGTATTGAATTTTATTGAAAGCATTTTTGCATCTATTGAGATAATCATGTAGTTTTTGTCTTTAGTTCTGTTTATGTGATGAATTACATTTATTGATTTGCATATGTTGAACCTACCCTGCATCCCAGGAATAAAGCCTTCTTGATCATGGTAGACTGGATTTCTGATGTGCTGCTGGATTCAGTTTGCTAGTATTTTGTTGACAATTTTTGCGTCTATGTTCATCAAGGATATTGGCCTGAAGTTTTCTTTTCTGGTTGTATAGTTTTCAGGTTTTGATATCAGATGATGCTGGCCTCATCGAATGAGCTGGGGATGAATCCCTCCTCCTCAATTTTTTGGAATTGTTTCAGTAGGAATAGTACCAGTTCTTCTTTATACATCTAGTACAATTTGGCTGTGAATCCATGTGGTCCTGTGCTTTTTTTGGTTGGTAGGCTATTTATTACTGATTCAGTTTTGGAGCTTGTTATTGGTCTGTTCAGTAATTCAATCTCTTCCTGTTTCAGTCTTGGGAGGGTGTATGTGTCTAGGAATTTATCCACTTCTAGATTTTCTGGTTTGTGCGCATAGAGGTGTTCTTTGTAGTCTCTGAGGGTTATTTGTATTTCTGTGGTGTCGGTGGTAACATCCCCTTTGTTGTTTCTAAGTGTGTTTATTTGGATTTTCTCTTTTTTCTTCTTTATTAATCTAACCAGTGGTTTATGCATCTTATTAACTTTTTTTTTTTTAAAAGATCCAGCTCCTGGATTGTTGATTTTTTGAATGTTTTTTTCAGGTTTCTTTCACAGAGTTCAGCTCTGATTTTGATTATTTCTTATCTTCTGCTAGCTTTAGGATTGGTTTGCACTTGCTTTTCTAGTTCTTTTAATTGTGATGTTAGATTGTTAATTTGAGATCTTTCTAACTTTTTGATGTGGGTGTTTAGTGCGATAAATTTCTCTCTTAGCACTTCCCTAGGTATGTCCCAGAGATCCTGGTATGTTGTATTTTTGTTCCCATTAGTTTTAAAGAACTTTTTATTTCTGCCTTAATTTCATTATTTACCCAAAAGTCATTCAGGAGAAAGTTGTTTGATTTCCATGTAATTTTATGGTTTTGAGTGACTTTCTCAGTCTTGATTTGTATTTTTATTGCACCGTGGTCTGAGTGAGTGGTTGGTATTATTTAAGTTATTTTTGCATTTGCTGAGTATTATTTTATGTCAAATTGTGTGGTTGATTTTAGAATACGTGTCATGTGGCCATGAGAAGAATGTATATTCTGTTGTTTTGGGGTGGAGAGTTCTATGGATGTCTATCAGGTCAATTTGGTCCAGTGATGAGTTCAGGTCCTGAATATTTTTGCTAATTTTCTGCCTTGATGACCTGTCTAATATTGCCAATGGGGTGAAGTCTCCCACCATTATTGTGTGGGAGTCTAAATCTCTTTGAAGGTCTCTAAGAACTTGCTTTATGAACCTGGGTTGGGTGCATATATATTTGGGATAGTCAGGTCTTCTTGTTGAATTGGACCCTTTACCATTATGTAATAATGCCCTTCTTTGTCTTTTTTGATCATTGTTGGTTTAAAGTCTGTTTTGCCTGAAATTAGGATCTCAACCCCCATTTTTTCTGTTTTCCATTTGCTTGATAGATTTTCCTCCACCCCTTTATTTTGAGCATGTGAGTGTCACTGCATGTGAGATTGATCTCTCAAAGAGAGCATACCATTGGGTCTTGCTTCTTTATCCAACTTTCCACTCTGTATCTTTTAATTGGGGCATTTAGTCCATTTACATTCAAGGTTAGTATTGATATCTGTGGATTTGATCCTGTCATCAAAGTATTATTATTATTATGCAGACTTCTTTGTATGGTTGCTTTATAGTGTGACTATTTCATGTATGTAAGTATGTTTTTGTAGTGGCTGGTGATGATCTTTCCTTTCCATATTTAATGTTTCTTTCAGGAGCTCTTGTAAGGCAGATCTGACAGTTATAAATTCCCTCAACATTTGCTTATCTGAAAAGAATTTTATTTGATTGGGAAGTGTAGTTTGGCTGGATATGAAATTCTTGATTGGAATTTCTTTTCTTTAAGGATGTTGAATTTTGGTCCCCAGTCTCTTCTGGCTTGTAGGGTTTCAGCTGAGAGGTCTATTGTTAGCCCGATGGGCTTCTCTTGATAGGTGACTTGTCCTTTGTCTCTAGCTATCTTTAACATTTTTTCTTTCATTTCAACCTTGGAGAATCTGATGATTATATGTCTTGGTGATGATCTTCTTGTGAAGTATCTTTTGGAGATTCTCTGCATTTCTTGAGTTTGAACATTGGCCTCTCTAGCTACGTTGGGGAAGTTCTCATGGGTATTCTGAAACATGTTTTCCAAGTTGCTTTCTTTCTCCCCATGTCTTTCGGGGACTGACTGTCTTATTTCAGAAAACAAATCTTCAAGCTCTGAGATTTTTTCCTTAGCTTGGTCTATTCTGCTGTTAACAATTGCTATTGCATCATGAAATTCTTATAGTGTGTTTTTCAGCTATATCAGGTCACTTACATTATTTTTCTATACTGGCTATTTTACCTGTCAGCTCTTGTATCATTTTATTGTGATTTTAGCTTCCTCAGATTGTGTTTCAACATTCTCTTAAATCTTGATGATCTTTGTTCCTATTCATAGTCTGAATTCTATTTCTGTCATTTCAGCCATCTCAGCCTGGTTAAAAACCCTTGCTGGAGAATTAGTGCCATTGTTGGAGGAAAGAAGACATTCTGGCTTTTTGAGTTGTCAGAGTTCTTGCACTGGTTCATTCTCAACTTTATGGGCTGACGTTCCATCAGTCATTGAAATTGCTGTCCTTAGGAAATTTTTTATTTCCTTTGTCCTATTTGATGACCTTGAAGGTTTGATTATGATATAAGGTGGGTTCAGTCAACTGGTTTTGTTTCTGGAACATTTTAGGGAGCCAGGGTTCAACACAAGAATCTTGGCAGTATGATGGACGAGGGGCAGGGGTGGACAAATTTTGGCAGCAGTGGCACCACAGGGTGCACACACACATTTGCACTGGTAGAGAAGGAAAGGCAAAGTTCACCTGTGCAAACATGCACTGGCAAAGTGATGTTGAAGGTGGCTGTGGGCAAGTGTATGCAGGCAAAGTGACATGGGGGAGGCTGCAGTAGGGGGAGGGCATGGGCAGGCTGGTGCATGTCCATAGGGGTCACTCTGTAGAGGCTCTCTGCTGGTCAGGCATAGTCTGCCAGTTCAGAAGCTATGATGCAGGCCCCAAGGGGGTATGCCCCCTGGGCACCGGAGGCTGCTGTGCAAGCAAGCATGGCCAGGCTGAGTCCCAGGAGAGGCCAGCAGACTGACACATGCTCAGCTTGGACTGGGCCTCTCTCATGGGCAGGACTACCCTTCAGAGTTCAGGTCCCATAGTTCCTCTACAGCTAAAGTCTTCTATAGGAGCAAGTTGAGCCTAGGCAGATGGGCTTCCCTGGCAGTGTTCCACTACAGATTCTCCCACACTAAACCCTCTGGGCTCTGCGCCAGCTGGAGTTCTGCCCCTAACACTTCTCTAAGCAGCTTTCCCTGTGAACTCAAGTGTCCATGGTGACCACAGGGTCTCCTTCTGCTGGGATTCCAGGGGCCTGTGGTGAGAATGGGTTGTTCTTTGCCTGTTTAACTTACCCATTCCCCAGGAGTCATTGGGGACCAGGACTGAGTCCCAGTGTGTTTTATCACTATTCAGGGTTCCTAGCTGCCTCCTCATTCATTCCAGCATCTGTGTCTTTCCTCCATCCACTCTCAATGCCTTCTCTCTGACGATCTGCTAGTAGTGCGCCAATCTTCCTGATGTCCCAGTCTCTTGGTGGCAGATGTTCTTCCTGGCTGTCTCCAGTAGACCATCTTGCCCCTCAGTTGACATGAGATGTTTTAATACAGGCATACAAAGCATGATAATCACATCATGGAGAATGGGGCAGCCATCCCTTCAAGCATTTATCCTTGTGGTACAAATAATCCAATTGCACTCTTTTTAAAAAATGTACAATTTTGAAATGTACAAATAAGTTATTGTTGACTATAGTCACCCTGTTATGCTATCAAATAACAGGTCTTTTTTTTCTGTTGTTTTATACCCATTAATAATCTTTACACCTCCACCCCCACTACTGTGTGCTCACAAAAATTAAAAATCAAAAATGGTTAGTGAATTTGAAGACTAGCAATAGCAAATATCCAAAATAAAAACATAGACTAAAGATAAAGAAAAATGAACAAAACATCAGTGAGCTGTGTGACAATTTTGAGCACCCTACTATATATGTAATTAGATTCCTGGAAGAAGAGAGGGTAAGGTAGAGAAGAAAGCAGAAAATATATTTGAAGTAATAATGAATGAAACTTTTTTCAAATTTGATATAAGCTATAAAACAACTGATATGGTTTGGCTGTGTCCCCATCCAAACTTCATTCTGAATTGTAGCTCCCACAATCCTCATATGTTATGGGAGGGACCCAGCGGGAGGTAGTTGAGTTATTGGGGTGGTTACCCCCATGCTGGTGTTCTGTGGATAGTGAGTGACCTGATAATTTTATAAGGGGCTTTTTCCACTTTTGCTGTGGACTTCTCCTTGCTGCCACCACTGGAATAAGGAAATGTTTGCTTCCTCCTCTGCCATGATTGTAAGTTTCCTGAGGCCTCCCCAGCCATGCAGAACTGTGAGTCACTTAAATCTCTTTCCTTTATAAATTACCCAGTATTGGGTATGTCATTATTAGAAGCATCAGAATGGACTAATACAGTAAATTGGTACTGGGTAGTGGAATGTTGCTATCAAGATACCTGAAAATGTGGAAGTGACTGTGGAATTGAGTAAAAGGCAGAGGTTGGAACAGTTTGGAGGGCTCAGAAGAAGACAAAAAAGAGGGAAAGTTTGGAACTTACTAGAGACTTGGAGGGCTCAGAAGACAAGATGTGGGAAACTTTGGAACTTCTTAGAGACTTGTTGAATGTCTTTGACCAGAATACTGATAGTGATATGGACAATAAAGTCCAGGCTAAGGTGGTCTCAGATGGAAATGAAGAACTTGTTGGGAACTGGAGTAAAGATCACTCTTGTTATAGAGAGAGACTGGCAGCATTTTGCCTCTGCCCTAGAGATTTGTGGAACTTTAAACTTGAGAGAGTTGATTTAGGGTATCTGGCAGAAGAAATTTCTAAGCAGAAAAGTGTTGAAGAGGAAGCAGAACATAAAAATTTGGAAAATGTGCAGCCTGACTATGTGATAAAGAAGAAAACCCCATTTTCTGGGGAGAAATTCAAGCTTGCTGCAGAAATTTGCATGAGTGACTAGGTGCAAAATGTTAATCACCAAGACAATGGGGAAAATGTCTCCAGGGCATGTCAGAGTCCTTTACGGCAGCCCCTCCCATCACAGACCTGGAAGCCTAGGAGGGGAAAATGGTTTCATGGGCCAGGCCCAGGGACCCCCTGCTCTATGCAGCCTTGGGACATGGTGCCCTTCATTCCAGCTGCTTCAGCTCCAGCCATGGCTAAAAGGGGCCAGCTCAGGCTATTGCTTCAGAGGGTGCAAGCTCCAAGCCTTGGTGGCTTACACGTGATGTTGGGCCTGCTGGTGCACAGAAGTCAAGAATTGAAGTTTGAGAACTTCCACCTAGATTTCAGAGGATGTATGGAAATGCCTGGATGTAGAACCTCTGCTAGGGCAGTGTGCAAGGGAAATGTGGGGTGAGAGCCTCCACACAGAGACCCCACTGGGGCACTGCCTAGTGGAGCTGTGAGAAGAGGGCCACTGTCCTCCAAACCCCAGAATGTTACATCCACCAACAGCTTGCACTGTGCAAATGGAAAAGCCACAGACACTCAGTGCCATCTCATGAAATGAGCCAGGAGGGAGGCTGTACCTCACAAAGCCACAGGGGTGGAGGTGCCCAAGACCATGGGAGCCTACCTCGTGCATCAGTGTGACCTGGATGTGAGACACGGAGTCAAAGGAGATCATTTTGGAACTTTAAGGTTTAATGACAGCCCTATTGGATTTCAGGCTTGCATGGGGCCTGTAGCCCCTTTGTTTTGGCCAATTTCTCCCATTTGGAATGGTTGTATTTAACCAATTCCTGTACCTCCATTGTAGCTAGGAAGTAACTAACTTGCTTTTGATTTTACAGGCTCATAGGTGGAAGGAACTTGTCTTGTCTTGGATGAGTCTTTTGAGTTTGACTTTCAGTTAATGCTGGAATGAATTAAGACTGTAGGGGACTGTTGAGAAGGCATGATTGGTTTTGAAATGTGAGAACATGAGATTTGGAAGGGGCCAGGGGTGGAATGGTATGGTTTGGCTGTGTCCCCACCCAAATCTCATCTTGAATTCTAGCTCCCATGTATTGTGGGAGGGACCCAATACGAGGTAATTGAATCATGGAGGCAGTTACCCCATGCTGCTATTACTATAGTGAGTGATTTGATGGTTTTATAAGGGGCTTTTCCCCCTTTTGCTGAGCAGTTCTCCTTGCTGTTGCCATGTGAAGAAAGACGTGTTTGCTTCCCTTTCTGCCATGATTATAAGTTTCCTAGGCCTCCCAGCCATGCAAAACTGTGAGTCAATAAAACCTCTTTCCTTTATAAATTGCTCAGTATCAGTACGTCTTTATTAGCAGCATGAGAATGAACTAATACACCTACAACTTCATGAAACCCAAACATACCCAAGAATAAGAAACATGAAGTAAATTAATACCAAGATACATGATAATCAAATTACTTAAAACTAGCAATAAACAAAAAAATCTTAAAAGCAGACAAAAAAATAGAATATACATAGAAGAGTAAAAATAAGGAGGTCAGCACATTTCTCATCAGAAAAAATGCAAATGAGGAGAGAGTGGAGTAACTTCTTTAAAATGCTGAAAGAAAAAAATCCTGTGACCTAGAATTTTTATCCAGCATACCAATGAGTGTTCTTAGGAAAACAGGGCCAGTAGGAGAGAGGGGTAGTGGGGGAGTTGCTAGTTATTTTAAGGAATTGGCTCATGCAGTTTTGGTGAATGGCAGTCCCTAAATCCATAGAACAGAGTTGTAGGCTGGGAATTCTCAGGCAGGAGCTGATGCTGCATTCTTGAAGCAGAATATTTTCCTGCTCAAGGAAACCTGTTTTGTTCTTAAGGCCATTTAAGTAATCGGATAAGGCCCATCCAGATTATTGAAGATAATCTCCTTTACTTAATTTCAACCAATTGTAGATGTTATCTACATCTAAAAAAATATTTTAACAGCAGCAAGTAGATTCGTCTTTACTTGAATAATGTGGTATTATATAGCCTAGCCAAGTTAACATATAAACTCGCCATCAAATTCAGCTAAAATATCTTTCAACAATGAAGACAAAATAAGAACGTTTTCAGACATACAAAAGCTGAAATAACGCATTACCCACAGAATTGCACGACAATAAATTTTTAATGAATTTCTTTTAGCAGAAGGAATATCATACCAGATGTAAATCTGGATCTATAAAGAATGAAAAATATGGGAAATTTATTGGCATGAGTAAGTATGATTGACATTTTTTTCTTAACCTCTGTAAAAGATAATTGACCATTTAAAGCAAAAATAATAACAATGTATTGTGGGGTTTATAGTGTATGTAGAAGTATTACAGAATGTAATGTGGACAATATAAAAAAGCTTGGAAGAAGACAATTAAAAGTATACTGTATTGAGGTTCTTATACTATGCATTAAGTGGTAATAACATCACTTGAAAGCATGTTGTGACAAGTTAAAGATGTATACTATAAATCTATCCTAAAGCAACCACTAAAGAAACATAACAAATAGTTATAATGAATAAGAAAACAAACGATATAAAATGAAAGTATAAAAATTACTCATTAGTGGCCTGGCGTGGTGGCTCACGCCTGTAATCCCAGCACTTTGGGAGGCCGAGGCGGGTGGATCACGAGGTCAGGAGATCGAGACCATCCTGGCTAACATGGTGAAACCCCATCTCTACTAAAAATACAAAAAAATTAGCCGGGTGTGGTGGCGGGCACCTGTGGTCCCAGCTACTCGGGAGGCTGAGGCAGGAGAATGGTGTGAACCCAGGAGGCGGAGTTTGCAGTAAGCCGAGATCATGCCACTGCACTCCAGCCTGGGCGACAGAGTGAGACTCCATCTCAAAAAAACAAAAAAACTTACTCGATTATCCAAGTTAGGAAAAGAGGGGGAAAAAGAACAAAGAACTAATGGAAAAAATAGAAAACAATATCAAAAGGATAAATTTAAACACAATCATATCAATAATAAGATTAAATATAAATGGTTTCACAATACCAATTAAAGAACAGATTCTCAGATTCAATTTAAAAAAAAGCATGAGCCAATTATATGCTCCCTAGGAGGAAACAACTTTAAACGTAAAGGCACAAACCATCTAAAAGCAAACAGACAGAAAATGAAATATCTTGCAAATACTAATGAAAGGAAAGCTGGAGTGGCCTTATTAATATTAGACAAAGTAGATTTCAGAACAAAAATATTACCGGGGTAAAGAGAGTAATTTTATAATGATAAAGGAGTCCATTCATCAAGAGGACATAAGAATCTTAAATGTTCATAAACCTTAAAATGGAGCTTCAAAACTCAAAAAACAAAAACTAATAGAATTTCAAAGAAAAATAGACAAATTCACAATTACAGATTTCAATACCCCTCTATCAATAATTGACAGAGCGAGTAGACAGAAAATCAATTAGATTATTGGAGATTTGAACAACAGTCTCAGCCAAGCTAATCTAATTGACATTTATAGAACATTCCACTCAACAGCAAAATACAAATTATTTTTAGTGTACACAGAACATTTAACAAAATAAATCATATTCTAGAACATGAATTTAAGAACACAACTTATGTTCTTTGACAACATGGAATTAAATTAGAAATCAATGCTAGAAATATAACTGGAAAAATCCTCAACTATTTGCAAGTAAACAACACACTTTCAAATAACCAATGGGTTGATAAAATCAACCAAAAGAGAAATTATAAGGTATCCAAAAATAAACAGAAATAAAAATACGACATATTAAAATTTGTAGAATGCAGCTTAAGTAGTCATTAGAGGGAAATTTATAAGTATCAAAAAGTTTATATTAGAAACATTGGGTGCACATGGACATAAAGTTGGCAACAATAGACACTGGGGACTACAAGAGAGGGGTTAGAGCTAGGGGAGTAAGGGCTGTAAAACTACCTGTTGGGTACTATGCTCACTACCTGGGTTGTGGGATCATTCATACCCAAAACTTCAGCATCACACAATATACCCATGTAACAAATCTGCACATGTACCCCCTGAATCTAAAATAAAAGTTGAAATTATTTTTAAAAATTTAAATATGTTTTTAATTTAGATGCAATATATTCTAATTGGTGAATTTGATTGTAGTTTTTGCAGGATATCACATTTTTTTTTTTTTGAGACAGAGTCTCGCTCTGTCGCCCAGGCTGGAGTGCAGTGGCGCAATGTCGGCTCACTGCAAGCTCCGCCTCCCGGGTTCATGCCGTTCTCCTGCCTCAGCCTCCCGAGTAGCTGGGACTACACGCACCCGACACCACGCCCGGCTAATTTTTTTGTATTTTTAGTAGAGGTGGGGTTTCACCGTGTTAGCCAGGATGGTCTCGATCTCCTGATCTCGTGATCCACCCGCCTCGGCCTCCCAAAGTGCTGGGATTACAGGCGTGAGCCACCGCGCCCGGCCAGGATATCACATTTTAAATGATATTTTGTTTTATGCTGTGTGGGAGGTTGTAACTCGTGGTACAAAATGTAAAACTGGGGTAAAAAGAATAACTGCTTACACAAACAATTTAAACGCTTATACCTTAGTAGTAATGAAACTTACTGAAAAAGAATAAATAGCTATATTTTTGTCTTCTTAAAAAATGCTTATATTGGAAATGAAGAGAGGTTTCAAATCAATTACATCAGCACTAATATTTAAAAATTAGATTAAGAAAAGCAAATAAAACATAAATTAAGCAGAAAAAAATAATAAAAATCAGAGAAGAAATCAATGAAATAAAATACAGCAGAATATTTTTTAAAATCAATGAAATGGATAGTTCTTAAAGATCAGTAAAATTGATAAGCTTCTGGCCAGACTAGTAAGAAAACATAGAGATGACACAAATTACTAACGTCAGGAGTGACAGAGGTGACATCTCTTCAGATACATTAGATGGTAAAAAAAATAAGGGACTATTACCAATAATATTTTGTCAATAATATTACTAAGTTAGATATAGTGGTAAAATTCTGTGAAAGATGCAAAGTATCAAATCTCACTGGAAAAGCTATAGAAAATTTGAATAAGCTATATCTATTACAGAAATTGAATTTGTAGTTAATCACCTTCCTGCAAAGACAACTCTGGAGCCATGTAGATTCACTGGCGAATCCTACTAAACATTAGAAAAAGAAATAATAGCAATTTGCAAACTCTTACAGAAAATTGAATTGGATTTTGTCAAATGTTTCCTATTGAGGTGATTATATACTTTTCTTTTGTAGTCTGTTAATATGGTAAATTACATTGATTTTCAAATGTTCAGCTAACCTTGCATTGACAAAATCCAACATCCATTCCTGATAAAAATGCTCAGTAAACTAAGAATAGAAGGATTCTTTAGTCTGCTAAAGACCACTGCTTCAACATTGTAGTGAAGGTTTTCACCAGTGTAAATAAGAAAAGTGAAAGAAATAAAAAGCATCTAGATTTAAAATAAAAATTAAATTATCTTTATTTGCAGATGACATGTATATCTAGGTAGAAAATCTGATTGAATCTGCAAGAAAACTATTTGAACTAATAATTGAATTTAGCAGATACAAGATCAATGTACAACAATTAATTGTAGTTCTAAATAGTAGCAAAGAACATTCAGAAATTGAAATTTAAAAACAATACCATTACAATACCATTTACAATAGCTTAAAAATATATAGGGATACATTTGACAAAACATGCAAAAGAACTGTACACTGAAAGCTGTAAAATATTGCTAAGAAAATTGAGGCAAACATAACTAAATGGGGATCTGTAACATATTCATGGATTGTTAATGTGTCAATGCTCCCCAAATTAATGTACAGAGTCAACATAGTCCCATTTAAAAGTCCAGCAGTTCTTTTAAGAAATTGACAAACTGGTCTTATAATTCGTATGGAAATTCAAAGAACCTACAATAACCAGAACTTTGAAAAAGGAGAAAAAAGTTAAAGGATTTTCACCACCTGAATTCAAGACTTATTATAAAGCTACAGAAAGCAAGGTAGTGACATAAATATAGAAAAATAGATCAATGAACCAGAAGATATGATCAATTTAATGTAGATGAAAGAACAAAGGCAATAAAATAAATAATGTAGATGAAAGTACAGTACATTGCAATAAATGATGCTGGAGCAATTGGATATCTATATGGAAAAACACACAAAAAATAAAACATAACCTTGGTTCCATACTTTACACCATTTAAGAAAATTAACTCGAATCACAGACATAAATATAAAACCTAAAATTGTGAAACTTCTGGAAGTAAGCATAGGAGAAAATTGTGACCTTCAGTTAAGCAAAGATTTCTTTGCTACAACACCAAAGTCATGATTAATAGAAGAGAAATAAAAATGATAAATTGAACTTTATCAAAATAAACATTTCTGTTCTTTGAAAGACACTGTCAGAGAATGCATACAAGGTGTAGACTGAGAGAACATATTTGCAAAGCATATAAATAATATAGCTAATAAAGGATTTAATTCTAGAATATATAAACAACTTTCAAAACTCAATAATAAGAAAATGAACACCTAAATGAACAAATGAACAAAGGATTTAAATAAACTTTAAACCTATGAAGATACATAGACAGCAAATAAACACATGAGAAGATTCTTGGCATCATTAGTCATTACGGAAATGTATATTAAAACCACAATGAGATACCACTACATACTTACTAGAATGACAATTAAAAAGAGAGTCAAGGAGATGGTGAAATTTGTGTCATACGAGGTAACTCTATGTTTAATAATTTGAACGACTGCCAGAATACTCTATTTTGTTTTATTGCCTGATTGTCCTGGCTTGAAACTTCAGTACAGTGTTGAATGGAAGTGGAAAGAGTGAACATATTTTTCTTCTTCCTGATCTTGGGGGACAGCATTCAGTCCCTCACCATTATGTATAATGACATTTGTAGGTTTTTCATAGATGCAGTAGGTTGAGGAAGTTCCCTTCTTTTTCTAGTTGTTTGAGTGTTTTTATCATGAAGTGTTATGGACTGAATGTTTGTATCCGCCCCCCTCCAAAAAAAATTCATATGTTAAAATCTTAACTTCAAATTTTTCTTGGACAAGGTGACTGACTAGAAGTAGCTAGTGTGTGCCACTCTCACAGAAAGCAGATGAGACTGGCTAGTTAACACTAGCTCTTCAGCTGGAATGTTCAGGAGGACATCCTGAACATTGCTTTCTTGAGAGTCATCAAAGAAGCAATGTGAACCATGTAGAGCAGAGAAAAGCAAGACAGGACAGCCACCCACTCAGGGCTGGTGCAGAGCCAAGAGAGGCTTACCACCGTGGGAAATGAGTGAGTGAGAACCCCTAGAGACTGACACTTCTGCCACAGACTTTTGCAATCCTGGGCATAGGAAATTCTCCCTTGCTCCCTCCTCCCAGGGCCTCCAGACTGAATTGAGAGCTGCATGGAAGCTGGAAAGAGCTGCTGCTCAGGCCTCCATGGAGCCCAAGGTCCTTGAATCCCTAAGCACCCCAGCTCCAGCTTGCATGCCCCCAGGATAGTGACTACACCCATGGTGCTGAGGAGCAGATGAACTACAGGCCTTGTCTCTGGTACACCTTGTCAGGCATAGTCAACTGGCCTAGGACCCCAGTGCAGTCACCCTACCCCTTCCTGAGCACTTGGACCCATAGAAGATCTGCATTTCTCTGGGATGGAGGTCCCAGAGGCAACTGACAGGCCCACCATTGTTGCAGCTGCCACAGCCCCCACTCATACAGCCCTCAGTCTATGGAGGGAGGGAGGAAAGAGCCTAAGTTCTATCATAGGCCTCCAGCAAACCACAGCTGCCTTATGGAAAAGCAGCCAAACAGTTTTTCCCATGAGTCCCTGCCCCTCCTATTCTTTACTGGGGTGGACCTCCTAACCTGCGCCTCCAGTATAGCTACGTCAACCCTGCCTGAACATTTCAGTGGGTGGCAATACTGCATTTCTCTGAGGAGGAAATCCCAGAGGCAGAGAATCCCACAAGTTCTTCTCCATTGCCACTGCAGCAGTGTCAGCTTTGCTTGAGTGTTATTCAGCTCAATAGGCCCTCTGTCTTTTTGCAAGGGCAGAGGGCCAATGTGACAGCTTTCTGTATCCCAAGTTCTCACCCAGTATCCAAGAAAAATAGGGTCACACATGGGCCTGAAGGATGAATGCGGAGTTTTACCGAGTGGTGGAGGTGGCTTTCCGCAGGATGCATGGGGAGCTAGAAGAAGGGGATGGAATGGGAAGGTGATATACCCCTGGAGTTGGGTCCCCCAGTGGACTCCTCTCCAACCACTTCAGTGGAACTCCTCTTGGTGTTCAGATGATCCTCCTCTTCTCTCTTTCTCTGCTGTGTCATTCTGCCATTGTCTGCTGATCTGCTGGCTTGCTGGTCTGCTTCTGGAGCCTGGGGTTTGAGGTTTATATGGGTGCAGGACAGGGGTCATGGTGGGCCAAAAGGCAACTTTTTGGGTGCAAAAACAGGAATGTCTGTCTTCATTTAGGGTTGTGGGTCTTCAGGTTTGAGGGTGGGGCCTTTGCCAGGAAACTGCCATCTTCTACCCAGTATTTCCCTCTCTCCTGTCCTTATCAGAAGGACCCCTGGCATGGGCCTGCAGTGTAGCTACCTCACCCTGGCCTGAAGGTTCCCCTTTGCAATGTTTTGTGTCTCTCTGGGGTGGAATTCCCAGAGGTATCTGACAGCCCCTCTGCTACTGCCAATGTAGCAGTACCTGCCCTTGCTACCACCAGTCCAAGAAGGGAACAAAGAGCCTGAGTGCTTTACTCACACCTCCAGCATGCCATAGCCACCATACAGAGAAGCCAGACTGTCTTCCCCGCAAGCCCCCCACCCTCTTGCTCTTCACCAGGCAGGGCTCCTCAGTTTGGGCCCACAATGCAGCTGTCCCACCCTAGGCTGATGTTTCTGATTGGTAGCTGCTCTGTGTTTCTCTGGGGTGGAGTACCAAGGGACAAGTGAAAGGCCCTCTGCCATTGCCAGTGCCAAGGTCTCTGCCCATGCTGTCCCCAAGTTGGGGAGGGAACAAAAGCCTGAGCTAGCCCCACAGCTGCAGTACACAGACTGGGAGTGTCAAGCCGACGTCTACAGCCAGCATTGAGGGGGAAAGGAGCCCACACTCTCAGAGCACTGAGAGGGAGCATGGCTACAAATGCAAGAAAATACAGAGAAGACACTTGGCTAAGGGCCTACCTACCATCCATTATGCTTAAGCACCATCTACTGGATTTACTGGATTGAAGCTCAAACTTCAATGCCAAAATACTTTGTGAATATACCCCCCTGTGAAATAAAAGACAGAATTCAACCACAAATAAGGGCCTTTCAGAAAGCCTCAGCCCTCTGAAAACATCCAGAAATGAAGACAACTGGCCATACTCAAATTGTACCACATTTAAAGGAACATCAGCCCATACAGATGAGAAAGAACCAGTGAAAGAACCCTGGAAACTCTAAAAGCCAGAATGTCTTCTTACCTCCAAAACTGCACTAGCTCCCTAGAAACAGTTAATCAGAATGAAATGGCTAAAATGACAAGCATAAAATTGAGAATCTGGATGTCAACAAAGATCACTGAGATGCAGGAGAAACTTGAAACCCATTTCAAGGAATCTAGTAAAATGAGTCAAGAGATGAAAGATGAGATTGCCATTTTAAGAAGAACCAAACTGCACTGATAAAGCTGAAAAACTCACTACAAGAATTTCATAACATAATCAGAAGTATTTACAGCAGAATAGATCAAGTTGAGAAAATAATCTCAGAGCTTGAAGACCAGTTCTTTTTTTTTTTTTTTCTTTTGAGATGGAGCTTCACTCTTGTTGCCCAGGCTGGAGTGTAATGGTGCGATTTCAGCTCACTGCAACCTCCACCTCCTGGGTTCAAGTGATTTTCCTGCCTCAGCCTCCTGAGTAGCTGGGATTATAGGCATGCAACACCATGCCTGGCTAATTTTTGTATTTTCAGTAGAGACGGGGTTTCTCCATGTTGGTCAGGCTGGTCTTGAACTCCTGACCTCAAATGATCTGCCTGCCTCGGCCTCTCAAAATGCTGGGATTACAGGTGTGAGCCACTGCACCTGGCCAAAGACCAGTTCTTTGAATTAACTCAGTAACATAAATATAAAGAAAAAAAATAATGAACAAAATATCTGAGAAATATGGAATTATGTAAGGAGATGAAATCTACAACTCTTCAGCATCCATTAGAGAGTGGGAGAGAGAGCAAGCAACTTGGAAAACATATTTGAAGATATGATACATGGAAATTTTCCCCAACCTTGCCAGCAAGGTCAACATGCAAATTCTGGAAATTTAGAGAACCCCTGTGAGATACTATACAAGTAAAACATCTCCAAGACACATAGTCATCAGATTCTCCAAGGTAAATATAAAAGAAAAATGTTAAAGTCAGCTAAAGGGAAGGGGCCGGTCGCCTACAAACAGAACCCCATCAGGCTAACAGTAGACCTTTTCTCAGAAACCCTACAAGCCAGAAGAGATTGGGGGATTATATTCAATATTCTTAAACAAATTTCAACCAAGAATTTTATATCCAGCCAAACTAAGCTTTATAAGTGGAGGAGAAATAAATCCTTTTTCAGACAAGCAGGTACTATGGGAATTCATTATCACCAGATCTGCCTTAAAAGAGGTCCTTAAGGGAGTGCTAAACATAAAAATAAAAGACTGGTACCTGCCACTGCAAAAACACACTTAAGTCCACAGACCATTGACACTATAAAGCAACTACACAATCAAGTGCACATAACAACCAGCTAACAACACAATGACAGAATCAAATCTGTACCTATCAATATTAATCTTGAACATAAATGGGCTAAATGCCCCACTTAAAAGGCAGAGAGTGGGCTGGATGTGGTGGCTCACGCCTGTTATCCCAGCACTTTGGGAGACTGAGGAGGGTGGATTGCCTGAGGTCAGGAGTTTGAGACCAGCCTGAGCAATGTGGTGAAACCCCATCTCTACAAATACAAAAATTAGCCAGGCGAGGTGGTGTGCGCCTGTAGTCCCAGCTACTGGGGAGGCTGAGACAGGACAACTGCTTGAACCTGGGAGGCAGAGATTGCAGTGAGCCAAGATTGCACCACTGCACTCCATCTCAAAAAAAAAAAAAAAAAAAAAGGCACAGAGTGGCAAGTTGGATAAAGAAGGAACATCCAATTGTATACTGTCTTCAAGACATCCATGTCACACGCAAGGTTATTCATAGGCTCTAAGTACAGGGATGCAATAAGATCTATCAAACAAATGAAAGACAAAAAAGAGCACGAGTTGCTATTCTTATTTCAAACAAAACAGACTTTAAGCTAACAATGATAAAAAAGGACAAAGAAGGACATTACATAATGATAACAAAATCTTCTTGTTGAATTGAACACTTTGTCATTATGTAATATATCCTAAATATATATGCACCCAATACTGCAGCACCCAGATCCATAAAACCAGCTCTTAGACATTTACAAAGAGACTTAGATAACCACATAATAATAGTGGAAGACTTCAACACCCCACTGACTGTATTAGACAAATCATCATGGCCAAATACTAGCAAAGATACTCAGAACTCAAACTCTACACTTGACCAAATGGCCCTAACACTCATGTACAGAACGGTCCACCCAACAAAAACAGAATACACATTCTTCTCATCTGCACAAGGCGCATACTTTCAAATTGGACAGATGCTTGGCCATAAAGGAATTCTCAACAAATTGAAAAAAGGAAAGAAAGAAAATTATGCCAACCACAGTCTCAGACCATAGACCTAAAAAAATATAAATTAGTAAAAAGAATGGAAATTAAATAATCTGTTTCTCAGTGACTTTGGCGTAAACAATGAAATTAAGGCAGAAACCAAGAAATTCTTTGAAAGTAATAAAAACAAAGATAAAACATATCAGAATCTCTGCGACACAGTTAAAGCAATGCTAAGAGGGAAGTTTATAGTGCTAAATGCCCACATCAACAAGTTAGAAAGATTTCAGATTAACAACCTAACATCATACCTAGAGGAACTAGAAAAACAAGAGCAAACCAACACCAAAGGTAGCAGAAAAATGAAATAACCCAAATCGCAGCTGAACTGAACAAAATGGAGATGAGAAAAGCCATACAAAAGAACAACACAACCAAAAGTTGATTTTTGAAAAATAAATACGATTGATAGATCACTACCAAGACTAATAAATAATAAAAGAGAAAATCCAAATAAACACTACAAAAAATGACAAAGGGGCATTACCACTGACTCCACAGAAATACGAATAAAAACTTCAGAGACTATTATAAACACCTCTATGCACACAAACTAGAAAACCTAGCAGAAATATATCTAGCTGAGTCTGGGGGTTTTCATGTGCTCAGAATGGAGGGAGTGCATGCTGATTGGTCCATGAGTGGCCATGGGTGGGCTTGAAAAAGCACCATTCAATTGTCTGAAAGGCGCCAATGAAATTCTCACTCCATGTGGTAGACTCCACCTTAACTGGCAGCCTGGCCCCCGGGCCCCAGGCTTCAGGCCTGGCTTGAAGGTGAGGTTTCACTGGGGACCTGCCCCTTCCCCCAGGAACCTGTCTGCCTCTGCTGCCATCAACATGCCACCCATGGTGCCCAGGCTTTCCATGCTGAGGAGTGCCTGTAGACCCATGCCAAGCCCCCCTCAGCCCCCCTCTGCCCTCCTGTGTTTGTCAGTTCCCAAAGTCCGGAGGGGGCCAAGGCAGCAGAGGGCTAGCATGTCAATGCCACCCCAAGCATGTGCACACTCAGCCGGGTTTACCACAACTTTGCTCCACACTGGAGCAGACACCAGGAGCAGGGAGAGGCCAGGGAGCAGGAGCAGGCACTCCCTGGGCTCCTAAGAGTGCAGGGATGCCTGGGTCTAGAGCCATGGCTGGGTGGCTACAGCTGCACCCGGGAGCAGGGGCTCCTGCCATGCCAACTTGGTGGGGTTCCCACTTGGATCACCTGTTTACAGCACCCACTGGCTCCACAGAGCGCATAGCCCTTGCCATGCCTTCCCCGCTGCTGCTGGCGTCTTCAAAGCAGCCACTCTAGATAGGCTGCTGCCACCATCAGTTTTACTTATTTTCACTAGCTTGTATAATTTTCACAATAAAAATTATTTAAAAATTATTTTTAAAACCCCACAAGACAGGGGAAACAGTATAGCAGTGAGAAAACATAGGGGCAGAATGAAGCCTTGGCCAGAGGAGATAAGGTTATAAGGTAGGATGGAGCCAGGTTTTGTAAAGTGACAATTGAAGTTTGAATTGTTTTCTCTAAGTTGCTGGGTATCTGTGGAAAGTTTTTTTTTTTTTTTTTTTTTTTTTTTTTTTAAATAGGGCAATGGCATAAGAAGACCTGGCCTTCTTTTTCTGGATTGAAGACATTTTTATCTGGGGATTTTTAGTTGAACAGCATCCCAGGTGCTTTCTGGTGATTTTCCAGGTCTCTCTTGGCTTTGCCTTCGACTTTTGAATGACCTGTTTGCATGTCTGTTACCACCATGATACTGCAAGCTCTGTGAAGGCATGGATTATGTCATCTTCAACCCTGCCGCCTCTCCAACTTCCCACCCCCACCCCAGGGCCTGACCCCAAGGGAGCTGTCAATGGATGTTTGCTGCATGGAATGAATGGGGACTGACTTTTGCTATGGCAGTTTCTTAGGCGCCTCTGACATAAGACACCTCCCTTCCCTAGGCACATAAATTTAGGAAGAAGGCAGAGTCTTCATAGTTATGAATTACTTCCTAACTAGTAAAACTGCAGGAAAGCCCACAAAATTGCCTGTAAAGCAACAGCCTCATTAGTTGTAATTATAATAAAGAGCAATGACTCAGCAGACCACAACCCACACCCACAAGCACACAGGCCCTCTAGCAGGGCGCCTCAGGAGGCAGGCCTGGCTCTGGGACACACAGGGAAGATCCATGTCTGTCTTAGCGTATTCTTTTGCTAGACTTCAGCTTTAACCAACTCCATGTGACCCCCCAACCCATTCTATTTTATACAACAAAGTCAGGGGGGTACAGAAGATAGAGTAGGCAAGCCTTAATCTTCAAAGTGTGACTGTTTCAGAACTTCATGACAGCCAGTCTAAGAAAATGCTTATCTCTTGCTATCTCAATTCTCAAAGTGTGCATGTAATTTACTGTGGACAATACTCCTACTGGAGTCCATCCTACTTCTGGTCAACATGTTTGAAAGCTCCATTAAGTCACTGACATGAATCTGGATCTCTCCAAACACTCTCTGGGAGGAATTAAACACTGATGGACTCTAAGCCATGGACCTTTTCTTCCATTGTACCAGTTATGATATTTCACAGATTGTAGGGTCAAAAAATCTGTTTATCAGTTAATATGTAATGATCTTGCAGGCACTTGCACTGCTAAGCATAAGAAAACTGTGTGTGATGATGCTGATAATTATTGTTTTGAAGATATTGTAGGAGCACTACACCACAAAACTTGCCCTTTGATAAGTTAGCAAGGATCAGAAGGCTGAGGTAGCCACATGGTGGTAGCGTCCTCCCAAGTGCCTGGGTGCTCCTCTGGCAGGAGATTTAGAGCTTTTCTGGGAGCAGATTGGGGATCATGGCTTGAGCATCAGTAGTTTACACCTTTGTTGGAGGGATTAAAAAGAAGAAAATGGTAAGTTACTGTACTCCTATTACATGCCATTTGCAAGGCTAGGCCTTTTACATGCATTAGTCAGTTTAGGCCTTAAAATGATACTGCAAGGTAGATATTATTCTTTCTGCTTATTTACTGCCCTTAAAACAATAAATGATAATCCATCACATCAACAGACTAAAAATGAAAAATCACATAATCATATGAACAGGTACAGAAAAAGAATTTGACAAAATGTCACACCCATTTGTTATACAATCTATCATCAAACTAGAAATAGAACAGCTTTATTTATAATTGCCAAAACTTGGAAGCAACAAAGATGTTCTTCAGTCAGTGAATGGATAAACAAACTGATATATCAAGACAATGGAATATTATTCAGCACTAAAAAGAAATAAACTACTGTCAAGCCACGAAAAGACATGGAGGAAACCTAAATGCATATTCCTAAGTGAAAGAACCCAGAACCCAGTCTGAAAACTTTACTAACTATATGGTTCCAGCTATATGACATTTTTGAAAAGGTAAAACTATGAAGACATTAAAAAATCACTGATTTTTTAAATGGAATGAATAGGTAGTGGATTTTTAGGGCAGTGAAACTACTCTGTATAATATTATAATGGGGATGCATGTCATCATACATTTGTTGAAACTCAAAGAATGTACAACACCAAGTATGAACCGTCACATAAGCTATGGACTTTGGGTAAGAATGAAGCATCAATGTAGGTTCATCAGTTGCAAGAAATGTACCATTATGGTGGAGGATATCAATAATAGGGAAGGTTGTGCATGTGTGAGGTAATGGGATGTATAGAAACTCTATACTTTGCATAATTTTCCTGATACCCTAAAACTGCTTTAAAACTAAAGTCTATTTTTAAAAAGATTATAATAAAACAGTAAATGGGAAAGCAGGGTAGTAAGGAATTTGAGAAGCCTGCCCATGATTACACAGTAAGTGTTGTTTGGAAGTTGATCTACTGGTAAAGAGAATATAACAGTCTTAATTTGAAGGTGCTTAGCCTGCTAGTCCATGATCTGGAAGAGGAGATCTGTAAACTCCTCATGACTGCATGAAAAATTGTGTAAAGAAAGTCTCTTCTGGATAGACTTTCCCTAGCTATCTTGGAAACTCCAACAAGATTAAGAACCACATTGGACACATGATATTGGAAATAGCTCCATGATAAAAGCAGAGAGTCAACGTTGGAATTATGTACAATCTGTTTGAAAGTAATGGTCACATATTCCAATATACCTAGGTTAGGATTGGTCAGAAGTACCCCCTTTCTATTTGTGACAGAGTCAGCACACCCCATATCATGTGGGCTTCCTTAGGTTGATTTTCTGAGGTGAATTATATTCTATGAGTACATAAGAGAGTCTTATTAATGTTACTCTGAGAAGTCCAAGTTACATTTGATGTCTTTTTTCTTTCAGAAGCTCTTAGATGATAAATTTGATCTTTGAATTATCTTCATTGAATGGTAAACTTATTTAAGATCACCAGGATTTCAACTGTATTATGTTTCTGTGACAGAACAAGAAATACATAAGCATCTGATAATAAACACTGTTACACGCTGTTAGAGCAAAGCAAAAACAAACCCTAAAATTTCATCTCTCTCAGTGTATATCAGGGGTATTGATTCTGAGAGAGGAAGAGGGCTTGCCCATGGTCTCTCAGCAAGTTAGGGGTTAAGTAATGAGCGATCCTGTCTGTAGCCTCCCAGGCCAGTACTCTTTTCGGAGGGATGACTCCTCAAACTCTTCCACTTGTGATACTCACATGCTTACTGGACAGCTGTACTTGTGATATTCACATGCTTACTGGACAGCTGTACTTGTGATATTCACATGCTTACTGGACAGCTGTACTTGTGATATTCACATGCTTACTGGACAGCTCTACTTGTGATATTCACATGCTTACTGGACAGCTCTACTTGTGATATTCACATGCTTACTGGACAGCTCTACTTGTGATATTCACATGCTTACTGGACAGCTCTACTTGTGATATTCACATGCTTACTGGACAGCTCTACTTGTGATATTCACATGCTTACTGGACAGCTCTACTTGTGATATTCACATGCTTACTGGACAGCTCTACTTGTGATATTCACATGCTTACTGGACAGCTCTACTTGTTTACCTCTCTCAGGCAGCTCAAACACCACATATTTAAAACCAAACTCATTATTTTTCTTCTGCTTTTTTCAAAACACCTCTTTTACCCACCATCTCCACTCTCTATTGTCCCCACAACCCCTCAAGCCAATGACCGATTTCTCTGCCCTGCTTCTGTTCCAGTTATCTACCGTATAACAGGTACCTCAGAAAACATTTATTTTGCTCATCAATTTGCAATTTGAGTAGGGCTTGACAGGGATGCCCATCTCTGCTGTACTCAACCTCAGCAAATTGTCTGAAAGGCTGGAGGGTGGAATCATCTGAAAGCTAACTTACTCACATTGTGTGGTAACTGGTACCGTCATCTGTCAGCTAGCAGACTAAACTTCCCAGGCTTTAGCTTTAAAGCCTACAAATAGTCTTTCCCTGTGGCTACTTGTCTTCCTCACATCGTGGTGGCTAGGTTCCAAAGACAAGCATCTCAAGGGAGGAATGGGGTGGGTAGGTGAAAGTCATGTTGCCTTTCATGCACTAGTGTCACATTGTTATTTCTACTACATTGTTGAGGCAGTTACAAAAGCCTGCCTGGGTTCAAAGGGAGGGAAAAACACTCCACCTTTTGATAGGGGAATAGCAATGTGCAAAAGCTTATAGATCAGAATTATTGCTAAGCCATCTTGAGATCATTAATTATAGCACCGATCTCTGGGCGCTACTTTCTGTTTTAGGATTTGAAAGTCACTTATGTACTTTTTCAGGACTCTGAAAAAAGGTATATGGTGTTAATATTACAGAACAGCTATGCTAAACAGTTTTTTTTCATTTTCTTCCATAAGATCTAACAATATGCCCATTAGAATAGTAAGAAACAGGACCTTGACTACTGTTTCTATATAAGCAGAGTTGCAGTCTCCAAGGACCTACATCTAAATCTATTGTGAATGCCCATGGATTTTATACTGCTATGGCAGGTACTGTACATTCAAAAGTATGTTCACAAACATTTTGAATATGTTTATGACTTCCCACTTTAAAACAGACTCTTCATTTGGAGAATTTACACACACACACATACACACACACGCACACACACTTACACTCATATATTCTGATTGGTTTGTTAAAAAAACATGCTACTTCAATAGATTATATAAAATATTCTATAAGATGTGTTCTTCCTAAGCAAAGCATTAACTGACTGCAAAATGAGAATAGAAATGGAAACTTTATTATTAAGATAGTTAATTAAAGAGTATGGTGGCTAATTAATAACTTGTTAGCAACATATTGATACCAAAAACGTCACTAGAATCTCACGTCATGTAAAAATAGACCTTCACAAAGACAGTGGTGGTAAATTGGCTCTACTGTGTATAGTTCCAGCAATACATGGAACCAGAGCTAATAGATGCCACAGCTAATATAAAGGGATGACCTCTGGTATGTATCTGCTGACTATCAACCATGCCTGAAATATTATATAGCCATGAGCCCAGTACATCTTCAGAGAAATAAGGAAAAACATGATCATGCTAAGGGAAGAGCTCCCAGGATGGAGAGAGGTCTCAGAATCATGTCGTATGAGAAACAGTTGAAAGACATGGGGATGATGTGGTAGACTAAATTATTGCTCCCAATTTTTCACTGCCCTGTAATATTTTTAATGCATCCACATCTGTGCCATAACCTTGTGGCAGGTAGAGTGTATTTTCCTGCCCCCTTGATTTTGGCCTTGCCAAATATAATGTTAATAGATTTGATGCTAACAGAGCTTGAAATGTGCTTGTGAAGTTAAGTTATTCTCCTGCACTCCTGCATTTCACCATGAGAATATGCTCATTTAGCCACGGCCCAAGGAAAATGAGAGACCTGTAGAACAGACCTGGATCCAGCCCACAACTTAGAGCAAAGCCCAGTTGAGCCCACCTTTCATCAGCTGATCTCTAGCTAATCCACGAATATGTGAATGCAAATGAAATAGCTATTATTGCATTGTGCTGAGTTTTAGGAGGGGAGCTTGTTATGCAGCATTATTGTGGTAATATCTTACTAATATAGATGGTGATTGGTCATTTTGGTGTTACATAGTACCAGTACCATAGGATAATTAACTAGCAGATGGAGTAAAATAGGAGGAAGGTTTATATGCCCATTTAAGGTCTTTTGTAGTCCTGATGTTCTCCAATTTGATGAATGGATGCAAAAAGTTTTTGAAGTAAGCAAATCCCTTTTGATCCGTTTTCACAATTCTAGTTCAGTCAGAAATACACTCCATTGAGATCAATGAGTTAAAGTAGGTATCAGTCTTACTCTAGCTCCTTAAAATCTTTCATATTTCTCACAAATTTTAAAATAACTATGTGATGTTGCTGCTCTATGTCAACTTTATTATCTCCATAAGTTTGGAGAAGGCTCCCCCAAACACTGGCCCGGTGAAGTTGTGATCCAGTGAAGAGCAAGAGAAAGAAGTCAAGGAAAATGATCTGCTCAGCTTTCCAGGCCCCAGATGAAAGCTATCCATAAGCCATGTCTTCCTTAGCTTTAACACATGCCAGAGACATTCTTCCTTTCACTGATTATATTCTACTCAAGTAAATTTTCCATCCTACAAAGTCTGCAAAGGGTAAATGATGGGTTAACAGTCATTTTGATCTCTATTTTTCATGAGAACTTTGGTCTTAGAATGTTAGCGTGTTAGTAGTGTTGCCAGAAATTTTAAAAATTCAAGGATCACTGGAATCTAGGTTGAATATATATCTAAATTATCTCTCCAAATCTTTCTGAAGTTAGAGAAAAGCAACCACTGGATAGCAAAGGTGACTTAGTAATCCACTACACCACTGACTGGCACTGATTTTTCAGATATATTAAAATCCCTGTTAATAAGATTATTTTGTTAAATAGTACTGATTTTCTGCCTTTCTTGCTCCCAAACTCCTAATATATGCCCCACCAGAAAATAACAGGAACGACCACTCTTCTGCCTTAATCTTTTTTTCTGGCTACAATACCAGGTTGAAACAGATTTGTTGATCTGAGCAAATGAGTATACAAACCACACCAGGGCCAATTCAAGTAAGGAAATAGTATTTCTCAAAGTGCAGGCTTCAGAACACCAACATAGATCTCTGATGGGATATCACGTGATTCCAAAAACATTCCCTAGTTTCAGTGGAAAAAGCAATGAAATTAATTTATTCACATACGTTCCCTAGATTTGAAATGTAAGATTAATTATGATTGTCACAGAAATGTCTTAATGTTCTTAATAATCATTATAGTCTTAAAATCGCACATCCACTATAAGGACTTAGTTGATTAACTTCTCTTGCCTAATATTAATTATAAGATAGCTCTTCATTTTCATATTTTTATGTCATTTGTATATTATTGCTTATTGGTGTTGTGCAGTATTTTTTGTTGTTCCTTGTGCTTGATTTTAAGCTCAATTCAAAAATAGATTAGTGACTTAAAAGTGTTTAATGAAGTATATAAAAAACTTATGAAAATGGTAACCAAAACATTGTAACTCAGAATAAAGTGGTAAATTTAAATGGTGAGCAGGACTCAAGTACAAATATAGACCATGTATCTGTATGTTCTAGGACAAGTGAATGTGTGATTGGGATGATTTCATGTAAGCAGGCAAAAAAAAAAAGAAAAGGAAGAAAGGAAAGTGGAAAAGAAGGAAGGAAGGGAGAAAGAGAGAAAAGGAAAAGTGTGATGAGAAAACATGCTTATGACTGTTCAAAATATTAAAAATTGTTAAATGGTTGCATAAAGGCATCACAGCTTTCATGTCCTTTTCTAACAAAACACATGACATTAAATATTTGTTATGCAAGTGGACAATTAAGTTTTCCAGTAATTAATTAAACACAAAGAACAGGTTCAAACTACAAGAGCACTATTTAAGGATTTGCTGCTTGTAGAAATATCAAGAAGTGACAGAGGTTACTGGAGGTCACCCGGATCTGTGCTCCACTTTTTTTGCAGAAAGAAAAACTCTGACATTTTAGTTGGGCACGTGGACACTCAGAACAAATGTGTAATTGCTTAGCTTCTTTGCAGCTATGTGTGTCCAAGTGACTGAATTCTAGCCAGTGAATATGAAGGCAAGTGATTCATGAGACTTGAGTATGTCATTAAAGGAAAGAGACATTGTGCCTTCTCCCTTTTTCTCCCATCTGCTGCCTGCATTGTGGATGTGGTAGTGAGCTATCTTGAACCACATGGGTGAGGGCAGCACTTAAAAGAGGAGAAGCAATAAGCTAGAAGAAGCCTAGATCTCTGGATGACTTCCTGGAGCGGAGCCTACGTGTCATTCCTGAATCTTCTAACTCCAGACTGTTATAAAAGATAGAAGCCTCTGGTAATTTTGGCCTCTTTCATACAGCCAAACACATACTCAGACTTCATCACAGGTGTGAAGCCACTTGATCACCAAGAAGTTTGTGATAGCATTGCAAATTTAGTGATAAATATACTGCTCAGAGAGAAAGAAGAAAAAGGTGTTAGATGACACTGTTGGATGTTACAAAACATCAATAACAAACAAAAGAAAGAGCAATTACTATCATTTGTGCATGAAAGCAGATATTTCACAAAACAAAACCACTCATGTATAGAGTATAAATCAGCTCTTGGCATATGTGTGGGACATATATGATTGTTGAATTCAATCACTTTTATTATTGTTATATTTATCACTGACAACTGACAGTACAGAAGGGGAGGGGGCTTTCTTAATTTACTTAATAATTATTTCATGAGTGATTGTTTAAACTGGAGAAAACAGTGCATCTGGATTAGTACTGATGGAGAATCTGCAATGTGTACATCAAGGAAGGGTGTTGCCAAATTAAACATTAGAGGTTATGCCTGAATGCCCAAGCGTACATAGGTTTGTTTATAGAAAATAACTAGTGGTCAACAACTGGTCTCCTGATCTTGTCTCGGTTCCGAAAGGAATAATGACAGTTACTAATACGATCAAAATATGTGCTCGATTACATTTCTTTTCAGGTTGCCATGAATCAAACAATGAATCTAAGACTCTGCTTTTCTACCATGAAGTATGCTGACTGTCAAGGGGCAAGATGCTGCATGTGATTTTGAAAAGAAGGATAAGATTTCCTCACTGCATTGAAACAATGCCAGTAAAGAGCATTCTGATTTTGGAGACTCGCTCAAATGGGGCATTTCAGTGAAGGATCTGAATTGACCCCTTCAGGGTTAAGCTGGCATGATGTTTTATGTGGAGGATTAGATATAGAAGTTTATTAAAAACAAACTGGGTCAAGTGGCTTGATCTTCAAGAGTTGTACTCTTTCCCATCACTAGCTAATTATCTTCACCGGAAGAAGAAGTCAACTGATGACATATTATTGCATGTGGTGGGCTGATACACACCTTAGTTCTGGATGCTATAACCAGTGACCACACATTGAGTAGTTTAAACAACAAACATCTATTTCTCATAGTTCTGGAGGCTTAAAGTCTAAGATTGGTGTGCCATTATGGTCAGGTTCTGATGAGGCCACCCTTCTGGGTTGCAGACTATCATCTTCTTGCTGCGTCCTCATATGACAGAAAGAGGGTGTGTGAGCTCTCTAAAGTTTCTTTTATAAGAACATTAATCTTATTCATGAGGGTTCCAACCTCATGATCTAATCACTTTCCAAATGCCTCAACTGATAATAACACTGCATTAGGAGGGTAGGATTTCAACATATACATTTTGGGGGAACATAAGCATTCTTTCCATTGGAATACATGAAATAATAATATGTCACACCTTTCTATCCCTACTATCCATTTATTTACCACATCACCCTTATACACTCAAACTAGACTTTGGCCTACACAGTCTCCAGGAAATAATGTGATAGCTGAATTGGAAACACAAAAGAAGTTAACTCCAGGTAACACATCTATGTTCCACACAGGAGACTGAATGAATATATAAGACAGTGTCCTGGCAAAAAACAGGTGAGTTAAATTATCAAATTTAATGGATGGACTTTTTACAATTATATGGGCAGAGAGAAATAAAAAAGGGATGGTAAGAAACCCAGGAGTTAGCAACGATAGGGAGCCATTACCATTCCTTGGCTTGAAGGGGAAAGGGACAGGAATGATTATAGTAATGCAAAAAGAGCTGCAGCTATGGTTGTAAGGGAGGGTTGCCTGATCAGAGCTGTGGCCTTTGATAGAGATAAGAAGCCACTGTCAACTTGTGGCCCAACAGGGAGAGAGCCCAGGGAACAAAGATCTTGATTTCTCTGCCCTTCCAGCATCACTCTCCTACTGGTGCCTCTCATTGGCCAAACCCAAACAAGAAGCCAGAGGACAAGGACACTGATGAGATCCATACAGGTTGGCCTGGGGCCATAGAGCAGAATGGAAAAGGGTAGAGCAATTCTGGAGGAAGAAATGCAGAGTATTCATTACAGGGGAGAGAGAAAGTAAAAGAGATTAGGCTACCTGCATGTACCTATTTTAAGGACTTTCATAGAATTCCCACTCAGTAATTCTACTTACATCTCATTTTCCAGCACTGAGTTAGCTACATCATCACATATATCTACAGGCAGGATTGGAAATTTTGTTCTTTTCTTTTTTTTCTTTTTCTTTTCATTTGGGCACATTTTCCTACTAAATAAAATTAAGATTCTACTAGAAAGAAAGAACAGGAGAGTGGATAATGCGTAGGCAACTGGCAGTCTTTGCCACAGCCTACTTGATCAGCTGCTGCAATTGATTGCCACTATTTTACTTAGGATTTTAGATCTATTTTCAGAGAAGAGAATGGTTATAGGTTCTCCTTTTGTGCTAAACTTATCTTTTGTAAATATAAAGGTAGTGTAGCCTTGTGTAACTTGAAAGTAAACTGTCAATGTCCTTAAATGCTGGGAAACAATTTACATCATGTGGAAGCTTTCTTGACTGTCAAAATTATTGGAATAAGCTTATAAATCCTCTAATCCTCTTGTAATTTATAAAATCTTAACAGCTATATGCAGTTATATTCCTTTTCACATTTCTACTTGGTTTAGATGTGTCTTCTTTCTTCTTCTTCTCTTGAAGAAGAGTCCAGCAATACCTCTATTCCAAAGCCAGAGAAAGACACTACAAGAAAAGAAAGTTAGAAGGAAAGTTCAATATCCCTGAAGAACATAGATGCAAAAGTCCTTAACAAAATACTAACAAACTGAATCCCACAGCACATATCAAGGACCTCACACCATGATTACCTGAGATTTATCTCTGAAATCCAAGGATGACTCAACATACACAAATAAATAAGTGTGATACACTACATTAACAGAATGAAGGATTAAAATCATATGATCATCTCAATAGATGCAGAAAAAATATTTGACACCATTTACCATTGTTTCATGACAAAATATCCCAACAAATACACTATGGAAGGAATGTATCTCAACATAATAAAGGCTATGTATGACAAGCCCATAACTAAACTCATACTCAAATGTGACAAGCTGAAAGCTTTTCCCCTAAGATCAGGAACACTATAAGTATGCCCACCCACTCTCATCACACTTCTGTTTAATATAGTACTAGAAATAAACCTACACATATGCAGTCAACAGATCTTTGACAAAGGCATCAAGAATACACAATAGGAAAAGGATAGTCTCTTCAGTAAATAGTTTTGGGAAAATTAAATATCCACTTGCAAAATGATAAATTGGACCTTTATCTGATACCATACACAAAAATCATCTTAAAAAGGATTAAGGACTTAAATGTAAGACCTGAAACTATAAAAGTCCTAGAAGAAAACATATGGAGAAAACTCCTTGATAGTCACCTTGGCAATCATTTTTGGATATAACACCAAAGCACAGGCAACAAATGTAAGTAAAAATGAACAAATGAAACTATATCAATCTAAAAGGTTTCAGCACAGCAAAGGAAACAATCAACAAAATGAAAAGGCCACCTATAGAATGGGAGAAAATATTTGCAAACCATTTGTGTGGTAAGGATTCAAATAACTCAATAGCAAGAAAAGAAAAACAAAACACACACACACACACACACACACACACAAAATTTTAAAATGGGCAAAGGAACTGAATAGGCATTTTTTCCAAATAAAATACACCAATGGCCAACAGGTATATGAAAAGGTGCTCAACATTATTAATCATCATAGAAATGCAAATTAAAACCACAATGAGATATCACCTCATACATATTAGGACGGCTATTATAAAAAAGTCAGAATGTAAGTTTTGGTAAAGATGTAGAGAAAAGAGAACACTTATACACTGTTGATGGGATAGTTCATTGGTACCGCCATTATGGAAAATAGGATGAAAATTTCTCAAAAAACAAAAAGTAGAACTATCATATGATCCAGCAATTCCACTCCTGGGGACATATCCAAAGGCAATGAAATCAGTATGTCAAAGAGGTATCTGCACTCCCATGTTCATTGTAGCACTATTCACAATAGCCAAGATATGAAAATAACCTAAGCATTCACTGATAAACATTTATCTCACATTTTCTGTATATATATGGAATATATATATATACACACATATATAAGGAATATATATATACATATATATACATATTCCATTGTGTGTGTATATGTATACATATATTCAACCATTAAAAAGAAGGAAATCCTGCCATTTGTGACAACCAGGATGAACCTTGAGGATATTATGTTAAGTGAAATAAGCCAGACACAGAAAGACAAATATTGCATGATCTCAATTATAGATGGAATCTAAAAAACATTGAACTCATAGAAACAAAAAATAAAACGGTGGTTGCCAGGGTCTGGGGTGTGGTTGTTGGTCAAAGTGTACAAACTTAAGATGAGTAAGTTCTGGAAAGCTAACATATAGCATGGTGACTATAATTAATAATGCATTGTATACTTGAACTTTTCTAAGAGTAGATATTAATTATTCTTACCATTTTTCCCTCCATCATCTCTCTCTTTTGTTTTTCTAGAATTCTTCTTGGAAGAAGTTCCCAAATTAATTACCTTAACTGTTAACCCTGGAGCCTCTCCAGCTACTTGATTCTATTGATTATGAGCTTGAAGAGATCTTCTATGTGTACATTGGTCTCAGTTTCAGTCCAATTTGTTTTCTATCTTCCAGGGATTCCTTAACATTTCTGGTCTCCCAATGACAGTCTTTCTTGTTTATCAGCACTTCTTTACTTTATTACTTCCCTATAAAACATATTTTTCTGTATTTTCTAATAATATGAGGAAGGATGGGCTTAATCTGCTATGTTGAGGGGAGCCTCCACACTTATTTTTGTCTTATTGTGGAGTATATCATTTACGTTGTGTCACAACCTTTGTGGAACTAGGCAGATTAAAAATATCAAACACAGAAACATCAATAAAAATCATAGAAGTTATCAAACCTGTTCATTTTCACACAAATATTTACTGCAAATCTTGAAATTCTGAAAGCAGTCAGTCGTGTTATTTTGGAGACAGTTTGATAACTTGTGTCTCAAGCCACGGGGGCGGCAGAGGAAGAAATACAGGAGTCTCCACATAGTGACAAAAAGCCATTCCAGATCCCTCAGGGCCACAAGTGTGAGCACAGGGTAGATTGTAAGCTCCACTCATTCAAGGACCACAGCGATCTATATCATTGTTCTATTCTTTGTGCCTGAGCCATACTTGTTGCTCAATATATAAATAAAATAAGAAGAACTTGTTGCCGAGAAAGAAGATGCCAATTACAAAGTTATGTCCTCACTCTTGTCGTTTCCTACTCTTATATGGAGGCTAGGTTATATTTTGACCAGTGGTAACTTGTGGGTACAATCTCAAAGGCAGCCATGTGTGTGAAATCTTCCACCAACGGTCTAGAATACTTTATGCATCAGCAAAAACAAGAGTTACCATTCAGTTAGTGCTTACACTGCATCATTCTTCTAAGTGCTTTAACGTGTGTAATCTTTTATTTTTACAACACAACCCTCTGAAGTAGGCACTATGGTGATCTCCAGTTTACAGATGTGGAAAGTGAAGTTCAGAGACATTAACATAACCATATTCACATAGCTAGTGGTAGTAGAGTCAGCATTTGAACCCAGGCAGTTGGATACACTGCCTCCATGTCTTGCCTTTTTTGGTGGCCCGACTCTACCTTATCTTTAAAAAATGCCTTGAAGCCTTTGTCTGGAGCACTGCAGCTTGATTCCGGAGTCTTTTGGGACACGGCGTATGAATGCTCATTCTGGTCTTTTAACAACCAGTCCCATGAAGGCAAGATGCTGAGTCAGATCTGGGCCAATCCAATGTTCCCTCCAACAAAATTGCCTTGCATAATATATTATATGGATCTGGCTGTAAATCCTCTTCATAAAAATCAGTACTAGATAGAAACAATTTTTGAAGTTGATGTCATTAGTAAGGAAATAGTCATTTAACCAATGCTATACTGTCCTTTAGAAATGATATGACTATATCTGTTCATTTGTGGACCATATATTTGTGCATAAACTATTTCCTAACTCTGTCACACACCTCATAAAATCAACAGGATCAATTCACAAATGATGTAACAGTTCTCTCTCCTCTCAGAGAGGCCTTCTCCTTCCTACTTGACAGACACAGTGCTTTAAACCTTTCAGTCAATCTCTTATGCATTCATTTTCGGCTGTGGTCATTTTTGTCTATGGTCGTTTTTTTCCAGGTTGTATTCACAGCTTTCAGCCATGTTTATAAGGAGCAAAGTATTATATTAACCTCTGGATTGATGCAGTGTTTAGAATAAAAACATTCCATTTTTGACTCAATTTTGCCATGTTTTGGCGAAGTATACACATGTCTGTGGAACACAATTTAGATTTTCTTTTGCTGCATGATGATTGTCCACTAATTTGTTTTTCCTTTGCCTTTTGTATGGTTCACTTCTGTCTGGACAGTTTTAACTCTTGAGAATTGGAATAATATATGCTCTAAGGAGCAATGAATCATTCCACAGATGAGTCAGGTTGTCTTATTCAAGGACAAGAATCCATTAAGGGTTAGTAGTGTATGTAGTGGGAGTGGTGGAGGAGTACTGAATCTTGTAAATAAGGATACCATCTTGGTCAGTATTTAATAGAAGAATAACTAACTTTATACTTCAATGATCTGGAAACGGCTGTTCCTGTGCACCGCTCATATTTATACATTGGAAACTGGAGAGGGAAATGTGACTTGCCTGGAAAAGGTTACAATAGATTTGTAACCAAAGGGTTATGTCTAAGGGGGCTTTTTTCCCCATTTGAGACTTAAATAAACTAAAAGACCTGCCCTTCGCTTAGATGGATTGAGTCCAGGTTTTCTCTTAAAAAAAAAAAAAGAAATTGGAGACCTTCACCTAAAAAACCAAAGGTCTCTTACAGTGAGCCCTGTGTAGGTAGGATCAGGTTTCCCTACTTGCAAACAGGATTGAATTGGAAACCAGCCTGAACAGATCTATCCCCACCTCAGCCCCAACCCCAACCTGGAATTCAACCCAGGGAATAATTTCAAAGTCTCAAATCCTAAGTTCAACCAAGGTACAATAACCTTCCTCCTACCAAAAATAAAGTGGGATATTTCTAATACTCTTTAAAATTTGAGATAGCTAAAAGTGGCTTGGATCTATATTTGCTAAATCTAAAAATATGGAGAATAACGTCAGCTACAACTCAAAGGAAACTTTTCCATGTGGGCTTCTTTGGGTGTTTGGCTTTTATCTATATTGAGCTGATTAAAAACAGCTGCTATTTTAAAACAAGTAGCAAATTTTATTCAGCAGGATAGGGGAAGGGCAGGCCTATTCTAAACAGAATCTATACATCTGTGTGTGTGTGTGTGTGTGTGTGTGTGTGTGTGTGTGTGTGTTTTAAGGGTAATGCTATATACAGGAAGAGGATAGTATGATTTATGTTAAATCTCTTGCAATCGTGTTCAACTTGACAACAAGATAACATGTCACTTAGCCTTTAATTTCAGCAGAAGCTAATTATACAGTGGATTGTCTAAGGGCTACTCTGTCTTACCATCTTTAATTCACAAACTCTGAATTTTAAAACCTTTCCAACCAACGCAAAGATTGCACCTATGCAGCCATCATTGCCATGGCAATAATGAGAAATTTCCTGAGGGTCGCCCTTTGTCCTCACGGTAGACATCATAGTTACTGTCTCGTGTTGTCAGCATCTGGAAACCTCGCAAATTTTCCAAGATGAAACAAGCCTTGGAATTTGGGTGCAATAAGTGAATTGCTAAGTGGGTTCCTTTGTTTAACCCAAGTGACTAAGATGTAGATGCAATAAATACATTTGTCTGTCAAGTGAGACTCTGGCCTCCAATATCCACTGCTCTTGGTGACATCAGGGTGGTTATGTGTGTTCTTGAGAACATAAATCTGTTGTTGTTTCTGATTTTTATTAATCTGCCTTCAAAACGCTTGATTTTTTAAACAGGGGCTAGGAGTCTTAATAAGAAAAGTACAAAAGGCAGTGGAAATAGAAATGCATGCTTCCGCTGTACAGAACAAAAGGATTCAGGTTGAAAATGAGCAAAAATGGAATCCCATTTGAAAGCAGAATTTGCAATACTAGGCAGCAGTTGTCTGCAAATGTCTGTGGGGAATTTTTTTTCAAGTTACAAATTAAAAGGGGTTCTTTGGTAAAGAAAGGTTTGAGGGAAAACAAACTCAAACTGCCATAAATCTGAGACAAAAATATTCTGAGTCGTAATGAGAGACATTTGGAAGTAATAGCGTTGTATGCCTCCTGAGTGATTGCTTGATTTTAAGGAAGCAATCTTTTTTTTTTCCTCAAAGAAAACCTTTTGAACTTTCAGAACTCCATTCATTTGTGTTGATTCAGTTTTTCAAGGCTAAAAAGGCCGTCTGGGTGAAATTGACACTCGTTTCTAGGCATACATTACATGTCATAACCAGATTACTGTTTTCCTGCTCCCTTTCCACTGTTCTTCCTCACTGATGAGTCATTACATTGTGAGTTGACACCTCAGGTCACCCGAGAAGGTCTCCATACATCATCATGGCTAGAATCTGTCACTTTTGACTGGCCCTTGTTTTGAAGCTTGCGATCTGGTGTTAGGATAGTCAGCACCCTTTGACCTTTCTGATGTAACTCCTCACATAGACTGCTTGTTTAGCTTTTAGAGCCTTTAGGTTGATTAGACAGAGTGATTAAATCTCCCGGATATGTTCACTTACATTTAATGTTCTTGGACATTAATTTTAATGCTCAATAAATGACTTAGTTTGATAAGGTGTTAAGTGACCTAAATGGATAGAAAACAGCTCAGAGACCTCAACCAGGCTTTCCTTCCAACTTGGGTGGGAAGGAAAAGTCATCAGTACATTCTCCGTTTTTTCTTATTATCAAGAGACTCCTGAGTGCTTGGTTTATGGGAAGGTTGTGAATGAGCAGTGGCACAGTGGGAAAGGGCCAACTGATTGCCAAATGTTCAAGCATCATTCACAGGGTATCCCTCAGAAATTGTTGAGAGAAAGAGTTCATTTTGGAAAATAAATCCGGTTTAACTACTAAAGTACAAAAACAATTCCCCCAAAGCAAAGCAATTCCATACATGGTGATTTCTTTTCATAGCCAACCCCAAAGAAAGCAATAGACCATTTTTAATCTCCAAAAATTGCATGGTTTCTGTGACTTGCCTTTCAGAATCAAGTATTTCACATTCAGCTCATGATTCTGAGCCAGTTTTACCTGAAAATCACATCTCAAGATGAAAATGGCAATTGACCTCAATAATTGGCATTAGGGAAAAATGATTTCTGATCTGTGGTAACTCTGCTGCCTGTAGTCCTCATTAGAGTTCCATCAATACATATTAAAATGCATGTTCAATTAAAGATCATCAGGAAAATATTTTAATTGCTATTTAATGACAGTTGAATCACTGTCACATATGATCAAGTAATGAGGGCTGTATGATCCAGCTAAGACATCTTTACTAATTTGAGAAATCTTACAAAAGGATTCCTAGTTAATTATGATGAATTTGCTTTCCTCTGATAAGTAAAACTGTTTTCAGGAAAAGTTAATAGAGAAATCCTGTTTTCAAATTATAATTTGTTTGATTTTATCTAAGCACATTTTAAGGTTCTTAAATTCTATGTTAAATAAAATTACATTTGAGGCATAGATTATGAATCTTTTGGGCACTCACTTGGGGCAGGTACGATAGATACTATCATGGAGAATGCACAGGATTATGAAGACTAGGCAGGTACCAGACAGGCTCACAAGTAATAATATTGTAAGATACAAAAGATAATTGTGTTCAGAAAAGTGCATAGAAAGAATTATGGGAGTATAGAGAAGGAGGCAAATTATTTTACAGTGGAGATGACATTAGAGTTGAATGTGAACCTCAGTAAGATGGCAGTAGGCCAAAAGGGTAGGGAAGGGAGTTGTAGGAGTGACCAGTTTGAACAAAAGTGTTGTATTAAGCCATTCTTGCATTACCATAAATAAACACCTGAGATTGGCTAATTTATAAAGAAAGGAGGTTCAATTGGCTCATGGTTCTGCAGGCATCTTCTTGCCTTCTAGGGAGGCCTCAGAAAGCTTAAAATCATGGCAGAAGGCAAAGGGGGAGCAGGTGTCTCACATGGTGAAAGCAGGAGCAAGATGGAGGGGTGGTGCCACATACTTTTAAATGAGCAGATTTTGTGTAAACTCAGAGTGAGCGCTCGCTTATCACCAGGGGGATAGCCCAGGCCATTCATGAAGGATCTGCCCCCAATGTTCCAAACACCTCCTACAAGGCCCCACTTCCAACAATGGAGATTACATTTCAACAAGACCAACCTTCAGGTGTGAAGCCATGAAAGGTGATTGTATATGTAACAAAAACAGGAGTAGTCTAGTGTGACCCAAACTCCAGAGGGATGCTGTGATGTAAGACTTAAAAAGCAGTTTGGGGGCTAATTGTAGGACAACTTTAAATACTTGGCTGTAGTGGGAGTTGAATGTTACTCTTCAAGCCCCCAAAATTTATAGGAAAATATTGAAACCTAAGGTTGAGGGATGTGATGGGCCTAGAAGACCTGAATATCCACTGGGGAATCTGAAAAGAAAGGTGAAAGTAAACGTGTCAAGAGACAAGGCAGCCTGGGCAAAATAACTTTTTTTGTTATTATTTAATACAAGGAGTTATGTCACTAAAACAAATTTCTACTTTAGGTTGAACGTAAGAAAGATTGAAATTATTATTGAAATTATTATTATTTTATTATCACTCTATAGGAAAAATGTAGATAAAAAGCTGGCAATTGATTTTTTCATAGTGTATGATCAGCACAAACATTTATTCATCAATCTGGGAGATTACTGCTTACCTTTATGTGCCAGGAACTGAGCTAAAAGCTGAAGATATAGTGAAGAATAAGGAAATAACTCTTAGCACTCAGGGAGATCAGAATGTGAGAAAAAGAGATGAATAATACATTTCAATGCAGAGGAATCTGTGCTGAGCTCCAGATTCCTATAAGAGTGGCAACAAGGAGGGGAGGGACCAAGTCTGCTTGGGTGCATCCAGGAAAGCTTCCCAAGGTGGGAGAAGCATAAGCTGGACCTAGTCTCTTCAAAGAGCAGTGGTTTTCTCAGGATACCAGAGTTTCTAAAGAGAAACCTTCGAACAATCATGGCTGAAAAGCCCAAGCTGAGTGTCCATCCCTGTAGAGTAAGAATCCTAGATAGTAGGAAGAGGACAGGGGCTGATGCCCGCAGGCATCGGATGGGCCCAAAGATAAGACAAAATTCAATGGGAGAATGATCAGGCATTGTAAAAAGGAAGCCCAAAAAGCTTTACTTTCTCCTGAGGGCAAGAAACATCCTACCAGATATTACCAAGTGCTTTTTTTCTTTTGAGTGTTTTGAAGCAAAGGCTCATGGAAGCCATGATTATTGACATAATTTTTAAAAGTAGGTTTAACCAATCACCATCCCCACCTGCTGCTAATTGTTCTTTAGAAGAACAGAAAAGGTGACCCATTTCTCAACTCATCAGAATACACAAAACTAAAAAGAGATGACTGTAACAAAATCATAGAAACTCACAAAAAATGGTTTGAGGGCATTCTGAACACATCGCCCTATTCTTTTTCAGGTTACCCATTACAGGCCTCAGACTCTCTAGGTTCTATTCCCCAACCCTGCTCCTGCAGCCCTTCCCTTGAGGAACTGCTGCTGGGCTCTGTTCAGCATTTGCCTGCAGTTCAAACTAATTATAGGTGGCAGGGCTGAGATTGGGCCTGATTGCCCAGAAACACATCAGTTATTTAATGAAGCAGGTAGAATGAACTCTTCGGCATCCACAGCCTGGTCCTCAGTGAGGTTTGTAGGAACAGGTCTTGTATCTGTTGGTGAGAGCAGCCACAGGCTACATCTCTTGCAGCAGCTGCTATTGAGATACATTAAAGTGTAGATGGCACCGTGCACATGCCTTGAGTTTGGGTTTACACTGCATCATCCATCATCCAAACTCACCAATAATACTGATGGTAAAATAACAGCACCTATTCACTGAGCACCTATTAAGTTTATACAGATGCTGTTTGACTTACGGTGGGGTTATGTCCTGATAAACCCATCATAAATTCAAAATACTGTAAGTGGGAAATGCACTTAATACACCTAACCTACCTAACATCATACCTTGGCCCAACTTACCTTAAACATGCTCAGAACGCTGACGTTAGCCCACAGTTGGGCAAAATCATCTGGCAATACAGTACACTGTAGAGTATGGGTTCTTTACCTTCGTGATGTCATGGCTAACTGGGAACTGTAGCTCTTTGCTGCTGCCCAGTATCACAAGAGAGTATCACACCACATATCAGTAGAGTAGGAAAAGATCAAAATTCAAAGCACCATTTCCACTAAATGCATATCCCTTTTGCATCATCGTTGTAAAGTTGAAAAATTGTAAGTCGAAACATCATATGTCAGGAACCTTTTGTACAGCTATGCATGACTTCATTTAATTATCACAACAGCCTTTAAGGTAGGCATTATCTTTTTGATACTACAGTGGGAAAAAATGAGAAAGTCAAAGTGAAGTAACTTGTCTTCCATACTGGTTGCCTTCCAGAAGTTTCACCTCCTCTGGATCTGGCTTTCTGAGAAAATTGATACCCCTTGGAGAAGAGAATAGTGCTTGGAATTGATCATGAGGAAGACATCTGGGATCCAGGTAATGTTCTATTTCTTGACCTGGGTGGAGTTGTATGAGTGGATTCACTTTGAAAAATGATTGGTTTTTTATATATTTCTTTATGTTTACTTTACTTGGCTTTTTTTTAGTTCCTACCATTTTCCTCTGTTTTCATTTCTGTCTCTATTATTTATTCCCACTTTGAATCAATCACTCAGTTTCCCAATAATTGTTAAAGAGGAAAGGCCTATGACAAATTGCCTGGAGGAATGAATGGGACAACATGCTATGGGGTCAAGTGGTCCACATGTGGATCAATCTGGAACCCTTGGCCTGTGAGCACTGTGCTCTAGCCAATTGAGTTAAATTAGTCCAGTCACCACAAAGTGGTCTTATCACAAATTAGTCTTTTGCATCAAATAGTGGTTATTTTTACCTCCAAATGATTGATTCCCAACCCTGGGTGTGCTCTGGGTAGAGCTATGAGCAGAGCAGGATCCAGGGGATAAATGCCTTACCATTTGCCTGAAGTTATTTTTGAAAAAGAAAACTGGCTCTTCAGGATACTGCTGAGCACATCTCACTTAGAAAAGGTCAGAAAACAATCTGCTGCATTGATTTATCCTAGGACAGGAGTCAGGTAAAAGTTGCTGGCAGGGGTAGGAGTATTTATCTCAGTGCTCCCTATTTCCCAAAGTGGGTAGGGAACTGTGTTAAGTACCCCAGGGAGGACCCAGAGCACATAAGTAAAGGGGCGGTGATGACCAATCCTCTGGCAACTACATTATCCTCTTAATTCTGACTAGGTAATGCTGAAGTTAATGGGAGGCCATTGCTTTGGACTAGTCTCCTATACTAGGCCCCAACAAACCAGGCCAAACAAAAATGGAGTCACTTATGCCGAGTGCCAAACAATCAAACTGAAACTTTATGAAAGCAGGTAGATCCCCAAATAGACCAGTTTTTTTTTTTTATTTCCTGAAAACAGGAGATTCACAGCAGCCAATCCGAAAAAGCCCAATCTCCCTGAATCAGTGTAATAAGGGAATCCCCTTCTCTTTAACCCTTACAAGAAGAGTGACTGGTAACCACCTGATGTTGAGCAATCTGCTTTTTTTATTGTTCTGTTTGCTTTTTCCCACCCTACAGAAACCAATTGTTCTGTCATGCCCAGAGACAGTCATTCTATTTTATGAAATAAGGTGTTGCCAAATTCCCAGATTGCAAATAAAAACCAATTAGATCTTTAAACTAAATATGTTGTAATTTTGTCTTTTGACAGTAAGCACAATTATGTCCATGTCACACATCAGGAAAGTGAAGACCAGATTAGGAAAGTGATTTACCAAGAACGTATAAGCCAAAGGTGGCAAAACACAGTTTCAAACTTATCCTTCCCATTGTCCTATGACATCCACACACCCAAATCATTTAGAGGAGGAAGACAAGTGGATCAGTTGAATCAAATAACTATCATTCTAATTAAAATCTGATTTCTCAAAAAAAAAAAAAAAACTTCAACCACATTTTTTCCTCATATTGACAAGCAGGAGTTATAAACTTGGAATCGGAGGAATAAACTTGGGTTCAACTCCTGAATCTGCCACAAACTGTAGGACCTTGGATAACTCATTTCATCATTCTCAGTCTCAGTTTCTTCATCTGTGAAATTAGGATAATAATGCCTACCTACGTGATAGAGTTGTGAAGCAGATTATAAAGAGTCTTAGTTCAGGCTGCCATAACAAAATACCATAGAATGGATGGCTTGTAAGCAAGAGAGATCTATTTCTCACAGTTCTGGAGGCTGGGAAGACCAAATCAAGGTGCTGGCAGAACTGGTATCTGGTAAGAGCTCATTTCCTGGTTCATAGATAGCATTTTCTCTCTGTGTCCTTATAGAGAGACACAGAAGTAGAAGAGGTGACCTAGGTCCATTGGGCCTCTTTTATGAGGGCATTAATTCCATTTCTGAGGGCTCCACCCTTATGACCTAATCACCTCCCAAAGGCCTTGCCTCCTAACATCATCATCCTGAGAGTTAGGATTTTAACATATGAATTTTGGGCTGACACAAACATTCAGACCATAGTGCTAAGATACATAGCAATTTTATAAAATAAAAACTGCTATTACATGTAACAGGAGGAATTATTCAAATATAGGCTAGAGAGTGACAAAGCACAACAGAGGCAGAAAGCAAGTACTCTGAGTGGGGGTCAGAAGAGGAAGCAATCACTTCTGGCTGTGGGAAACAGAAGACTTTATGGGGGAATTGACCTTTGAACTATATCTTGAAGGATGGAGAAGAGTTGGATATGTAGGCATGGGGTGGGAAGAAAGGGTAAAATATGGAAGAAATGTTTGTTAGGTGTACGCAGAACAAGCATTTTAGTTGCCTGGAGGAGAGGATTACATGAAGGGTTGTAGTAGCAAAATATTGGTGTGGAAATGTGGTACGAATAGGGCTTCTGGATTCTCATGGAACATGTCTTTATTTATTTTCTTTTTATTTTCAATTTTTTTTATTATTATACTTTAAGTTCTAGGGTACATGTGTGCAACGTGCAGGTTTGTTACATATGTATACATGTGCCATGTTGGTGTGCTGCACCTGTTAACTCGTCATTTACATTAGGTGTATCTCCTAAAGCTATCCCTCCCCTCTCCCCCCACCCCACGACAGGCCCCAGTGTGTGATGTTCCCAACCCTGTGTCCAAGTATTCTCATTGGAACATGTCTTTAAATGCCAGGACAAGGCAATGGGACTTTCTTATGCAAGCAAATTGAAGTCTTTTAGGGTTTTGTGATGGGAGTGATGAGCAGGGAGGCAAGTGATCAGAGCTGAATTTCAGGATGGAAACTGCCATGGTGCCTTGGGTGGAACAACACAGGTATGCAGACCCTTGGAGATATTATTACAGTATCCCAACAAGAGGTGATGAGGTGCTAAGCAAGGGCAGCCCCAGAGAGGCTGAAGCAGGTAGAAGACTCTATAAGACAGAGAAACAACGGGACATAATAGCATCTGATGAGAGGCAGAGAAAGGGTCCAAATATGGTTCAAAGCCTGGAACCAGAGGAAATGGCAGAATGATGATGGGGTGGAATGGGTTGGCCTTTCATACACAAGAGACTAGACCCACTGCTAGTGTCTGGCACATTGAACCTCTCAAGTTTGGGCACCTGGATAAATCTGCTTCCACTACTACACAGAGACAAGCTGGCAAAAGCCATTCAAGCTTGGTTTCAATAAAACCACTGGTGAGAGATAGCTTTTCCATTTTGTTGTTACTAATAATATAGTCTCAACTACAGCTCTATACAGACTTCTAATAATATATTTGCCACTTTACAAAGCCCAAGTTGCTTCAGCACCAGTAATATTGTACATAGCATGAACAACAGCCCACTGCTCTCTGGGGTTTAATATGCTGTGAACACATTTCTGCATCTTTAAATGAACATAAAGCATTTACCCAGACCTTTGGCATTGTCTTGGTCCCATTGTTAATATGATAGACCCAGCCAAATGCTATCAGGGAAGAATGATTTATACATGAAAGATATTGTCAGAAATGGTTGAGGGAAAATGTATGAAGGAGAGGGGCATTTCATTTGTCTTCATGTAACTCTTTAAAACCAGTGAGAGTAGTAAGATGACTGAATTCTTCAATAAACCTTTGATAAAGCATTAAGGAAGCTGACATGGTATCTCTTGATGGGCCATTACTACCTGCTTTGGATGCCAAGTACTTTCATCCACTCCAGAAGTATATTAATGAGGCAGGAAAGGCGTATCTGGGAAATAAAATCATCATCTAAGCATGGCTTTTCTTCTTTGTTAATCATCTCCTCTTTCTTTTTTTCTCCTTTACATTTCAAAAGTTGGTCTGGGTAGAGTGAAGCCTGCTGGGGTTTTAAGAATAAGAAACACATGCTATTGGCTCCCACTGGGTTTCACTGATTTTTTTTTTTTCTAACACATGCAGGGTGTAGGCATTTTGATGTTTGCTCTTGGGCGGCTTTTCCCAGGTGCTTTCCTCCCTCCAATTTCCCCCTTTTTGCTGGGCTTCAAAGGGGTAAATGAGGAGTCAGTGGCCACATTTAGCAGTTGAAATAGAAACAATGCCTTTTCAAAGGGGTGCCACAGAGGCTGAGGTTTGGAAGGTGGCTCAAGTGGCATTTCTGGGAGCAAAGAGAGTTCAGCAGTGCGTGGCAACTTGCTTCGTTCAACAGAGCTTTGCTAGCATTCAGGAGACTTTCAACTCCAAGCCTCTGTATTTGTTTTATTTTAAAGGGAGCAAGAAAAGAAATCAGGAGCATTCTTCAGATGCAAGTCACTAGGAGCCCTGCCTGTCTTCTGCATGGAAGCCTGTGTTAATCCGTAAAAAATTGATTTATGTCACTGCCAGTTATGTGCTCATGTGGAGACGAGAGCAGCCCCATGGAGATGAAGGGCTGCTCTTCACGCTATCTTCATAGGAAGAACTTAGCAATGGAATTGCCCTGGTCTTCTCCCTGCTTTCTTCTTCTGGGAAAGACGGGTTGCAGGTGTGTTAAAGAATAGTGTTTGCTTAATGATGCACTTAATGAAAGTCTTTGATCAATGATAATTTGTGAGCTTCAAGTAGGGGAGGCTTGAAAAGCACAATCATTCAGCGAGTAACTATTTTCTCAGGCAAAAAGGGGGAAAATTGATGCATCAGGTCTAGTAATCTGCAAGAATATGACAGAAAGATATGTGTGGCTAAATGCTAGATAGACAAAAGCTACGGATGAAGCTGGGAGGGGGGTGTACACCAAAGTGCTAATTGGCAAAGTGGAAATAAAAAACAGTGAGAAGGAGTGCCCAGGAAGAGAGACAGGTTAGGTGAAATGAGAGATGAAATCAAGGGAGGAATGGGCAGCAAGGGCATGCTTGCAGAAATCAACAAGTTAGGAGACCAAAAGGGAAAAAGCACAACATGGAGATCAAAACCAAGATTAAATTGTCTACAAAGGAAGACAGTGAAACAAGGTAAATGACTGTTAAATAATACACTTGGCTTGCAGCAGGCAGTAATTCAATCAGTAGCTCCATCAGAAAGGGAAGCTGCTGTGGCCATGAGAGAGCACTGCAGCAAAAGCTTCCTCCCCACAAGACAGACAGGGACCTGGAGGAAGGAGGAGGGAGTGACACCCAGCAGGCAACCCACCAGAAACTCTTAACGGTGGCCACAGGGTCTGTGACGCCTGCCCCAACCCTGCCTGCCACCCCTGCAAGCTAAGCAGAGCATTTTCTACCTCTTAAAACTTATGGACACTTTAGGTCAAAGGATAGTATGCTATTCCTCCCACCCTAAATTAACTATAAAAATTCCATTTATGTTCTCTGTTCTCAAGAGTCTAGAGGGCTACCGTAAGTTTGCATTTGAAAGTTTCAATAAAAAACCAATAGGGTTTTTTCTCGCTTTTTGAAATACACAATTATAATATTAAAAGCCTTTTTTTTTAAATTCCACACACTCTGAGATTCTGACACCCCACCTTGGGGAATGTAGTTCTCACTCACCACTAAGAGTCACTGGCCTTTGAATAGATAGTAAAAGCCAATTAATATGAATCTTTAAAGGCAGATTCTTAGAGCTGTACGTACCCCTAGTCTAATGCCTCTCTTTAAAGATGGAAAAGTTGAGGCTCAGAGAGAAAAACAGAGTTGTCTAAGGTCATACTTAGAGTGAAAGACTGAGTAAGGTTTGATACCTAATGTCTCTTGAGTTCCAATTTAGTGTTGTTTCTGTCTCCTTTCATTAATTTCTAATTCAACTTGGGTTGAGCTGAAATACACCGGGGTTTGATCTAGAAATAAAAAAGGCAGCTAAGCAAAAGAATTTTATTATCCAAATTCTAAAGGAAGGTGTCTTATCTGTATACTTCAGAAGTCTGAAAGTAATATAGGATCAAGGCCTAGCACCTAACGCAGAAATTCACATGGCCTAAGAGTGCAGAAGATATTTCGTGAGTAAATAAATGAATGAGTAAATTTTTTTTAAAACGTGGAAAATCTGCCTAGTTTAGCACGTGGTCCATGGTGTCCCTTTTTTGGGTGAGCCTCAGTTTCCTAATCTGTTCAAGAAGGGTAATGCTGCTCCCTGTCTTAAGCAGTTCTCACAAGGATCAAATGTATATCAAAGTGATTTGTAAACAGGGAAATGCAAATATTATACAGAAGAGCCCTGTGAATTGGTTTGATAAGAAGCCCAGAGAACAGAGATAAAGTCCCCAAAGAAAAAATGGAATTATACAAATCCTTTCCCCACTGTGAGTTCCCCTCAAGCAAAATTCTAGTGTACATAGCTTTATTTCTATATACTTTACCAGAAGCCAATCTTTGTTTAAGTATATGTGAGTCAAACTTGATAGAGGTAATTAGAGAAAGGGGGATTTGAGATAGGAAATGGAAAGAAGAGTGGAGTAGATGGTCTAGCAGGAGTGGAGACTTTTGGGTAGTGAAAAAAAGCTGGAGAAACAAAGGAAACTGCAACATGACAAACTACACCAAATATTTCTAAAATGCAATGGAAAATTTTAAAGACACAGTTTCTAAAATCGCAATGCCTCACATTTTGGTTACACCATGCATAACATATTTACATGATACTTTTAAAGACATTAATGTCAGTCTTGTTTAAAATAAAAAGCAAAAAGGGGAGAAGAGCCTTTGAGATATTAGGCAAAATTTTTAAAAAAGCAGACAAGTCATATAGCCTGGAAATAAATTGGATTAAGGGCAAATGAGTTATTTTTCTTCCTTTAGCTCAGACATATTTATTTAACTACACACATACCTATATTAACACACTAGTGTGTGGCATTTATAGTTCAAGCATCCAATAATTATGGTTTGGTTCTCTACAGAACAGGTGATAGTTTTGTACGTATGAAAACAAGGAACATTGGTTCAAAGAAAAAAGGTACAGAAGTTAAGTGTTTTGAGGTGGGTGTCTGGGAGCTTGAGAGAGACTCAGAAGATGGGAGCTAACCACATGACTCTAATATAGGAAAGTTGTTGAACATAGAAGTGGACGTAGAAAAATAAAATTGTCTTCTGGGTATCATGTGTAACAAGGCAAAACAAATGGAAAACTTCTTATTGACAATGCTGGGATGGTGAGATCCAGGGAACTTTCTAGTCCATAAAGGTTGGCAGGTGTAAATAAACTGGGTAATTTTCATGTCTCTCATTTGTGATATATAAACTCTTGTTAAGATCTTTAGTGATTTGTCTAAACTATTTTTGTGAAAGTAGAGGAACTGGTAAGTGTTTTCAATTGCTAAATTGGTCCCACAAGAATATTTTTGGATAGGTCTGTCAATTGCTGACTTCTACAAACACACACACAAACACACACACACAAACATCTGTGATGGTTAATTGTATGTGTCAAATTGGGTAGGCTAAGGAATGCCCAGATAGCTGGCAAAACATTATTTCTGGGTGTGTCTGTGAGGGTGTTTCAGGAAGAGATTAGCATTTGAATTGGTAGACTGAACTGGTCGATCAATTGGTAAAGAAGATCCACCCTCACCAATGTGGGTGGGCATCATCCAATCCATCGAATAGAGGAAAAAGGTAGATGAAGGGAGAATTTCCTATCTGCTTGAGTGGAGACATCTGTCTTCTCCTATCCTCAGACATCAGAGCCGGTTCTTAGGCCTTTGGACTCAGGCCAGGACTTACACCGTTAGTCTTCCAGTTCTTAAGCCTTCAAGTTTGGACTGACATTACACCATCAACTTCCCTTGGTCTCCAAATTTTAGACAGCAGATTATGGCACTTAGCCTCCATAATCAGGCAGGTCAATTCCTTGTTTTATACACACACACACACACACACACACACACACATACACAAACACACATACATATAACTGGTACACACACAAATATATATATATACATACACATACATATATACACACACACACACACACACACACACACACACACACATACACATATGTATATATAATGGTATGCGTCCCAGTTAGGGTTCTCCAGAAAAAGAGAATATATATATATATATATATATATACACATATATATTATATATTATATGTATTATGATACACACACCATAATAATGTTTTGATTGATCAGGCTAAGTCCATTTATCTCATACTGCAATAAGAGATATCAGTATTTGCCTGTCTTAGTAATGTCTAGAAGGGGTAGTCAATAGTAAGATATGCATAAGACTCTGGGGGTCTGATTTAGAATAGATAATTTAATGCTGGAGCATGATTAGGATTGGAATAATTTGTGATATTTCAATCATTTGGAACTGATGAACACAGTGAGGTAAGAGTTTTGAAGCAAGCCTTGAAGTGTAGCAATAACAAAAAAAGTGCACGGAATGACTTGGCAATTTGAGAAGGGGCCCATTGCCCTGATGAGAATTAGATGAGTGTTCTTTTGTTCAAATATTTGAATTTTTAGGAAGTCCCTGAAACAACCAAAAATTATATACAATTTCATCTTCTCAGATAAGAATTTCCTGGAATAGTAAGATCACGTTCTTAATGCAATTATGCTGTGTAACCACTGATGGTTTCAGTTCTCAGGTGACAAAATTGAGGCTGAGAAAGTCCTGGCTTCAAGAGTTAAGATGGAGTAACCATACTCTACCTTGTCTTTCTTAGTGAATACAGTTATAAAATTTAAACAGATTACCTGCAGCAGCTAAGTGAGAGCTTTGAAAAGTAAATGGTAGCAGGAAGATTGATGAGGAAGATGAGAATTTGAAGTACCAACCAACTGTTGGTGAGTTTCCCATTTTTTCCCTCCAGTATCTCCAGTCCTGAGTCCAAGGTAGGGACCTAGACAGAACTGCAGGAAAAACATAGTTCTGGTTTAAGAAGCAGGAAAGTGGATAACTAATATTCAGAGGCAGTAGGATTCATTTTACTTTTTTTTTCTTCTTTTCCTTCTCAGCCCCCAGACAGTCCCACAGTAGTAGTGGTGATAATAACAGTGATGTCAGCAAGGCTCCAGGTGCTGAAAACTGTGAGAAAGTGTAATTACTTGATGGGTTCTTCCTGCCCACTGCATGGACAAAACCAATTCACGGAGACTGTGGTTTTGCAGTGGAGAAAGAGCTTATGTATGTATTTTTTAAATTTCAACTTTTATTTTGTATACAGTGGGTACATGTGCAGTTGTGTTACGTGGGTATATCACATCTAGGTAGTGAGCATAGTACCAATAGGTAATTTTTTAGCCCTTGCCCTCCTCCTTTCCTCCCCCATCTAGTAATCTGTAGTGTCTGTTGTTCCCATGTTTATGTCCACGTTATGGACATATGTTTAGGTCCATGTTATGTCCATTTATGCTCAATGTTTAGCTCCCACTTATAAGTGAGACATATGGGATTTGTTTTTTTGTTCCTGTGCTAATTTACCTAGGATTATGGACTCTGGCTCCATCTATGTTGCTGCAAAGGACAGGATTTCATTCTTTTCTATGGCTGCATGGTATTCCCTGGTGTATATGTATTACATTTTCTGTATAGGATCCACCATTGATGGACACATTGGGTTAATTCCATGTCTTTGCTGTCATGAATAGCACAGCAATGAACATACAAATGTATATGTCTTTTTGGTATAATTATCTATTTTCCATTGGGTATATACCCCATAATGGGATTGTTGAATCGAATGGTAGCTGTTTTAAGTTCTTTGAGAAATTTCCAAATTGCTTTCCACAGTAACTGAACTAATTTACATTCCCACCAACAGTATATAAGTATTCCCTTTTCTCCACAGCCTTGCCAGCATCTGTTTGTTGGTTGCTGTTGTTTTTTGACTTTTTAATAATAAGCATTCTGACTGGTGTGAGATGGTATTTCCTTGTGGTTTTGATTTCATTTCTCTGATGATTAGTGATATTGAGCATTTTTTCATGTTTCTTGGTTTCTTGTATATCTTCTTTTGAGAAGTGTCTGTTTGTGTCCTTCGCCAATGTTTTCATGGGGTTATTTGTTTTTTGCTTGTTGATTTAAGTTCCTTGTAGATTCTGGATACTAGACCATTTTTGGGTGCTTAATTTGCAAATATTTTCTCCCATTCTGTAGATTGTCTGTTTACTCTGTTGATAGTTTCTTTTGCCATGCAGAAGTTATTTAGTTTAATTAGGTACCACCTGTCAATTTTTGTTTTTGTTACTATTGGATTTGCGGACTTAGCCAAAGATTCTTTGCCAAGGCTGATGTTGAGAAGGTTTTCTTCTAGGATTTTTATTGTTTGAGGTCTTACATTTAAATCTTTAATTCATGTTGAGTTAATTTGTGTATATGGTTAAAGGTAACAGTCCAGTTTCCTTCTTCTGCATATGGCTAGCCAATTATTCCAGCACCACTTATTGAATAGGGAGTCCTTTCCCCATTTGTTTTGTCAGCCTTGCCAAAGATCAGATGGTTGTGGGTGTGTGTCTTTATTTCTGAGGTTTCTATTCTGTTCTGTTTGTCTTTGTGTCTGTTTTTGTATCAGCACCTTGCTGTTTTGCTTACTGTAACCTTATAGTACAGTTTGAAATTGGGTAGTGTGATGCCTCCAGCTTTGTTCTTTTTGCTTAGGACTGTTTGGCTATTCAGGCTCTTTTTTGGCTCCATATGAATTTTAGAATAGTTTTTTCTAATTCTGTGAAGAATGACGTCAGTAGCTTGATGGGAACAGCAGTGAATCTCTAAATTGCTTTGAGCAGTATGGCCGTTTTAACAATATTGATTTTTCCAATCCATGCGCCTAGAATGTTTTTCTGTTTATTCGTGTTATATCTGAGTTCTTTCAGCAGTGTTTTGTAGTTCTTGTAGAGATCTTCCACCTCCTTGGTTAGCTATATTCCTAGGTATTTTTTTTGTGTGTGTGTGGCTATTGTAAATGGGATCGTGTTCCTGACTGAACTCTCAGCCTGGATGTTAATGGTGTATAGAAATGCTACTGATTTTTGTACATTAATTTTGTATCCTAAAACATTGCTAAAATTATTTATCAATTCTAGTAGCTTTTAGTCAAGAGTCTTAGCAGCTTTCTAGGCATGAAATCATGTCATCAGCAAAGACAGATAGTTTGACTTCATTTCTTATTTGGATGTTTTTTATTTCATTCTCTTCCCTGATTGTTCTGGCTAGGACTTTTGGTACTATGTTGAATAGGAGTTGTGAGAGTGGGCATCCTTTTCTAGTTCCAGTTCTCAAGTGGAATTGTTCTAACTTTTGCCCATTCAATATGATGTTGGCTATGGGTTTGTCATAGATGGCTCACTATTTTGAAGTATGTTCCTTTTGAGACGTGACAACGTGCTAGCAGCCCTCCCTCACTGTCAGCGCCTCCTCGGCCTGGGTGTCCACTCTGGTTGTGCTCGAGGAGCCCTTCAGCCCACTGCTGCGCTGTGGGGGCCCCTCTCTGGGACCAGCCCAGGCCAGAGCTGCTCCCTCTGCTTGCAGGGAGGTGTGGAGGGAGAGGCGTGGGCGGGAGCCGGGGCTGCGCCCGGCCCTTGTGGGCCGGCAGGGGTTCCTGGTGGGCTGGGCTCAGCGGGCCCACACTCAGTGTGCAGGCCAGGCGCCTGCTGGGCTTGATTGGAGGCTGGGTCCAGCACCTGCTGGGCTTGATGGGAGGCTGGGTCCTGTGTGTGGACTGCTGTTCCCTCTTCGCGGGGTCATTGGCCATGATGGCGGGTCTCTGTCTCTTTCTCGCTTCCCCTCTTTTCCTCTTGGTTGTCCCGGATGAGCTCCCTCTGGGCTACCAGACTGCCTGAGCTAGGTGCTGCAAAGTCCCATGGCCAGTGCCAGTGAGAGGTGAAGCCGGCTGGGCTTCTGGGATGGGTGGGGTCTTGGAGAACTTTTCTGTCTAGCTAAAGGATTATAAACGCACCAATCAGCACTCTGTGTCTAGCTAAGGATTTGTAAATGCACCAATCAGCGCTCTGTGTCTAGCTAATCAGGTGGGGACTTGGAGAACTTTTGTGTCTAGCTAAAGGTTTGCAAACGCACCAATCAGCACTCTATCAAAACGGACCAATCAGCTCTCTGTAAAATGGACCAATCAGTTCTCTGTAAAATGGACCAATCAGCAGGATGTGGGTGGGGCCAGATAAGGGAATAAAAGCAGGCCACCCGCGCCAGCAGCAGTAACTTGTTCAGGTCTTCTTCCACGCAGTGGTAGCTTTGTTGTTTTGCTCTTCGCAATAAATCTTGCTGCTGCTCACTTTTTGGGTCTGCGCTGCCTTTATGAGCTGTAACATTCACTGTGAAGGTCTGAAGCTTCACTCCTGAAGCCAGCAACAGCAGGAACGCACTGGGAGGGACGAATAACTCCGGCTGGGAGGAACGAACAACTCCAGACGTGCTGCGTTTAAGAGCTGTAACACTGACTGCGAAGGTCTGCAGCTTCACTCCTGAAGTCAGTGAGACCACGAACCCACCAGTAGGAAGAAATTCCGGACTCGTCTGAACATCAGAAGGAACAAGACTCTGGACACACCATCTTTAAGAACTGTAACACTCACTGCGAGGGTCCGTGGCTTCCTTCTTGAAGTCAGTGAGACCAAGAACCCACCAATTCCAGACACACTTTGATGCCTAGTTTTTTTGAGGGTTTTTATTGTGAAGTGTTGCTGGATTTTATCTAAAGCTTTTTCAGTATCTATGGAGATGATAATATGTTTTTTGTTTTAATTATGTTTAATGTGGTGAATCACATCTCTTGATGAGCATATGTCAAACTGGCTTTGCATCTCAGGAATAAAGCCTACTTGATCATGGTGTATTAACTTTTGGTTGTGCTGCTGGATTTGATTTGCTAATATTTTGTTGAGGATTTTTACACCTATGTTCATCAGAGATATTGGCCTGAATTTTCCTTTTTTGTTGTGTCGCAGCCAGATTTTTGCAGTATTAAGCTGATGCTGGCCTCATAGAATGAGTGAGGTCTTTCTCCTCAATTTTATGGAATAGTTGCAGTAGGATAGGTACTAGTTCTTCTTGATGCATTTGGTAGAACTTGGCTGTGAATCCATCTGATCCAGGCATTTTGTGGTTGGTAGGTTTGTTTTTTCTGATCCAATTTCATAGATCAATATTGGTCTACTCAGGGTTTTAATGTCTTCCTGATTCCATCTTGGGAGATTATGTGTTTCCAGGAATTTATCCATTTCCTCTGGAGGTAGTAATTTGTGTGCACAGAATTGTTCATGGTATTCTCTGAGGATATTTTGTATTTCTGTGGGATCAGTTGCAATGTCATTTTTGTCATTTCTGATTGTACTTATTTAGATCTTCTCTCTTTTTTTTTACTTTGTTAGTCTTTTTTTCCCCTTCATTTCTTCTAAAATAATAAATGGGATACATGTGCAGAATGTGCAGGTTTGTTACATAGGTATACGTGTGCCATGGTGGTTTGCTGCACTTACTGATTCTCCAAGTTCTCTCCCCTCACCCACTACCTGCTAAGAGGCCCTGGTTTGTGTTGTTCCCCTCTCTGCATTCATGTGTTCTTAATGTTCAACTCTGAATTATGAGTAAGAACATGCGGCATTTGGTTTTCTGTTCCTGTATTAGTTTGCTGAGGATCATGGCTTCCAGCTTCATCCATGTCCCTGCAAAGGACATGATCTCATTCCTTTTTATGGCTGAATAGTATTCCATGGTGTATATGTAACACATTTTCTTTATCTAGTCTATCATTGGTGGGCATTTGGGTTGGTTCCATGTCTTTGCTATTGTAAATAGTGCTGCAATAAACATACATGTGCATGTGTCTTTATAGTAGAATGATTTATATTCCTTTAGGTATATACCCAGTAATGGGATTGCTGGGTCATATGGTATTTTTGGTTCTAGATCCTTGAGGAATTGCCATACTGTCTTCCACAATGGTTGAACTAATTTACATTCCCAGTGTAAAAGGGTTCCTGCTTCTCTGTAGCGTTGCCAGCATCTATTGTTTCCTAACTTCTTGATAATCGCCATTCTGACTGCTGTGAGACGCTATCTCGTTGTGGTTTTGATTTGCATTTCTATGATCATCAGTGATGTTGAGCTTTTTTTCATATGTTTGTTGGCCATGTAAATGTCTTCTTTTGAGGAGTGACTCTTCATATCTTTTGCCCACTTTTTGATGGGGTTGTTTTTTTCTTGTAAACATGTTTAAGTTCCTTGTAAATTCTGGATATCTGACCTTTATCGGATGGGTAGATTGCAAAAATTTTCTCCCATTCTGTAAAGTTGCCTGTTCACTCTGATAGTTTCTTTTGCTATGCCTAGAAGCTCTTTAGTTTAATTAGATCCCATTTGTCAATTTTGGCTTTTGTTGCAATTGCTTTTGGTGATTTCATCATAAAATTTTTGCCCATGCCTGTCTCTTGAATAGTATTGCCTGAAATTTTCTTTCTTTGTTGTGTCTCTGCCAGGTTTTGGTATCAGGATGATGCTGGCCTCATAAAATGAGTTAGGGAGGAGTCCCTCTTTTTCTATTGTTTGGAATAGTTTCAGAAGTAATGGTACCAGCTCCTCTTTGTATTTCTGGTAGAATTCAGCTCTGCATCTGTCTGGTCCTGGGCCTTTTTTGATTGGTAGGCTATTAATTACTGCCTCAATTTCAGAGAACGTTATTGGTCTATTCAAGGATTTGACTTCTTCCTGGTTTAGTCTTGGGAGGGTGTATGTGTCCAGGAATTTATCCATTTCTTTTAGATTTTTAGTTTATTTGTGTAGAGGTGTTTATAGTATTCTCCGATGGTAGTTTGTATTTCTGTGGGATCAGTGGTTATATCCCCTTTATCATTTTTTTTGTGTCTATTTGATTCTTCCCTCTCCTTTTCTTTAGTAGTCTAGCTAGTGGTCTATGTATTTTGTTATTTTTTTCAAAAAGGCAACTCCTGGATTTGTTGATTTTTTGGAGGGTTTTTCATGTCTCTATGTCCTTCAATACTTCTCTGACCTTAGGTATTTCTTGTCTTCTTCCAGCTTTTGGATTAGTTTGGTCTTGCCTCTCTAGCTCTTTTAACTGTGATGTTGAGATCTTTCTAGCTTTCTGACGTGGGCATTTAGTGCTATCAATTTCCCTCTTAACACTGCTTTAGCTGCATCCCAGAAATTCTGGTATGTTGTCTCTTTGTTCTCATTGGCTTTAAAGAACTTCTTGATTTCTGCCTTAACTTCATTATTTACCCAGGAGTCATTCAGGAGCAGGTTGTTCAATTTCCATGAAATTGTGTGGTTTTGAGTGAGTTTCTTAATCCTGAATTCTAATTTGATTGCACTGTGGTCTGAGAGATTGTTTGTTATGATTTCAGTTCTTTTGCATTTGTGAAGGTGTGTTTTACTTCCAATTATGCAGTTAATTTTAGAGTAAGTGCCATGTGGCGCAGAGAAGAATGTATATTCTGTTGATTTGGGGTAGAGAGTTCTGTAGTCGTCTACTAGGTCCACTTGATCTAGGGCTGAGTTCAAGTCCTGAATATCCCTTTTAATTTTCTGTCTCATTGATTTGTCTAATACTGACAGTGGGGTGTTAAAGTCTCCCACTATTATTGTGTGGGAGTCTAAGTCTCTTTGTAGGTCTCTAAGAACATGTTTTATGAATCTGGGTGCTCCTGTATTGGGTGCATGTATTTTCAGAATAGTTAGCTCTTCTTGTTGAATTGTTCCCTTTACCATTACATAATGCCCTTCTTTGTATTTTTTGATTTTTGTTGGTTTAAAGTCTGTTTTGTCAGAGAGTGGAAATGCAATGCCTGTTTTTTTCTTTCAAACTCTAATATCCTTTTTCTCCATTTGCACTGTGTTCTGAGAGTGTGCTTGGTGCAATGTCAATGCTTTTGAATTTATTGAGACTTGCTTCATGACTGGTCATGTGGTTGATCTTAGCATATGTTCCATGTGCAGATCAGAAGTATATGCTGTGGTTTTTGGGTGGAGTGTTCTGTAGCTGTCTATTAGGTTCAATTGGTCAAGTGTCGAGTTTAAGTCTAGAGCTTCTTTATTAGTTTAGTTTTCTGCCTTGATGATCTGTCTAAAGCTTTCAGTGGAGATGTTGAAGGCTCTCACTATTATTGTGTGGTTGTCTATGTCTTTTCATAGGCCAAGAAGAACTTGTTTTATGAATCAGGGTGCTCTGTTAGGTTCATATATAATTAAGATAGTTATGTCTTCTTGTTTATCTTTATCCTTGTTTACCCTTATGTGATGCCCTTCCTTGTCTTTAATTTTTGTTGTTTTAAAGCCTTTTATCTGATATAAGAGTAGAAACTCCTGCTCAAGAAAGAGTTTAATTAACACAAGGCCACCAAGAGGCAATCCTGGAGTTGTCACTCAAGTAAGTCTCTATGAAGGTTCAGAGGTTAGAGTTTTTCAAGGATAGTTTGGTAGGCAAGGGGCTAGGGAATGGGTGCTGCTGATTGGTTGGGGACACAGTCATGGGGTGTAGAAAATGGTCTTCATGCAATGAGTCTACCTCTGGGTAGAGGCCATAGGAGTAGTTGAGTCTTGTGTCTGGGTGGGGTGAGTCAGTTGCCAGAATGCAAAAGTCTGAAAAAAATCTCAAAAGACCAATCTGAGGTTCTATAATAATGATGTTATATATAGAAGCAATTGAGGAAGGAAGTCAAAAATCTTATAACGTCTGGCCATATTGACTCTTGAGCAGTAAGAGATTATAGAAAATGTGCCTATATTTTAGCAGAATTACGTCCTTCCCATAATCTAATCTTGTGGTCTTTCATTAGTTTTATGAAGATTGTTTCAGCCCCCAAACATAGAGGGGATTAGTTTTAGGAAGGGACTATTATAATTCTTTCTTCCAAGTGAAACCATAATCTAAATTCCTTGCTTAGTTAGCTTGGCCAATGCCCAGGAATGAGTGAAGACAGCCAGCCTGTGAAGCTAGAACCAAGAAGGAGCTAGCCATGTTGGATTTCTCTCACTGTCATAGACTTTTCAAAGGTGGTTTCAAAAGGGAAATCTATTTTTCTGATAAGAGGGATTGAAGTTATAGGATTCCCACAAATAGAGAATAAAGAATGTGATGCAGGTAAAATTTGAAGAAATAACGACTGAAAAATGCCCACGTTTGATAAAAGACATAAACCCACAGATCTAGGAAGCTTAGTGAAATCTAAACAAGTTAAGTCTAAAAAAAATCCAGGCCCAAGCATATCATATTAAAACTTCTGAAAACTAAAGATAAAGAAAAAATTCTCAACTGTAGCCAGACAAATATAATACTTGAGTTATAAGGAAACAATGACTTGCCTGTCTGTGAATTTCTTATCGCAGTGGAACAGCTCCACCATGGCACTCTGACCATCTTGCACATTTCCACAGAGGTTCCACAGGCAAGGCTAAACCATACCTTGACCTAATCCTGTGATCTTTCTGAAACATGGTATGATAGGCAACATATTAGGAGTGATTGCAAGTTTCTCACTTGCCTCCCTATTTTTTGAGAGGCTGCCATGAGCAAGGTCCTCATCCTAACTCCCTGATTCTGGTGAAGTGTAGGGCTATTCACCTTGCCTCCTCCCCTTTAACTAAAGTCTAGAGTTGGCTGTTACATGACAGAGCAATCCTCAGCTTATATTGTTGATCATCTGGTCCACCCAGTTCAGTGTCATCCTGTGGGAATAGGGATGCAGATAGTTGACACCATGCTGATCTTGCTTATGCTATCAGTGTGAGTACAACTGTCTAACTCTATTTGGACTTGCTGTCTCCTTACTAGCTGAATCTGTGGAACTGTAACAACCCAACATAATAGTTGCTACAATGTTACTGCTCAGGGAATGTTTGACACTCATCAGAAACCATTTAGGCTAGAATGAAAGTTCAAAACATTTTTTTAAGTTCTAAAAGAAAAGAGTGCCATTCCAGAATTGTAGGTGGAAATATACTTCAGAAAAAACAAACGTAAAATACAGATATTCTCAAATGAAGGAAAAGTAAGAGAATTAATTTCTAGTATAACTGCTCTGAAGATTTGCTAAGAGTTCTTTACTCCGAGAGGGATATGATACCTGAAGGAAATATGAAACACCCAGAATGAAAGAAGTGCAACATAAATGATAATTAGACTATTCTTATCTTGATTCTTAAAATATATTCAAGAGTTGAAATCAAGAGTTGCTGAGAACAGTGGCTCACACCCATAATCCCAGCACTTTGGGAGGCTGGTTCAGGAGGATTACTTGAGCCCAAGAGTTCAAGTCCAGCCTGGGCAACATAGTGAGACTCTGTCTCTACAAAATTAAAACATTTTCCTGGGCATGGTGGTGTGTTCCTGCAGTCCCAGCTATTCGGAAGGCTGAGGTGGGAGGATCACTTGAGCCCAGGAGTTTGAGGTGGCAGTCAGTTGTGATCATGCCACTGCACTCCAGCCTGGGCAACAGGGTGAGACTACATCTAAAAAAAAAAATCAAAACTTATAACACCGATTGGGTTTTAATGTACAAAGGTGTAATACAGAACTCAACTATTAATATAATATAAAATGGGGGAGGGTAAAAGGACCAATATGATGATGAGAGCTCTATATTCCTTTGAAGGGGCAATTGATTAGTTCTAAGTAGACTATAAAAAGTTAAAATGTATATTGTAATTACTAGAGCAACGAATTAAAAAAGAATCACAGATGTGTAATCAAAAACACAGTAGATAAATTGACATGCATATCTTATGTTCAAATAAACCTAAAGAAGACAGAAGCGTGAAAACCAATGGATGAAAAATAGAGAAAACCAAAAGAAAACAAATAATAAATGATGAATTCAAATCCAAACCTATCAGCCATTACATTAAATACAAATGGTTTAAACATACATATTAAAAGAGATTGTCAGAATAAACTTGAAAAGCTATAGGACCCAACTATATACAGGAATTTAAATTTATAATATAATGATTTTTTCATAAATTTACCGAGTTGTGCAGTTTTAGAACATTTCCATTACCTCAGTAAAATTCTTCATGCCAGTTTACATTTAATCACCATTCCTTCCTCCAGCCCTAGGCAATCACTAATTTACGTTATTTCTTTTTAGATTTGTCTTTTCTGGACATTTCATATAAGCAGAATCATACAATATGTGCTCTTTGAGGCTTAGCTTTTTCTATGTTATACTTAAAATAGTATGTTCAACTAATATTATTGAACACCCATTTTATTACAGGCATTATAAACTAGGCTCCTTGTGACCAAAAAGAGACATGAATCTTATAGTCTAGTGAGGAAAACAGACTCTAACCACGTACTCATACAAATGAGTGTAAAATATTTCCTAGATTTCCTGATGCTATGGGAATGTGACTAGGGGTTGAGAAAAGCCCTCACTGGGGAAGAAACATTTGATTCATACTCAAGAATAGGAGAGGCAAAGGGTAAAGCATTCCAGCTAGATGGAATAGGATGTGCCTACTAGCAGGAGGGAACATATTTATTATAAGTGACTGACAAAATACTGTTTGGCTGGAGATCAGAGAGGAAAGAATAGTGGAAGATAAGGCTGGAGAGAAGGGTAAAGGCCAGACCATGTTGTCATATTAAGCTATGTGTACGATTTTGCTCTATTTTAAGACCAATGGGAAGCCATTGAAATGTCTTAAATTGGGTTGGTGGGGGAAGGTGGGTAACTCGACAGGTTTGTTTAGAAAGACCCACACTAGCTGCAGTGTGAATAAGAAATTGAAAGAGAATCAATGTGGGTGCAGGGAGGTGAGTTAGGAGACTGTTGTGGTAGGTGGGTCTCTCTGGTGCCCCAACTGGCATGCCAGATGGATCTCATCCGGGTGATCCCCTGTCATGCATAACCCTTCAGGGTAAACTTCACAGTCACATAGTGTAGGTTAAGGGATAGGCTTTATTGAGAAAAATAAATTTGCAGGTCCAGAACAGCCAGAAAAAAAAATAAATCACAGACTCTCCATCCTCCTGTCATCCCATGAAGAGGCAAGCCAAGAGCCAGAGCACTACTGGGTCTTAGTAAGGAGAACATACCCCATTGCTAGGCCCCCTTTTTATTGGGTAAATGTGAAGAAGCAGTCATATCAATGGGGGAATATACAAGCTGCTGAGCAACAGGCAGTTTGGATTTGAGGTGGCGGTGATTTACAAGAGTTGTCTGGGAATGCCAATTACCCATGGAATGTTACAGTCTTCATTGCTACAGTGAAAAAGGCACCAGTCCCATGGGAACTTGAGTTTTGGTGCAGCCCCTTCCCCTAGGAGAAGTCAGAACCCCAGCTCCTACTAGTTCATTCTCCAGGCAATCCAAAATGTACAGCCAAAGTCATTGTCTGATAGTCCTGCTCATTGTACTATAGGGGCTGCTTTAGTAATCTAGACAAGGGGCAAGCTTTATCTGTAAGGGAACAGATAGAAAATAGTTTCAACTTTGCAAGCCATATGGTCTCTGTGACAACTACTTAACTCTTCTCTTGCAGCATGAAAGCAGCCATAAACAATACATAAACAAGTGGATATGTCTGTGTTCCAATAAAACTGTATTTACAAAAATTAGTGGTGACCGAGATTTGGCCTGTGGGTCACAGTTTGTTGATCTCTGTTTCAGGTAAGAGATGTTACCTATTGATTTTTGACAAAGATACAAAACCAAGTCAATGGAGGAAGGATAGCCTGTTCAACAAATGATAGTGATTAATTGGACATCCATCGGTAAAACAATAAACCTTGTCCTAAACTTCATACTTTATACCGAAATTTGCAGACAATGTATCATATATCTAAATGTAAAACCTAAAACAACAAAACTTTTGGGAAAAACAGAAAATTTTTGTAATCTGGACTTAGGCAAAGAATTCTGAGACAGAACACACACACAAAAATCTATAAAAGAAGAAAAAAATGATAGATCAGACTCCATCAAAATTAACCATTTTTCTTTGTCAAAGCCACTGTCAGGATAATTAAAAGGTAATTACTGACTGGGAGAAAATATTTGCAAACCACATAGCTGACAAAAGATATGTATGCAAATACATATGAAATTCTCAAAACTCAACACTAAGGAAATAACCTAATTGAAAAGAAGTGGGCAAAATGCTTCAACAAACACATCACGGATGAAAATACACAGATGAAGCACATGAAGCACAGAAAAATAGGTACATGAAGATGTTCAATACAATTGCGCATGAGGGAAATTTGAATGAAAACTACAATTAAATACCATTACAAACCTATTGGAATGGCTGAAATAAAAAATATTCACACTATGAAGTGCTGACAAGAACGCAAAGCGACTGAAACTCTCACACATTGCTGGTGGGAAAGCAAAGTGGTGCAGTTGCTCTAGAAAATAGAGTGTCAATTTCTTATAAAGTTAAATTTATCCTTACTATATGACTCAGTTAATCACTCTTTCCTAGAGAAATAAAAGCTTGTGTTCACACAAAAGCCTACGCATAATCACAGATCATAGCAGATATATTTATAATCACCAAAACCTGGAAACAACCCAAATGTTCTTCAATGGGTAAATGATTGGTTAAACAAATTGTGGTACATTTATGCAATGGAATACCACACAACCATTAAAGGGGAGAACTTTAGCTAAGCACAGTAACTTGGATGAATCTCAAAGGCATGCTGAGTGAAAGAAGACAGTTTCAAAAGGTGGTATACTGTACGATTCCACTTATGTGACATTTTTGAAAAGACAAAATTATAGTGATGGAGAACAGATCGGTGGTTGCCAGGGAAGGGTGGGAGAGAGTGCCACTGTAAAGGGGTAGGAGAGTTGTTACTATAAAGGAATAGCAGGGGGAAGTTTTATGGGGTGATGGATTTATTCTGTTTCTTTATTGTGTTGGTAGTTACACAAATATACACGTGTTAAAATTCATAGGACTATACACCCCCAAAAGTCAATTTTACTTTATGTTAACTTTAAAAATAAAATTAAAAATCAAGTTTGTGAATAAGCAGTGATAGCTAGAGTTCTCACAATTCAACCAATAAAACAATTTAATGTTTATATGATAATTATTACCAGAATAAATGATTATGTTGATTGCTTTATTTTGTTAACAAGCAGTTTCCAAATTCATAGTTTTAAAAATAACAATCAAGACCTTTGGGATATTTTTAATAAAGCCTGGAAAGATTTTGAAAGAAAAAAAAAAAGTAATTGAATCTGACTGGCTCAGGGTTACATGATAAAAAAAAATTGCCCGTTTAGAACTTGAATAGCGATTTGTGACTCTAACTTCCACTTTCCTTTCCAGCGTCTTTAAACGGGCCTTTGTTGCTGCCCCCTGTGGCATCAATGTCTGCCCGGTAGCTATGAGGGTCACACACCAGTTTCTAAGGCAGAAACTCAGCTGATTGGGACATATGGACCAAGCTTTCCCGCACAGGCAGCACCCTACCCCATCATTCCCCCTGAGAATCTCACTACCGTCCTCCTATTTACAGCCCTGACTGAATGCATCTCTCTCAACCACCCAGTAAACACAGTTTTATGATAGGGATTGCTTGCTGCTCAAAGGAGAAAAAAGAATCACTTACAGCTAATTTTAGAGCAAATTAATAATACCAACAATAATAATTATTAATATGCATTGCTATTCTTTTAAGTCGAATTATATGTTGTTATAAACCAGACCAAAAATATGACTTTCTCTCCTAGTGAAAGTCTTAATTAAACTGATACGTTTTAATATACTTTTGCTACATAATATAAATTATCTCTCCCTACCTCTATTTTTGTATTCTTCCCTTTAATAATCTTTAATGTGCAGTGTTAAAGAGGAAGAAAATTGGTGATTAATAAAGGAATGAACAGGTGGCTACATTGCTTCTAAAAGATCAGTAGTGTCATAATTTCTTAATTATTTTTATACTCTGTAAGGATTTTTAAATACATGACGATATATTTCCTTCTTATACTTCTGGCATACTACAGCTAGTGGCATTACATTTCATTTCGAATAATAATTAATGAGAAATGAGGTATCTCTATACATTTCAGTCCTCCTGTTTTAGTCTCTTAAGTAACCGTTCTGTCACATTTGTTATGCAAATGCTGCAGCACTGCATGTAATTTCAGCAATATGGGGGACCACATCTCAGAATGCCTTGAAGTACTTTTGTGGAATTAATAATTTTTTCTTGAAAGCAGAATTTTCCATATGCCTTTCAAAGAAGCAGATGAAAGCTGCGTAATTGCTCTGTTTTCATCAAGGTGAACGAACCAATGAAACATTGAAAGTATCAGACAATAGAGGGAAAAAATAAGCTTGTCTTTCCTCTGGCACGTTGGTGTATGTGAAAGGGTGCTAAATGTACAATTAGATACAGAGTACCTGCCATCTCCTTAATAGCCACCCACTTAGTTGGATAAGTGTCCTGCCTGTCCAGATAAGGCATGTGTTTGATTAAAGGAAATCATTCAGTGTAAATGCTCGTCTATGGAGCCAATCAAAGACAGAGTCAGCTTGTCTATTATGGATCTGTCAATCTCGTCTGTTTGCTTATTAAAGTTTCTTTAGCAAACCCAGTGGCCTCCCTTTGGTATGCTAAGCAGGCCCAAACTTTGCTAACATCTTGGAGTGAAGTCACCAGCCTTTGAATGACTCTGGGAGAGTCTACAGGCCTTCTCCAATTTAGCAAAGCGTTTTGTTCCAAAAGTTTGTTTGTAAGTCAGTTGTTTGGAACTTGAGAAGCATTTTTCCCATGGAAACAATGTTACAAATGGTGAGAAGGTTCCCAGGCCAGTCCACAAAGGCCTATTTAACCAAGAATATGGCTGGACTATAGGGCCCATAGCACTAGAAAGCCAGCCGCCATTAAGATTATTGTTTCTATGGGAAAATGTGCTCCCGGGGCTAATTGTGGATGCCAGCAGCAATTCCATAGCCCTGTCTAGCCTCTGGCAGCTGGAGCCTGGACTACCCCAGTCTCCTCTTTCCTTCAGGCTTGCAAGGTGGAAAGGTGAAAAGTCCCAGGGGAATCAGAGAGAGAGCGTGGGAGGTCCACGGGCTTCAGCAGGAGAGATCTAGAGGGACAGGGTGGCCAGATTAGAAAATAAAAATATAGGATGCTTAAAGTTGACATTCAGAGAAACAATGAATACTTTTAAATATATATCTCATGCATTATTTGGGACATACCCTTTAAAAAGTATTTATCTGAAATTCCAATTTAACCAGAGTCCATATTTTATCTGGTAACACTAGGTAGGAATCATAGGCTTGGTGGATTGCCATGGTTGCAAGCACTCTGAAGCAAAAATGCAGGGGTTTAATAAGGAAGGATGGAATCTTCATAGGTCAGGGAAGTCTTCTTCAGGAAAGCAGCAGAATGCTGCTCTTCCGTATAAAGAAATATTTCAGAAAACTGAAGTTTATAGTTTATAGCCTTCAGCTCAATAACACTTTTGAGCTCTTTCAGTTGGAAATCTTTCTAAGCCATTGTACTTGCTTCGTTGACTTTTTAAGAGTAAATATAAGTTCATCTTGATGATATGAGAGTGACATTTTGGCTACAGAAGACTGTAACTTCTATCTTGCTAGCATTATTTTGTCCTCTTGCTGACTCACTCTGAAGGGAGCCAGCTGCCATGTTGTAAACTGTCCTGTAGACCTGTAGAGAAGCCCATATGACAAAGAACCAAGAAAGGCCCTGGCCAACATTCTGCAAGACATTGAACCCTGTCAACAACCTCTTGAACTTAGAAACGGATCTACTACTGTCAAGCTTTAAAATGACTGCAGCAGCAGTGACACCTTGATTGCAGCCCTTGTGAGAGACAGAGCCAGAAGATAAGCTAAACTATACTCAGATTTCTGACCCACAGAAATTTTGAGGTGATGAAAGTTTTCTGTTTGAAAGCACTAACTTTTGGAATTATTTGTTACACAGCTATAGATATAATATACCTCCATATGCCCATATTCTACAATTAACCTTTTACTACACTTATTTTATCACCATGCTTGCTGTATCTACCTATCTATTCATTCTTCTATTTATCCACCAATCTATTTTATTTGTTGTTTTTGTTGTTGTTTATGGCTACATTTTTTTTACTTCTATACTGATTACTATGTTAGAGATGCCTGAGGATGTGAGAACACTAACCTTTAAATAATTAAACTAATAGAGTGTTTGATCCTTCCTAAATTATGGATCAAATATGAACAATCCTATAACCCAGGGACATTGTCCAATAATTTATCCTTGAAAGATGAGACTATTGCCTCCAAACTATCATTCCCACCCTGCTTTGTAATCTTTTTACAATGCATTTATTTATTTATTTATCTTTTAAAATTCCATATTTAAGATGTTGCCACTTTTCAGTGCTTCAGCCAAAATTTTCATTTCATCACCTTTTTTCAATTATTATTGCTACACAACACTCTGAATTTAGTGTCAAAACCAACAACCATTGATTTATTATACTCAAGGATTCTTGAGTCAAGAATTTGGACAGAACACTGTGGGGATTGTTCCATGTGTTGTGGGGCCTCAGCTGGGAACACATATGACCGGGATAATTTGAATAGCTGAAGACTGGAATGACTTGGAGGGTTCTTCCCTCATTTATCTAATGCCTAGGCTATGATGTCTTGAAGGCTGGACTCAGCCGAAATTGTTGACCAGAGTACCTACATGTAGCCTGCCATATGACTGGGGCCTCTTACAATATGACAGCTGTCTTCTGAAAGAGAGCATCCTGAGATGATGCTTTCAAAGAGAGTAAATGTTCCAAGAGAACTAGGAAGGATTGGTCTAGCCTTTCATAAACTGGTCTTGGAAGTCACACAATGTCACTTCTGACATATTCTAATTATCAAAGAAGTCACAGCCCACTCAGAATCAAACGGAGGGGACATGGACTCCATCACTCAATGAGAAGAGTGTCAAATAATTTGCAGCCATGTTTTATAACCACCAGACATTTTAATTTCTCTTAATTGTTTCCTATGCCTACTAAAGAGGTAGTATATTTGGAAGATGCTGCCAAAATTGTTCACGCTTTCAGACAACCACAAGATATAATAGTTAACTCAGTAAACAATGTAATTTCCAAAATACAGCTGTTATATGATACTTGAGAAAACTTGACAGAAATAACTGATGACTCATTTGCAAATTTTGGAACAAAAGGTAGTTGACATTACACAGCATGTTACTATCTCACTATTACAACTGCAAAGAAAGTCACAACTGAAATACAGAAAACTTCTCCCTCAAATCATATTTCTATGGGTCCTTAAAGTGTATAAGAATCTCACCATACCCTTGTGTTTCTCTTTTCATTCATAAATGTGGTCATTCAATGGCTTAACCACCATCCACTTACCCAAATAGCCTCTTCTAAAACGCTTGTTGAATGTATGATTGAATCAGTGAGTGGACAGAAAAATTACTAAACCTTTGCCTACCAGAAAAGATACTTGGTGAAATAAAATTATTGGATTTGGAGTCTGGAAATGGAGACTTTTCACCAAATGTAAAAAGCAAATTCTGAATTGTTCAGTCATCCATCCATCTATCCATTCATGTTCAACACATTTTTGGAATCTAGGTCTAATAGGGCAGAAATTCAGTGGACAAGTAAAATATCTGATTAATATAATGAAAATACATTATAAGTACTATGAAAGAAAAAGCAAGGTTGTTCTAAGATACAATAATGTAGAAATAGACTTCATAATAGTTGGTCAAACAAAGTTTTTTTAAGGAGGAGACATTTAGGCTGATACCTGAAGAATTTGAAGGAAAGAAGGATTTGAGGAGTAGAAGAAAGATAGTATGTGTGAAGTTCCAGAGACAGGAAAGGAATTTGGAGTGTAGCTGAATTATAATGGACAAGGGAGAGTGATACTAGACAAAGTGCTGGCTAGCGTAAGAAGTTTGGAAGGCTGTAAGTGAGGAGTGATGGGATCTGATTTATATTTTTAATAAACACTCTACTACATGCATAGTGAAGTATAAAAAGCAAAGAAGAAAGCATTGCTTGCCTTTTCTCTCTTTTAATGAAGTCTTTGGATAAAAATTATTTATTTAATGTACTCCAACTTAATAATATTTTCCTTTATTGCTTATTGATTTTAGTGTCCTATTTAAAATTTTGTTTCTATCTTCAGGTTATAAATATACTCTCCTATATTAATTTCTAAAAGTTTAGGGTTTTGTCATTCATATTTAGCTCTACAAGATACAATTAATTTATTTTCATGTATAAAATGAGGAACAGGCCCAATTTCATCTTTTTTGCAGATATACATCCTATTGATTCAATGTCATTTATTGGAAAGGCTATTCTTTCTCCAGTGCTGTATAATGTCACCTTTACATAAAAAAGAATCCATATGTGTGTGGGTCTATTTCTAGGCTTTCTATTCTGATCACCTTGTCTATTTATTTCTCTGTGTATTCATGCTATGCTGTCTCAATTACTGTAGTTTTATAATAAGTGTTGATATCCAATATACCAAATCCTCTCATAATCTATAGATTGGCTTTGAGAAAATTAATATATTACAATGAGAGTCTTCTATTCTGTGAACATAGTACATCTTCTCATTTATTTCAATATTCTTCCTTCCTTTCTTCTTTCCTTCCTCCTTCCTTCTCTCCTTCTTGCCTTCCTTTCTTTCTTTTTCTTCCAACCCTCCCCCACTTATTCCACTAGCCTCTGTGTTTTTTACAGTCTTTTTTTTTTATTTTCCATATTTTGTCTATTTTTAGAAAGCTTATTTATCTTTTAAAACATCTGCTTTTCTATGGTTTCCTATTTCCTGTATGTATTTTCAAACTTGCACTTTTAGGCATATAAAATATAGCTGTTTTATAGTCTTGTTCTATAATTCTAATATCTAATGTCTTTCAGGTCTGTTTCTACTGTTTGCTTTTACTATTTAATCATTCTCATTATTCCTTATTTCTTTAGTTTTTTAAGTTGTGTTCTAATTCTTGTCCTTTAAAAATTATTTATAGAAATTGTTTGATGTCTATGGCAGTGAAGCTTTTCTCAAGAGTAGGATTGCATTTGCTTCTGCCAGGCACCAGGGTCACTAGTAGCCTGGAACCATTTTAATTTCAATTCATGACTTTTGGTGTTTGGGATCATGCAGACTTTGGCCAGTTGGGCTTTGAATCTTTATTAATATTAGCTTATGATTACTACTTCTGAGGGTGAATTCCCCCTTAGTACTAAGGCAACTTTCTTTACAGTGATCTGGGGGGTAAAGTGGTAGGTTTACACATGGTTCATCTTTACACTGAGGAGGCGGCCCTTTGAAACCCAAGTTTAAAGTAAAAAGATTATTCTGTCTGATGTCTCCCACTTTGGGTGGGCCCTATGTTTTGACCTTTGGCCTCCTCAGAAAACCCAAGTTAAAAATAGAGAAGACTGGCATATGCCTTTAGCAAAAGTGGTCTCAGTTTACCTCTTTATAAACTTGTGTATTTCTTTTTCCCTTTAGATTTTGACCTTGTAATTCTTTACTCTGTTATCACATCTTCAAAAAGCTAAAAAATATTTGTTATTAATCTTTTGTTGTTTAGTGTTGGAAGGTTGTTTGAATAATCTAGTATGTCATAAAGGGAAATTGAAGTCTCTGGGCCATTCTTTATCCATTGAACTTTCCTTCATACTTTTAGTGTTGAATTTACTGAAAATCTATGTTCAGGTGTAAAAAGGTGTGAGTGTGTGTTGGTACGCATGACAATGGCACTGTGAGGTCACTGTATTTGCTGCACTCCAATGTAGGTGGAATATTCTCTTCCAATGTGCTACCTCTGCTGCTTTTGGCAGAGCCAGAGGCATTGGAGTCTCTGCTCTGGGTCAGCCTGTGGTCTCTGGTTAGCAACTGCCTCACTCTTTTCCTTAGAATGGAATTGACTACTTGGGTCCTTTTTTGGTTGCTTGAAAGGGTCTTGAAGTAGTTTGCTTACTCTCTCTGCATTTACATGCTTCATTTCAACAATACATGAAGAAAATACTCTTTTTTATTTATGCTTTCACAGTTGAGAACTGTGAAAATGCTGGAGCTAGCTCATCCAATTTTTATAACATTTCCCAGGTCACAGAGAATGACAAACCAAATTTAACTTTTTGAGAAAAAGTGACAAATGTGTATCTGTTTTAGTCATTTCATAGAAATTAATCTTTGATGAGTAGAACTTTTAGGTAGAATGTTCAAATGTATTTATTTGTAAATTGATAGATAATATAGTGCTGTAAAAAACTTCGCAGTGCAGATATTTTTCTTGAACAATATGATGTTTTGAAATATATATATTGTGGAATGGTTAAATCTAGTTAATTAACGTATTGCCTCACATAGTTATCATTTTGTGATAAGAATACTTATCCACTCTTTTAGCACTTTTTTTTTGAGTTGGAGTTTCTCTCTTGTCACCCAGGCTGGAGTGCAATGGTGTGATCTTGGCTCACTGCAACTTCTGCCTCCTGGGTTCAAGCGATTTTCCTGCCTCAGCCTCCTGAATAACTGGGATTACAGGCGTGCGCCACCATGCTTGGCTAATTTTGTATTTTTAGTAGAGACAGGGTTTCACCATGTTGGTCAAGCTGGTCCCAAACTCCTGACCTCAAGTGATCCACCCACCTCGGCCTCCCAAAGTGCTGGGATTACAGGCATGAGCCACGGTGCCCGGCCTCTTTTAGCATTTTTTCAAGAATAGAACTACTCAGCTTCAAAATACACTATAAGGCTACAGTAACCACAACAGCATGGTACTAGTACAATAACAGACACATAGACAAATGGAACAGAATAGAAAACTCAGAAATAAAGATGCACACCTACAACCATCAGCTCTTCCACAAGGCCAACAAAACCAAGCAATAGGGAAAGGACTTGCTATTGAAAAAATGATGCTGGGTAACTGGCTAGCCATATGCAGAAGAATGAAACTGGACCTTTACCTTTCATCATATGCAAAATTAACTGAAGATGGGTTAAAGATTTAAAGGTAATGCCTCAAACTATAAAAACCACAGAAGACAACCTAGAAAATATTCTTCTCAACATCAGCCTTGGCAAAGAATTTTTGGCTAAGTCCCAAAAAGCAATCACAACAGAAGCAAAAATTGACAAGTGGGACCTAATTAAACTAAGGAACTTCTGCTCAGCAAAAGAAACTATCAACAGAGTTAACAGATGACCTACAGAATGGGAGAAAATACTCACAAACTATGCATCTGACAACAGGCTAGTATCCAGAATCTATAAGAAACTTAAACAAATCAACAAGCAAAATCAAATAACATCATGAAAAAAAAATGGGCAAAGAACAGGGACAGACACTTCTTAAAAGAAGACATACAAGTGACCAAAAAACATATGAAAAAAGTGCTCAATATCAATAATCATCAGAGAAATGCAAATCAAAACCACAAGGAGATACCATCTCACTCCAGTCAGAATGGCTAAAAAGTCAGAAAAATAGATGCTGGTGTAGCTGTGGAGAAAGCGGACACTTATATACTGTTGGCAGAAATGTAAATTGGTTCAGCCACTGTGGAAAGCAATTTGGAGATTTCTCAAATAGCTTACAGCAGAGCTACTATTCGACTCAACAATCCCATTACTGGGTATACACCCAAATGAAAATAGATCATTATACTGAAAAGACACATGCACTTATGTGTTCATTGCTGTGCTATTCATGATAGCAAAAACATGGATTCAACCTAGGTGCCCATCAATGGTGGATTGTATAAAGAAAATGTGGTACATATACACAATGGAATACTACACAGCCATATAAAAGAATGAAATCATGTCCTTAGTAGCAATATGGACGCAGCTGGACAACATAATCTTAAGCAAAGTAATGCACAATTAGACAATCGAATACTGCATGTTCTAACGTACAAGTGGGGGCTAGACATTGAGCACCCCTGGACATAAGCATAGGAACAATAGATACTGCAGGCTGCTGGAGTTGGGAGGAAATTAGGGAGCGGGGGGCATGAGTTGAAAAAATTACCTACTGGGTAGTATGCTCACTGCCATTAACAAACCTGCTCATCTGCCCCCATATCTAAAATAAAAGTTAAAAAAATAAAGAATACATCATCTTTAAATATAGTCACCATGCTGAAAGTAGATCTGTTGAATTTATTTCTCCTACCTAACTGTAATTTTGTATCCTTTGACCAACCTCTCCCCATCCCTCCCAATCAGCACAGCCTCTGGTAACCATCATTCTACTCTCTATTTCTATGAGATCAACTTATTTAGATTACACATATGTGTGAGATCATGCAGTATGTGTCTTTCTGTGCCTAATTTCACTTAACATGATGTCCTCCAGGTTCTTCCATATTATTGTGAATGACAGAATTTTCTTCTTATGGCCAAATATTATTTCATTGTGTATATATACCACATTGTCTTTATCCATTAATCTGTTGATGGACACTCAGGCTAATTCCATGTCTTAGCTATTGTGAATAATGCTGCAATGAACACAGGAGTACAGACATATCTGATACACTGATTTCTTTTCCTTTGGATATATACCCAGTAGTGGGATTGCTGGATCATATGGTAGTTCCATTTTTATCTTTAGGAACCTCTGTAAAATTTTCCATAGTGATTGTACTAATTTACATTCCCACCAACAGTGTACAAGGATTGCCTTTTCTCCACATCCTCACCAGCATCTATTATTGCCTGCCTTTTTATAAAAAAACATTCTAACAGGAGAGAGATAAAGAGATAATATTTCATTGTGATTTTGATTTGCATTTCTCTGATGATTAGTGATGTTGAGCATTTTTTCATATACCCTGCATTAGTCTGTTTAGTGTTGCTATAACAGAACACCTGAGATTGGGTAGTTTATACAAAAAACGTGTCTATTTAACTCATGGTTCTATCAACTGAGAAGTTCAAGAAGTGAGGTGCTGGCATCTGCTTGGTTTCTAGATAGGGCTTTTTGTGCTACATTATAACATGTCAGAGAAAGTCAAAGAGGAAGTGGACACACGGGAGGAGGCAAAACCTGAAGGGCATTTTAGTTTTAATACAGTGCACTTTCAAGGAAACGAATCCATTGCCACAAGAACGAATTCTGTCCTGTCAGAGTGAAAACTTAATCGCTACTTTGAGAATGGCACTAAGCCATTCATGAGGGATCTGCCACCATGATGCAGACACCTCCCACTTGGCCCCACCTCCCAACACCGCCATACCGAAGATCAAATTTCAACATAACTTTTGGTAGGGATAAACAAACCTTACCCAAACCATAGCTCAGTGAAGGATGAGGGTCATATGATGAGGAACACAGCCACATCTATTAAATGAAGTAGAGCAAGGTGTTCAGGGACACCTTTTGGAGTCAGACAAAACTGAATTCAAATCCCACCTCCACCATTTACTATATCTATGTGTCCTTGGGTGAATCATTTAAACTACATCTTATCTGCAAAATATGAGAATCAGAATTTACTACATAGGCTGCTTATATGGATTAAATGAAATAATGTGTAAACTACACCTAGCATAATGAATGACATTGAACACATGATAAGTCATCAGTAAATTTTAATCATAATAATCATCGCTGAGTGGAAAGATGTGTGTGTGCGTGAAATGGGCACCTGTATACATATATAGGTGTATATACCTGTATATATATATATGATATATACATATCTAGATATGTATATATCAGATCTTCTGGAATCCTTTTAATGATATGAATTTATGTTGGAGGAGGTATATTATAGATCCAGTTATCTGGGAATAAGTTATCATCTGTGATAAGCTTAGAAGTGTAGTTAAGCCTTTTCAATGTAAAAGTGAGACCAAGAGTCCCAGTGAGGAAGAATATGGCCAAGAATCTGGCAATTGCTTCAAAACAATCCATCCAAAAGAATTTTAAAATGGGTTCACATTTGGATATCTTGTTCATTTCTTGAGAGGTATGTGCATAACTTGCTCTGCACAGTGCCAGGCATATAACATGTACTCAATAAATTTATTTACTGAATATTTCATATAACAACTGGCTATACAGTAGGTGGTAGCTGACACCCTCTAAGAAGGAGTCTAAGGGTGCATTTGGCATTTTCACTTTTGGCCTATCTAAGATTTATATTCATTAGCCTATAATAACCGCAAGAGGTATACAAGTCCGATATGAAGCTCATATACATTAGAAAATGTTCCCAAAGTTGTATAACTAGTTTATTGGGAAGGGGCATTAGGACTAAGCATTGTTTCTTTTCCACCACAAAAACTGAAATTTGTACCCAGTAAGAGAGTTATAATGTAAGGAGCACTTGGAGTTTCACCTTCGAAATTTACTGATTTAACTTCCTTGGATAATTTCTTGTAACTGGAATAGCAATGACGTCAGTAAAATAATTTAGATTGATTTTCATCAGATAATCAAAGAAAGGCAAACAAGGATGAGCCCACGAAAGATATTGGAGGCTAGAATAAAGAAAGAGAGTATTACAGTCTCCCTCTGATGGGTCAGGTTACTCCAACTTTTCCACCCATGAACAAGAAAGGGGCTTGCAAGCCTAGAGTTCTAGGACTCTCCAGCCACTATTCCCAGCCTAACCTATGGCTGTCCAGAAAAAAAGCTAAGTAGTGACATTCTTTTTGAAGTTTAGAAAAGAAACATTGTGAGGGATTTTAGCCATTATTCTCTAGACATCTATTCCTCTCCAACTTTACTTTCCTTATCTTAGAACTTCCCATAAACCTATCTCTCCATAAAATCTCACATCACAGAAATCCTCATCCTCATGTGTATTTGCTAGAATTCTAGAGCAAAGAGAGTGCATATGCAAAAAGGTTTAACTGAAAGGAATTTAATGAAGGAACTATGTATAAAAGTATGGGGAAGGTTAAGGGAACTGACACTCTTCAATGCCTGAGTAGTGGGGCACTCAGAGGCTAGCAACAATGAGAAGCTGTTACATCTCTAAGCCCTAAAGGGGTAAGAGTAATAACATCATTACTACAGCTCAGTGAGAGTTAAACCCATAGAACAGGGGCTACCCTGTTGGGCCATGGGTAAAGGAAAGCAGCCCCTGAAAATCCATGGCACTGTGGGGACTAGGTGAGGAGAGAGTCAGTATCCCAACCTCTTTCCTCTCACCCTCTTATCTTTTACTGTTGCTCGAATTGGCCAAACTCAACCAGAAGCTAGGGAGTCTAGGTGAGGCAGTCTCATGGGGGTACAGAGAAGAACAGAGAAGGGTGGATGATGGATTTTGGTGTGGGAAAATTGGAAATAAACCCTACATGCCCACTTTGCCTTGAAGCACCTAGTCTCATCTTTTGCCTAGATGAAGAAACTCCTATCCTCAAAACAAAGACCCATTAGCCAATGTATCACAAGTTCATATATCTTTATTCATATTCCTGCCTAGAACACACTTCACGAAGTTAGAAATATTAAGGGGACCTGATACTCTTCCTGTAATGAACCAGGATGAAGGGAGGGAAATAATTCATACAAAACACATGGCTACCATAGTTCCCTTTTGTGTAGCTGATCATCAGGCCTCTATTGATAAATCGTATCTGCCTTGTTTACGTACCCATTCCACCTTCTTTCTACTCTCTGATATCTGCAAGGATTTTTACATGGCATGATGACCCAAAGCTTCATTCCTACAGGGGTCTAAGTCCTTAATGGTTCACTCTTATTGAATTGCCTCAGTCTTATATTAACTTTTGTTATTGACAATGGGAATGCTAGAAGGACCTCAGTGAATCACCTGGGTCCATTTTCAGTCCTCCTGGCTGCTAGTGTGTAACAGTAACTCAATTTTATCTTGGCAATCAGGATCAATCACCCCACCCAGTATGGTCATCTGTTTCTCTACCTCTTGGTTCAGCATGTTGGGGAACCTGAAATGATCAGCAGGCAGTGTCAACTTCTAATTCATCAGCTCTTGCTTAAAAACCTACGTGTGATATTTCAGGCCTGACCATAGGTGATTACAAAGAGTTTACTTGGCAGATAAAAATCTTCCCTGTTCACTGTAGACTTGGTGCACAGAAACAGAGTTGAAGTCAAGGCCTTAGATCCTTCTAGCCAGTCATGATCTTTACGTATTTATTTTCCTAGCCTGGACAGCTTAACTCCCGGACTCTCTATCTGAGGCCTTGGGCAGAGGCCTTTCTCAGGCATCTCTGCTGAGACCTTCTTATAGGAGGAAGAGGGGAAAACCTTGAAGACACTTCACACCCTGACTCAGGACCTAGTACTTTTTCACTCTGAGCTCTCTTCTTTCTCCCATTCCCCATTCCAGGGCCCATAAAACTACTGGAGCCTTTTATTTAGGGCTCCTTCAATAGTGAGATGACTCCCACATCTGCACTGATCCACTGGACCCTCAACTTGTGTGCCATTCCATAGGAGGAAATAAAATAAGGAGTTGGCACTCTGGTTTAGACTCTTGCTAATACCATCTTAGTAAGTGATTAGAGGCTTAACTCATTTGTAACTTGTTACTTTAATTGGCTACAATGACACCTGGCAGCTCAGCTGGCTCTCCCAACTCAGCTAATCTCCTGACAATGAGAACCATTACCACTATTTTCTGGTGGAAATATTCTTCCCTTGGGTACTGGCACTTCCAAACCCATTAACCTGAAGGCTTGAGAGAGAGGAAGCACACTTATGTAATGTATAATAGTGATTGAGGTCATTTTTATTTATTCCCTTTGGTTCCCAGACCTGTGTATTCTGGCTATGGAAAATCACCGTATCTTGACTAATGCTTTATTTATTTATTTATTTATTTTTTATTATACTTTAAGTTCTTTAAGTTTTATTATACTTTAAGTTCATGTGCACAACATGCAGGTTTGTTACATATGCATACATGTGCCATGTTGGTGTGCTGCACCCATTAACTCGTCATTTACATTAGGTATATCTCCAAATGCTATCCCTCCCCGCTCCCCAAACCCCACGACAGGCCCTGGTGTGTGATGTTCCCCTTCCTGTGTCAGTGTTCTCATTGTTCAATTCCCACCTATGAGTGAGAACATGCAGTGTTTGGCTTTTTGTCCTTGCAATAGTTTGCTGAGAATGATGGTTTCCAGCTTCATCCATGTCCCTAAAAAGGACAGAAACTCATCCTTTTTTATGGCTGCATAGTATTCCATGGTGTATATGTGCCACATTTTCTTAATCCAGTCTATCATTGTTGGACATTTGGGTTGGTTCCAGGTCTTTGCTATTGTGAATAGTGCCACAATAAACATACGTGCACATGTGTCTTTATAGCAGCATGATTTATAATCCTTTGGGTATATACCCAGTAATGGGATGGCTGGGTCAAATGGTATTTCTAGTTCTAGATCCCTGAGGAATTGCCACACTGTCTTCCACAATGGTTGAACTAGTTTACAGTCCCAGCAACAGTGTAAAAGTGTTCCTATTTCTCCACATCCTCTCCAGCACCTGTTATTTCCTGACTTTTTAATGATCGCCATTCTAACTGGTGTGAGATGGTATCTCATAGTGGTTTTGATTTGCATTTATCTGATGGCCAGTGATGATGAGCATTTTTTCATGTGTCTGTTGGCTGTATAAATGTCATCTTTTGAGAAGTGTCTGTTCATATCCTTTGCCCACTTTTTGATGGGGTTGTTTGTTTTTTTCTTGTAAATTTGTTTGGGTTCTTTGTAGATTCTGGATATTAGCCCTTTGTCAGATGAGTAGATTGCAAAAAATTTTTCCCATTCTCTAGGTTGCCTGTTCTCTCTGATGGTAGTTTCTTTTGCTGTGAAGAAGCTCTTTAGTTGAATTAGATCCCATTTGTCAATTTTGGCTTTTGTAGCCATTGCTTTTGGTGTTTTAGACATGAAGTCCTTGCCCATGCCTATGTCCTGAATGGTATTGCCTAGGTTTTCTTCTAGGGTTTTTATGGTTTAGGTCCAACATTTAAGTCTTCAATCCATCTTGAATTAATTTTTGTATAAGGTGAAAGGAAGGGATCCAGTTTCAGCTTTCTATGTCTAGCCAGTTTTCCCAGCACCATTTATTAAATAGGGAATCCTTTCCTCATTTCTTGTTTTTGTCAGGTTTGTCAAAGATCAGATGGTTGTAGATGTGCGGTATTACTTCTGAGGGTTCTGTTCTGTTCCATTGGTCTATATCCTGTTTTGGTACCAGTACCATGCTGTTTTGGTTACTGTAGCCTTTTAGTATAGTTCGAAGTCAGGTAGCATGATGCCTCCAGTTTTGTTCTTTTGGCTTAGGATTGTCTTGGAAACGCGGGCTCTTTTTTGGTTCCATATGAACTTTAAAGTAGTTTTTTGCAATTCTGAGAAGAAAGTCATTGGTAGCTTGATGGGGATGGCATTGAATCTATAAATTACCTTGGGCAGTATGGCCATTTTCATGATATTGATTCTTCCTATCCATGAGCATGGAATGTTCTTCCATTTGTTTGTGTCTTCTTTTATTTCGTTGAGCAGTGGCTTGTAGTTCTCCTTGAAGAGGTCCTTCACATCCCTTGTAAGTCGGATTCCTAGGTATTTTACTCTCTTTGAAGCAATTGTGAATGGGAGTTCACTCATGATTTGGCTCTCTGTTTGTCTGTTATTGGTGTATAAGAATGCTTGTGATTTTTGCACATTGATTTTGTATCCTGAGACTTTGCTGAAGTTGCTTATCAGCTTAAGGAGATTTGGGGCTGAGATGATGGGGTTTTCTAAATATACAATCATGTCATCTGCAAATAGGGACAATTTGACTTCCTCTTTTCCTAATTGAATACCCTTTATTTCTTTTTCCTGCCCGATTGCCCTGGCCAGAACTTCCAACACTATGTTGAATAGGATTTGTGAGAGAGGGCATCCCTGTCTTGTGCCAGTTTTCAAAGGGAATGCTTCCAGTTTTTGCCCATTCAGTATGATATTGGCTGTGGGTTTGTCATAAATAGCACTTATTATTTTGAGATATGTCCCATCGATACTGAATTTATTTAGAGTTTTTAGCATGAAGGGCTGTTGAACTTTGTCAAAGGCCTTTTCTGTATCTATTGAGATAATCATGTGGTTTTTGTCTTTGGTTCTGTTTATATGCTGTTTTAAAACATATACTGCATCCTATAGATCAGCACCTCAATTTTGCAGAGTGTTATCTCCCTGCTGGCATTATCACTGAGTCTCCAGTAGGCCGTCTCATCTTCTATTAGGCCTCTGAGTGAGGGGACACATGTTAACACTAGTGAATTCCACAGGAAAAATACAATGACTCCACTTTTGCTGCAAAATTAATTCTCTGGTCAAAAGAGGCAATGTTGTGGGTGATAACAAGGTGGAGAATAAAATATTCCCTAAATCCATAAATGGTAGGAGTGGAAGAAGTGCTGTGGATTTGAAAGGCAAATCAGTGCTCAGAAAAATATTTGTTCCCACAAAGACGAATTTCTGCTTCCTTCATGATGGTACAGAACAAACCTGACATGAGGTGATTAGCTCAGTGAGAGGCGAAGCCAGCTGGACATCTGCATCGAGTGGGGACCCAGAGAACTTTTCTGTCTTACAAGAGGATTTTAAAATGCACCAATCAGCACTCTGTGGCTAGCTAGAGGTTTGTAAAATGCGCCAATCAGTGCTCTGTAAAAACACACCAATCAGTGCTCTGTGGCTAGCTAGAGGTTTGTAAAGTGGACCAATCAGAGCTCTGTAAAATGGACCAATCAGCAGGACGTGGGTGGCGACAAATAAGGGAATAAACACTGGCAACCTGCTCGGGTCCCCTTCCAGGCTGTGGAAGCTTTGTTTTTTTGCTCTTCACAGTAAATCTTGCTGCTGCTCACTGTTTGGGTCTGTGCCACCTTTAAGAGTTATAACACACACTACGAAGACCTGTGGCTTCATTCTTGAAGTCAGCAAGACCAAGAACCCACCGGAAGGAACGAACTCTGGACACATCAGCATTCCAAGTGAGAGGTACCATGTTGGAGATCAGCATTGGCCTCTTCTGTTGACAGGCTTGTCACCCTGTAGTGACAGTATCCAAGTCAAGCCTGGTGAGCAGAAGGCCATGTTATGGAGCCCATTCATAGCCTTCATCCATGCCACTGTGGCCACTTTGTACACAAGCTTATTGAACAAATATTGATGTAGCTGGGGAAAGTCTCATCTTGCCTACCAGGTTATCAGGGGCCTCCTCTGGAGTGGCAAGTCTCTTTGGCAAGAACACGTGTAAGACATATATATGTGTGTGTGTGTGTGTGTGTGTGTGTGTGTGTGTGTGTATAATTTCAATAGGTCTTGGGGAACAAGTGATGTTTGGTTACATGTATAAGTACCATAATTTCATTCCTTTTTATGGCTGAGTAGTATTCTATGGTATGTATATACCAGCATTTCTTCATCCACTTGTTGATTGGTGGGCATTTGGGCTGCTTCCATATTTTTGCAATTGTGAATTGTGCTGCTATAAACATCTATGTGCATGTATCTTTTTTGTGTAATGACTTATTTTTCTTTGGGTAGATACCCAGAAGTGGGATTGTTGGATCAAATCATAGATCTACTTTTAGTTCTTTAAGGAATCTCCACAGTGTTTTCCATATTGATTGTACCAGTTTACATTCCCACCAGCAGTATAAAAGTGTTCCCTTTTCACCACATCTCCACCAGCATCTCTCTTTTTTTTTTAATTTTTTTTATTATGGCCATTCTTGTAGGAAAAGGTGGCATCGTATTGTGGTTTTGATTTGCATTTCCCCATCATTAGTGATGTTGAGCATTTTTTCATATGTTTTTCCATATGTTTGTTGGCCATGTGTATGTCTTCTTTTGGAAAGTGTCTATTCATTTCCTTATCCCAATTTTGATAGGACTGTTTGGTTTTTTCTCTTACTGATTTGTTTGAGTTCCTCATAGATTCTGGATATTAGCCCTTTGTCAGATGCATAGTTTGCAAAGATTTTCTCCTACTCTGCGGGTTGTCTGTTAACTCTGCTGATTATTTCTTTTGCTGTGCAAAGGCTTTTGAGTTTAATTAAGTCCCATCTATTTATCTTTGTTTCTGTTGCATTTGGTTTTGGGTTCTTGGTCATGAAGCCTTTGCCTAGGCCAATGGCTAGAAGAGCTTTTTCCGATGCTATTTTCTAGAATCTTTAGGGTTTCAGGTCTTAGATTTCAGTCTTTGATCCATCTTGAGTTGATTTTTGTATAAGGTGAGAGATGAGGACCTTGTAGTATGGTTTGAAGTCAGGTAACGTGATGCCTCCAGATTTGTTCTTTTTGCTTAGTCTTGCTTTGGCTATGCAGGCATTTTTTATATGAATTTCAGGATTTTTTTTTCTAGTTCTGAGAATGGTAATGGTATTTTGATGGGAACTGCATTGAATTTGTAGATTGCTTTTGGCAGTATGGTCATTTTCACAATATTGATTCTACCCATCCATGATATTGGGAAGTGTTTCCATTTGTTTGTGTCATCTATTGTTTCTTTCAGCAGTGTTTTGTACTTTTCCTTGTAGAGGTCTTTCACCTCTTCGGTTAGGTATATTCCCAAGTATTTTACTATTTTTGCAGCTATTATAAAAGAGATTGAGTTCTTAATTGGATTCTCAGCTGGGTCGCTGTAGGTGTATAGCAGTGCTTCTGATTTGTGTATATCGATTTTGTATTTTGAAACTTTACTGAATTCATTGATCAGTTCTAGGAGCTTTTTTGGATGAGTCTTTAGTGTTTTCTAGGTATTTGATCATATTATTGATGAACAGCAACTGTTTGGTTTCTTCTTGCTAATTTGGATACACTTTATTTCTTTTTCTTGTCTGATTGTACTGGCTAGGACTTCCAGGAGTATGTTGAATAGAAGTGGTGAAAGTGGGCATCCTTGTCTTGTTCCAGTTCTCAGGGGCAATGCTTTCAACTTTTCCCCATTCAGTATAATTTCGGCTGTGGGTTTTTCATAGATGGCTTTTATTACCATAAGATATGTCCCTTCTATGCCGATTTTGCTGAGGGTTTTAATCATAAAGAGATGCTGGATTTTGTCAAATGCTTTTTCTGCATCTGTTGAGATGATCGTGGGATTTTTGTTTTTAATTCTGTTTATGTGGTGTATCACATTTATTGACTTGTGTATGTTAAACCATTACTGTATTCCTGGTATAAAACCCACTTGATCATGGTATATTATCTTTTTGATATGCTGTTGGATTTGGTTAGCTAGTATTTTGTTGAGGATTTTTGCATCAGTGTTCATCAGGGACATTGGTCTGTAGTTTCCTTTTTTTTTGTTATGTCCTTTCCTGGTTTTGGTATTAGGATAATACTGGCTTCATAGAATAATTAAGTGAGAATTCCCTCTTTCTCTATCTTTTGGAATGGTGTCAACAGGATTGGTAACAATTCTTCTTTGAATATCCGATAGAATTCAGGTGTGAATCCATCTGGTTATGAACTTTTTTGTTGGCAATTTTTAAATTTCCATTTTAATCTTGCTGCTTTGTATTTGTTCAGAGTTTCTATGGCTTCCTGTTTTAATCTAGAAGAGCTGTATATTTCCAGGAATTTATCCATTTCCTCTAACTTTTCTAGTTTGTGTGTGTAAAGGTGTTCATAGTAGCCTTGAATTATCTTTTTTATTTCCGTGGTAGCAGTTGTAATATCTCCCATTTTGTTTCTAATTGAGTTTATTTGGATTTTCTCTCTTATTGATTAATCTTGTTAATGGTCTATCAATTTTGTTTATTCAAAGAACTAACTTTTTGTTTCATTTATCTTTTGGTATTTTTTTGTTTCAATTTCATTCACTTCTGCTCTGGTCTGTGGTCTGACAGAGTACTTGATATAATTTTATTTTTCTTGAATGTATTGAGACTTGTTTTGTGGCCTATCACATGGTCTATCTTGAAGAACGTTTTATGTGCTGATGAAAAAAAGAATGTACATTCTTCAGTTGTTGGGTGGAATGATCTGTACATATATGTTAAGTCCATTTGTTTTAGGGTATAGTTTATATTCTTTCTTTGTTGACTTTCTGTCTTGATGACCTGTCTAGGCTGTCAGTGGAGTATTAAAGTTCCCCACTATTATTGTGTTGCTGTTTATCTCATTTCTTCGGTTTAGTAGTAATTGTTTATAAATTTGGGAGCTCCAGTGTTAGGTGCATAGATATGTAGGACTGTGATATTTTCCTGTTGGACTAATCCTTTTATCATTATATAATGTCCCTCTTTGTCTTTTTAATTGTTATTGCTTTAAAGTCTGTTTTGTCAAATATATGTATAGCTACTCCTGCTAGGTTGTGGTGTCTATTTGCATGGAATATCTTTTTCCACCTCTTTACTTTATGTGAGTGCTTATGTATTAAGTGAGTCTCTTGAAGACAGTAGACACTTGGTTGGTGAATTATTATCCATTCTGCCATTCCGTATATTTTAAGTGGTGCATTTAGGTCATTTGCATTCAGCATTAGTATTGAGATGTGAGGCACTATTCTATTCATTATGCTAATTGTTGCCTGAATACTTTTGTTTTTTAATTGTGTTATTATTTTATAGGTTCCGTAAGATTTATGCTCTAATTTCAAGGCGAATTTCAAGGTTTTGTTTCAAGATTTAGAGCTCCTTTTAGCAGTTCTTATAGTTCTGGCTTGGTAGTGGCAAATTCTCCTAGCATTTGCTTGCCTGGAAAAGACCGTATTTTTCTTTTATTTATGAAGCTTAGTTTTGTTGGATACAAAATTCTTGGCTGATGGTTGTTTTGTTTAAGGAGGCTAAAGATAGGACCCCAATCCCTTCTAGCTTGTAGGGCTTCTGCTGATAAATCTGCTGTTAATCTGATAGATTTTCCTTTATAGCTTACCTGATGCTTTTGCATCACAGCTCTTAAGATTCTTTCCTTCATCTTGACTTTAGATAACCTGGGTACTCTTTGAGCTTCTTATATGTGGATGTCTAAATCTCTAGCAAGGCCAGGGAAGTTTTCCTAAATTATTCCCTAAAATAAGTTTTCCAAACTTTTAGATTTCTCTTCTTCCTCGAGAACACCAATTAATCTTAGCTTTGGTCATTTAACATAATCCCAAATTTCTTGGAGACTTTGTTCATTTTTTTTTTTAATTCTTTTTTCTTTTCATTGTCAGATTGGGTTAATTTGAAAGCCTTGTCTTTGAGATCTGAAGTTCTTTTTCCTACTTGTTCAATTCTATTGTCAACTTTTCAGTGTATATTGCATTTATATAAGTGTGTTTTTATTTCCAGAAGTTGTGATTTTTTTTTTATTTATGCTATCTATTTCTCTGGAGATTTCTCCAACCTATCCTGTAATATTTTAAAAATGTATTTAAGTTGGTGTTCACCTTTCTCCAGTGCCTCTGTGAGTAGCTTAATAATCAACCTTCTGAATTATTTTTCTGGCAATTCAGAGATTTCTTCTAGGTTTGTATCCATTGCTGGTAAGCTAGTGTGATCTTTGGGGAGTGTTAAATAACCCTGTTTTTTCATATTACTGAATTATTTTTCTAGTTTCTTCTCATTTGAGTACACTATGTCAGAGGAAAGATCTGAGGTTCAAGTGCTGCTGTTCAGATTCTTTTATCCCGAGGATGCTCACTTGACCTAGTGCTCTCCCCCTTCCGCTAGGGATGGGGCTTCCAGAGAGCCAGAATGCAGTGATTGTTATTTCTCTTCTGGGTCTAGCCACCCAGTGGAGATCCTGGGCCCCAGGCTGGTACTGAGAAGTGTCTGCAAAGACTCCTGTGATATGATCCATCTTCAGGTCTCTCAGCTGTGGATACCAGCACCTGCTCCGGTGGAGGTGGCAGGGGAGTGAAGTGGACTTTGCGTGGGACCTTGGTTGTAGTTTTGTTTCGTGTGCTGGTTTTCTCAAATGCTGGTTGTCCTGGCAGTAAAGTTGTCGTGTGGACAGACTCAGGACCTCTGGCTAGCCAGGATGTTACAGGTGTTGAGGTTAGCTGTTGTTTTCTCCTTTCTTGGGGCAGGATTGTTGTTTTATGAGCTGCTGTAATGGTTAGTGTTGGTTGGCCTCCAGCCAGGAGGTGGCGATTTCAAGAGAGCATCAGCTATGATAGTATGGGGAGGATACAAGCTTGCCCTAGGGTCTCCTGGATAAATACTGGGTTTCTCAGGCAGTGGGTGGGGCCATAGAGCTTACATCTTTTGAGATTATGTCTTTTGTCTTTGGCTACCAGGGTTGGTAGAGAAAGACAATCAGGTAGGGGCAGGGTTAGACCTGCCTGAGCTCAGAGTCTCCTTGGGCTTTCTGCAGGTGCTGTGGGGGATGGGGTGTGTTTCTCAGGCCAATAAAGTTACATTCCCGGGGGTATTATGACTGCCTCTGCTGCCTCATACAGGCCACCAGGGAAGTGAGGGAAAGCTAGCAGTGACAGGCCTCACCCAGCTCCCATACAGCCAGAAAGGCCAATCTCACTTCTGTGGTGCTACCCCAACAGCACTGAGTTTATATCCAGGTAGCTGGTGAGCAGGGCTGGGAATTTGCCCCAGGCTATAAGCCTCCCCACAGGACTTTCAGGCTTCACTCCCTCCATGGCATGGCTTCTGTGCTCATACCTGCACTTCCAATTCGCCCTGAACCCCCGGATTCTGCCCTGGAAAATTCACGCCCAGTCAAAATTATTATAAAGTTCAACTGGAAGTTTCCTTCTCCCTGTGGTCTTTCCCCAATTCCACTGGAAGCCTCCCAAAGGATCCCTGTGAGATAAAGTCAGAAATGGGTTTCATTGGCTTCGCTCAGGTCTGGGAATGCCTGCAGGGCTCTTCCTGCTGCTTCTTCTACTTTTATATTTCTCTCAGCTCTCTAAATTTGTTTCAGCTCTAGGTAAGGTTAAATCCTTCTCCCATGATCTGGATTTTCAGGTTCCCCAGGGAGGATGTGTGTTCAGGGGTGGGCTTTCCCTGTCTCACACTTTGGGCACTCAGTTTTTTGGCTCTCTTGGATTTTGCCTAAGACACATTTATTTTAACACCCTGTGCCCATTCTGAGATGGGCACATACCTCTCCAAACCTTGTCATAAAAATGCCAATATTGTTCTCTCCAGTTGCCTAACTAGCCACCCATCTGTTAGCCGTAATCAAAGAACCTGTGTCTGAAGTTCATAGAGATCAATTTTCTGGAGTGGAGTATAGATGGAGATGTGGCTAATGGATAATAACCAGCACACAGGCTGTTCCAGATTTCCTGCTCTTCAAGGGACTTGGATACCTTCCTGCATTCCTGAGGCCTAATTTTAAGTCATAAACTCTGACTTTGTTCTGCTCACGGTGCTGGTAGAAGTGGGTGGAGGAAGCTATCAGTCTCTCATTAAGCCTGGCTGGTACTCCCCTTTTTCTATCTCGCATCTGTCATTTCCTCAGCCAAATCAATGCTGAGGAGCCCCTAGAAACAAGCAAGAGACATACCTCAGACCTCTAAAATAGTGTTATTTGTCTTTCATCATTCATATGTTCATTTATTCTTTTAAAAAGTATTGAGGAACTATATTGTCATCTTCAAGCCCCAGCCGAGGTCCCAAGGGACTGAGTGGACGGGGAACAGGGAGTTGGAAGAACACTCAAGAGACAGCAGGTAGATGGGACATGGCTTTATTCAGCAGCTCTTTCACAGTGTCAGTCCTGCATTTATACACCTCACAGACAATAGTGGCTCAGAGCCAGGTGATGAGCCTTCCCATGTTATGGCTACATAGCTGTGGTTATATAATGCATGGAATTGTGCACCTGCACTCCAATCCCACTGAGTCATGCAGGATGTTTACCTCGGCCTATGCCTGCCTGGCTGCAGTACAGCCATGTTCCTTACAATCCATCCCCTAGGCCGGGGGAGTCCTCTTAGTGGGGACCTGTGCACATATGATGGCACCCTGAACCCATAGGCCACAGCAACAATACAGGGAGCAACAGCCTATCACTAATATTCCTGCTATAACTACCCATTATTATTAGGGCCCAATGTAGGTTAGAGCCCAGAGACGCCCACCATCTCTGTAGGGGGTCATCAATAAGGCACTCAATCACCTTAATCTCCTGTAACACCCCTTGTAAAGCTGCTATTATGTTCTGGTGGTTGTCAGGGATATATGTACAACATTGTGACCCTGTAAGGGCACAGGTGCCACCTTGGTCAGCTGTTACTATGTCTAAGGCCATCCAGTTTTGCAGTACTACCTTCCTGGTTTGATCAACCTCATCAATTAATAGAAGGAGGGCAACTCGGGTGTAATTCAGGACCTGAACTGTGTGTTATGCAAGGGCTGTAATCTGCATTTCTACAGTGATGAAAACTGCTCCAATGATAGTTATTGCTAAGGGGTAGAGCCACCAGGGGGCCCACCACACTGGCGAAAACCAGGAATGTAGCACCTTCCAGTTGTGCAGGCACCTAGGCAATGAGGGAAGTACGGTGGCAGGCACATAAGGGCACCGCCAAGTAAAACATCCAGTCCAATTGGCTGGCAGATATGGCCATCCCGTGTCCCCTCAGACCCATAAACTCCCAGGGATACAAAGTCCATCAGGGCTCAGCCTCGGTAAGGCAGCTTGTTCCACCACAGCCTTGGTGTGGTGACATGTGTTATGTTTTTACAGGCCACGGTGGGCAACCATCCCACAGTGACTTTACCCCAGTGTTGATCTATATATTATGGTACCTGCAATGGGGGCACCATGTGTTCTCTCATTAGCCAGCCCCATTCATCATGAATGCTATGGGTCAGCCAGGGGGCAGGCATTTTTTGCAATGCAGGTTTTGCAATGCCCCCTATCCAAAGTTTGCCATGTTGCATCCCAACCATTGTCCATGAGACCCCAAGTCTCTAGCCTCATCCAGTTTTTCACAGAAGCTGAATGTACATGCCACGGCAGGCCATCTACAGCTGCTGCTGGAAGGACAGTGCAGATCCAACAGTTGGAGACATTGGTCACTTTGCCATAGGTGTGGGCCCTGTCCACAATGATGTTGGAGCATGCCAACCTATGGCCGAAACGACAAAGCAAGCACAGGTAATAAGAGGGGTAAATCATGTCCCTCAGGCAAAATACAGGTCAACTTTTTATCTCTGGATAACAGTGCTGCCACCAAGGGCTTCTGCACTGGGCAATGGTACCACACCTTCTCAGCTCCCCGTGGTTCTTTTGGGTTCTGTACCCATGCCAATGTCGCAGGGGAGCTCATGATAGGCCACACAGACAGCATATATGTCCCCTGGAGGAGGGTCCCTTCCCTGGCCGTTCTCCTAAGAACGGTCAGTTGTGGAGGTCACACATTAAATACCCAAAGAGTAACATGTAAGTCATACTGCAAGCCCTCCCCACAGCGGGCTATGATAGCCAACCATCTGCAATTGGGGGCTTGGAGGGTACATGGCCAGCATCAGGTTTTCTCTCCCCCTGCCTTCAGGGGCATTGGGGCAGGCAACAACAGATTACTGTTTGTCCCCATATCTGGTTGTAACAGGTCATCCTTTGTGTGTATCTGTAGCTGGATAGGGGTGCCGGCCTGGTGTAACAGTGCCTCCACTGGGGCTGGGCCACCTTTCTGTGGCCGCCCATTCAAGATTTGGAGCACTAGGTCCAGCCTGGAACTCCAGGCCCGCAAAGACAGGGGAGTAACATGCAAATGTAACCTGTTCTTCAGGAGTCTGTTATATCACTCAATCATGCCAGCGGCTTGTGAGTTATAAGGAACATGAAACCCCAACTGTATGACCATCTGCTGTGCCCACTATTGTGCCTGCTGTCCAGTGAAATGAGTTCCCCTATCACTTTCAGTGGTCAGGGGATGGCTGTATAAGGCACATAAGTGTTGCAGGGCTTGAATAGTGTGTTGCTGGTTGGCCACCCTGCAAGGGTAGGTGAACAACAGGCTGGTGGCCATGTCTACAGCAGTCGGTGCATGTGTGTAGCCCTGCAATTTTGGCAGTGGTCCAATGTAATCTATTTGCCATCTGGTCAAGGACATCCACTCTACTGTCCACTTGTAGTGTTACACTAGGCAGTTGTCTCTGTCTATGGTATGCCTGATCACACACTGGTCACTTCTGGTAGGCCTTGCAAATGTCCTGCTGGGGCAAAGACAGATCCCAGCACCAATTGACCTGTTGCATCAGCTTATCCCCCGCATGTCCAAGTTTCCTGTGTAGCCGCAAGTCCACATCTCATGCCGACTCTAACCACTGGATCTTGGCCGAGGCATCTGCCTCATCATTACTGGGGGCGGCCAAAGGCATATGGCCTGACACATGATAGATAGTTACATCTTTCTGATGACCTGTTTCCCAAAGGTCTTGCCACATGGTTTGGCCCCAAGTGGGCTGATGGCCTGCAAGCCAATTCTGTAACTTCCAGGTGGTCAACCATAAGTTAAGCCTCAATAGACTGCCCAACTATTGGTGCAGATTATCATAGATGTCTCCTCTTTGGTGATCACCATCCACACTGCTCTGAGTTCAGCCCATTGGCTGCTTTGTCCACACCCAGTATGAAACTATATAATGTCAGGACTAAGCTGGACTGTAATAGCAGTCCAGACAGCAGCATCGCCCTGGCTGGATTCATCCATATACCTTGCACCATCAGGAATGGGGGTGGGGGGATGCACCCTTCCTTAAACAGTGATGGCTCAAGGTCTAGGGTGCCTCAGGCCCCATGGCCTTATCTTGCATTAGGACTATAGGCCCCAAGACCTCTTGTAATTCTGCTACTAAGGGACTTGTACTCAGTGTACTTCACTGTTCCGAGTAGGCACCCCACTTTGCTAAAGTGGGCGTTTGTGTCATCCCAGTGTGGAGGGTCGTTACTCAGGAGCATACCCACCCTGCTATTGAGTAAGCCAACCATATGACAACTGTAGCCCGTCCCATCATGCTCTCACACGCCTGAAGGGCAGCATATGCAACAGCTAATTGCCTCTTTATCAATGAATACTGGAGCTCTGCTCCCTTCCAAAGTTGGGACCAAAAGCCTACTGGCATTCTAAAATGTTTTGTGTGCTGCCATAAGGCCCAGCCAAAACCATCTGTAGTCACATGTATTTCAAGTTTGAATGGGCACCCCGATCTATCACTCATAAGCCCTGTGCTTGCTGAATAGCCCACTTGGCGGCCAGAAAGCCTGTCTCAGCCTCATCATCCCAATCCCAGGTAGCCCCCCTTTTTGTTAACCAGTATAATGGTTTTATCATTTGAGCCAAATGGGGCACAAATGCCTGCCAATACCCCCAAGAGGCCCACAAAAGTCTGCAGCTGCCTCACCATGGCGGGTTGGGGGTATGCCTGGATTTTATCAATGACAGCCTCTGGTATGGCCTTTGTCTTACCTGACCAAATAACTCCCAAGAATTTGGTAGACAATCCAGGCCCTTGGACCTTGGATTCATTGACAGCCCAACCACATGCTGCTAAATGTTGCCGCCAGAAGAGTGCCACCACTTCTAAATCTGCAAGAGAATCAGAGATTAACATAATATCATCAATATAATGGAACAAGTGGACCCTTTTGGACATTTCCAGGCAGCCAAATCCATGGCAACAATACCATGACAAATGGTGGGGCTAGGCACCCTGTGGCAGCATGGTGAATGTTCATTGTTCTTTCCATGTGAAGGCAAACCGTTCCTGGCTCTCTGGAGCAATGTCAATGGAGAAGAATGCATTAGCCAAGTCTACAACATAGTGGTACTCTCCCAGTTCCATTGTCAAGCGGTGCATCAAATCCATGATGGGAGGTACAGCTGCATGCAGAGGGGGTGTTACTTTATTCAGTTTCCAATAATCCACTGTCATCTGTCAAGTCCCATCAGGCTTTCTGACTGGCCATACCAGGAAATTGTAGGGGCTATGGGTGCCATGCACTATTTGCACCTCCTTTAACTTCTTAATAGTCTCAGTTATCTCCATATGCCCCCCTGGCAAATGGTGTTGATGAGTGGAAGTAACCCGTCAGTGTTGTGATAGAACTTGGGGCCGGTGATGTATGTCCACGCAGTACCGGCTTTACTACACAGATTTGGAGTCTGAATTCTCCAGCCATGGGTGTAAGTTCAGACCATGCAAAATGTCCATCCCCAAAATATATTCAGGTATGGGAGAGACATATGTAGTGTATAGGTGGGGCGCCAAGCGACCAATGCCAAGATGCAGAGACACAGGTTTTACCTTCACTGACTGGCCCCCATAACCGTTAATACATGCAGCTCTGCCTGGAAACTTACCCAGGTTCCCATAAACAAGACTGCAGTCTGCACCAGTATCTACCTGTGCTAGGACCCACTGTACATTCGTGGGGGACCAGTGGATTGCCAGCTCTACATATGGCCTCTGGTCATCTGGTGTCCCCCAGAGCCAGGCACCTTGGTCAGTTCCATAATCAAACAGGAAAGTCTCCATATCTTCACCTGCCTGCAAATAGTCCTTGAGTTGAAGCGTCCCAGTGGGATTAGGTTGAGCAACATTGTTTTGCCCCCTCTTGGGCATTTTCCGGAATTGTTGCTCTGGGGACAATTGCCTGCACAGAGCCAACAGCATTCCATTGGGTTGCCTGCCAATTTTCTCTTGAGCAATCCCATCTGAAATTAAATCAATCCACATCTGCATGCAAGTCACCTGCTGGGGCTCCTTTTTATCTCATGGGGTGATTACCTGTGGAGGGAGCATCTTCCCCTTTTTTATGGCGTGGACTCCCCAGTCCTGCCAATAGCCTTCTGCCTCCCTGAGGGCTGCCATAGTCACTTCATGTACGTGACATCCCACATACAGCGTGAGGACAGTGGCCAGAGAGCCAAAAGCACTTGGGGGTGCTGAGCCCAGCACAAGATCCCTCATGTGGGAGGTAAAGCATTCATCATCTGGCCCTGGGGTACTCAGATCAACCATGGCCTGCCACATACCCATCTCCTGGAGTATCTGCATTAAATCTGTATATGATTGCCATTTATTCACAGTTTCTGGTATTTCTGCAGCATCGTTCCACACAGTTTGTATGGCTCCCATCAGCCACTCAATCAGAGTGTGGTCATTTTGCCCTTTGCTAACTGTTGGCTCAGCTGCAGCCACTGACAAAGGGAGGGGTTAGTTGTAATAGAAACCAGCTTCTCCATCTCAGAGGCAGAGCAGGAAATGCTGTCAGCGCCTTCGTCCCAAAGGCAGAGTAACCAAGCAGGGAGGGGCTCCCCCGGAAGCTGCTGACATTGCTTGCCTAACTCCCGCAGCTCAGTGGGGGTATAGGCACTATAGGAAGTCTGTTCCACCACGGTAGGGGGTCCCTGAGGCCCCATCGGCTGCTCATATTCTACCTTCTGATGGATCATGAGGTAAGCCCGCAGTGAGGGAGCTTCCTCCTCCTCAGCATCAGACCAAACAGGAGTTTCTGGCCAGGAGGACAGGCTCAAGGTCGCACTGACGGCAGTCTCTAACTCCTGTTCCAGGCCGTTTATCTGGACCACTAAGCACCCTGTTTGCGCCTGGATGTCCCTTACCCCCAGGTTTTTCTCCAAGCTGTGTATTTGGGCCCCCAGGCACGTGGCTAGTGCTTGAAGGTCCCTTACCTGTGCAGCATCCCGCAGGGACTGAACATGTACTTCCCACAGTTCAGTCAGAAACACCCATCCGACTCTGCCAGTGAAGGTGCATTTCTTCTCAGTGCTATGTGCTTCCAGCTCCTTCAGTGCTTTCTCCACACTCATGGGAGACCCCTCCACTACCTCCCATGTTTCCTTTGGGGCCCATCCTAGTAGCACCACTGCCACCGGGTACCACAACCCATTCTGCAGCCACATAGCCAACCCGGGAGCCTCAGGGGCTTAAGGCCCACTCACCTTATCCTGCTGACTATGTCAAATGTCAGGTTCAAGCCCCAGTTGAGGTCTGAGGGGAGAGGGTGGATGGAGGGCAGGGAGCTGGAAGAACACTCAAGAGACAGCAGATAGATGGGACATGGCTTTATTCAGCAACTCTTTCACAGTGTCAGTGCTGCATTTATACACCTACAGACAATAGTGGCTCAGAGCCAGGTGATGAGCCTTCCCATATTATGGCTACATAGCTGTGGTTATATAATGCACAGAATTGTGTGCCTGCACTCCAATCTCACTGAGTCATGCAGTGTGTTTACCTCGGCCTATGCCTGCCTGTCTGTAGCATAACTATGTTCCTTACATATATGTACAAAGGAGGGACTAAGGATACAGTCAGTCATGGTGAATAAACAATGTGCGGCCCCTGCTCGTGTGGCATGCATGTTTAGGAGAAGAAACAGATAATAGGCAACCAAAAAATGCATAGGAAAAGTTTATGTATTGTAACTCTAGTGGAGCAATTAAATGGTCATATAATAGAGAATTACTACAAGGGTGTGTGTGTGTGTGTGTGTGTTTTGCACGTTGGATTTTCCATAAAGCTGACTGTGAGACAAAGATTAGTATACAGGAAATTTATTAGAGAGCTACCTCAGGATCAACAACTGTGGAAGGGTAGAGAAGAAAGGGAAGAAAGATCGGCAGAGGGAAATGTTGAACTGTAACACTGTTCAACAAAGGCCTGACTCCAACGGGGGTGCCAAGCTGAGACAACCCTTCAGAGTTGTGCCACGTTATGGCAAAAAGATGAAGCATTTTTACACTCACATTTATCAGTCATTGGGTGCAAATTCCCTTAGGAAGGGTGATATGAACTTGGGAGAGGTTCAGCTAAAGCCAATTTCCAAAGAGAGCTGACAGCTGAAAACTATAAGCCCAGCAGCTCCAGTGGAAGCTAGGGAAATAAATCCTTCAGTCCTGAAGGCACATTTGGATTGTACATTTTTAACAACCACTAGAGTCCATCTCTTCTGCCACTTGGACCCCCTTCTTTATAGAAATTCTGGGAGCATCAACTCCAGAACTCTGGTGAGTTTCTTTTCCTGGGGAAAAATTTGTAAGAGGGTTTATGAGACAAATTATAGCCCTTGTTGTTGCAACTAATTTTGAGGCCAGAACTGACACTCAATATCTCTCTCATCTAGTCTCCTCTCCAAATTCTTCTTTTCCTCAGTTAGTACTTTGACTGGTCTTGATGGCTTATGTGGTGGCATGATTGAGATCTTATCTCTGAAGTGCCTGAATCCCTGTTCACCTTTTCAGTCTTTCCTAGTTCTATTCTACAATAGCATCTCTCCCTCCTGTGCCCCTAGTAGAAGTGTTTTCTCTTTAGGAACTATAAGCTCTAAACCCATAGAGCCCAGAGTTGCGAAGACAGGAAACACAAATTCTCCAAAAGATCAGAGTGAACAGTAAACACCAATCCTACAAGAAGGGCCATTCCTGCCTTTACTCTTTGAATCTCGATTCAATGTATTTTTTACCCACTGGGGACACAAAACCATAAAAAGGTCTTGATTTATAGTGTACACTGTATCCTGGAGGGTAACTCCCTTTGAACTGTCACCTCTGCTGTGCCTTCATCAGGCTGTATTTTGTCAGGATGGCAGCTTCTAAGTAGTATAGGTGTGCTATAACCAGTGGATCCCATGGTCATGCACTCTTTTCAGCACCTCTTTGTCTGTAAGGTACATTCCTTGGTTTGATGTGATGTTATATGTAATCCTATGCCAGTAGGTAAATCAAATGTTCTTGTGCTGTCTGAGATTATTTCTAGAACATAGTTTTATTCTTGTCAAAATGAAGCACTTGCCAAATGTATCACTCTTCTCAGGTGGAAGAGTTCCCATGTAGTCAATTCTGCAAGTTCATACATATCTCAGACCTCCTTGACCTCAATCTTATATTTCTATTTGCAGGCCTCTGACCAACCAATCTATTGGTAATTTCCTGTGATGCCTTACATATTATAACCTCAGGATATCTCTTTTCAAATAAAGTGAATGAACAACTGCATCACCCAAAGCTCTGCCCATTGGGAGGATTTACCTTCACTGCTTCTTTTAAGGTCACCCCTCAGTGGGCTACAATGCAGCTATGGTCTGTCTTCAGCTTGCTTCCTGTTTCTTCAGCCAGTCTAAGAAAGAAACTGTGTTTTCCCTCCTCCATCAGCTGGTCTTACAATGGATTGCTTCTGAGTACACCTAACCTTATGACTTGGTGGGTCTAAAATCATCCAGCTCATGTAGAGCAGCTCTGGCTCCATGGTCATTTAATGACTCATGATCAGACACCTCATCTTTATCAGTGCCTGGTAGTATGCCAGAGATTGTTTTATAAAAGTTATATAATTCTCCACCATATATGGCATGACCTTGCTCTTCTTCAACCCTAGAAGTCTTTGTTGTGATTATCCTATTTCGGATTACCATAAACCCAAGTGACACAAGGGGCTTCGTTTGGCCTGATCCACTATTATACCTCTTATCTGTCAGGCCAAGAAACTAATTCAGGTCATGTGTCAGCTACCAAGTATGTCAATTCCAATTGTATGTTTGAAAACTAGAGGAATCAGTGATTATCGTTTGGGTCTATGGATCCTGCGGACATATTGTTGAGCCAGGTCTGGGCCAGGGCTACATTGGTTACCTGGTCCTCATATGCCCCTACTGTAATTGAGAGTCATCATGATGTTTCAAGTCCTTAGTTATCAGTAGAAACTTGTATGTTGTGAAATGTTTGGATAGTCTCTTTTCACAACTATACAGTTATCCAAGTAAATGACCATTTGTCCCTTTTGAGAACATGTAAAGGAATCATTACCATATATACTTGCCTTCCTCCCAGGGACCCAGCCTCCATTCAGTGGATTCCAGATCTGAAAATTTGCTCAGGTGTAGAAACTAAACAAGGAATTTTGACTTTTTGTCAGTGTGACTGCCCACAACCTCTTGTTCACCCGTCCTTGATTTCCTCTGACTGTATAGATTGAATGCTACACTTGCTGGCTGCCCATCTAGCTTGTCCCTAAGGATACTGTGTTTTTTTAACTATCTCCATAGCTCTCTATAGGTCAGGTCCTCATGGCAACTCTGATTTTGCTGCTCATTACAGTAATTATACTCATTGCTTCTGATGGTAAAATATTATCATATGCCCTCTATTGCTATTCTTATTGCTATCAGTAGACTCATCTCTATGATCTCCTGTAGTACCATCTGCCCTGTCCTGCAGGGGAAATCCACCACTGACCATAGTGATGCTGGTGTTCCTCTCTCCTGTGTTTTCCCAATGGCCTTGGGAAATGATATATCCTCCATGCCCTCCTGTACAACATATTCATCCAGTAGGAATTCCAGACTTCCATGGGATAGCTACTGTAGCATGCCCACTTCCCAGGGCCTTTAATTCCTTTTGCTACTGCCTGTCTCAATTCTGGCATTTCTACCTTAATTGGTGCAGACTACTGTTTTTTTCCATATTTCTAAGCATCATCTTAGGCAGCATTTTCGTATCATCTCCCGGGGTCCTTGCCAGAGTGTTAAATCTTGTGTCTATTGGTGCTCTCATATAAATACCTTTTATCCAGTTTAATATTCTGACTTCCTTTTGATCCAGTACCTTCTGAATTCAGTCCCATGCACATTCTCCTGACTCCTGCTGGTTAGTTCAGGTTGACTAGGTCCAGCAGCTTCTTTGAGGTCAAGTTCCTTTAGTCCCTTAGCAGGCCCATCATTTCCCCCAGCCAGGTTATATTGTGACATAACCTCCCTATTGGACTATCTGCCAGAAGAAGAGGCAGAGGCAGACCCTGAGAATGCGTGTGTCATTTTCAAGGGAGAGGCCTCTGAATCATCGTCAGGAAAGGAAACAGCATTTCTAGGAAAGACTGGGCCACTTCTGCATATGCACAAGGTTTGGGAGAAATCCTGAGGATTCCAGATTGCTGGTATATCAAACCAGGTGTTTGATATACCACACTATGATTTGGTGTCCCATTCTTTCCCAATCAGGGCCCTGGCTTTGGTCTAACAGGTCTGTGGTTGGGAGTTTAAACTTCTTTGGAGCTTTGTTACTTAGATGATTCATTTTTAAGCCTGGGTCTTAGCTTTCTCTGCTCTCTGGATGCAAGATATGAGAACCTCTTTACCTTCTACAATAATCACTTGTAGCCTTTTGTTACCTTTCTCCAAAGCATTAATTATGCTTAACACAGGCCAACCAATTCTACTCTTGCTAGTGAATTTCTTTCCACAAGCATCACATCCCAGTTCCCACAGGTAAAATTGTTAACAATTAAATTGTTGCTATTTCTGTGCCACCTATCTCCAGTGAAGGGTTCCACAGTGCCAACTGTCTGGCAGGTGGTCCAGCTCCAGAATGCCGTCTTAGTGTTTCCTTTCTCAGATTACTCCTGGCAGCAACCTTTGCAGTTTTAGTTACCTTGGACTCTGAGTTGGAAATTAGTGTACAAGAATATCTTTGGGAAATGCTCTTGGGATCAACAGCTACGGAAGGGGAAGAAGCAGAATTGGACAAGGGAGAATTTGGGCTGTGATGTATTCTCAGCCAAGCCTTCTGTCACCTGTTGGGGAGTGCTGAGGCTGGGATGGACCTTCAGAGTTGTCCCACATTACAGCAAGGTGTCTGTGCCCACAAACCTTACCAATGGCAAGTCACTGGATGCAGGCTGCACCTGAAAAGGTACAGTCTTTCCAGCCAAAGTCAAGTACTGACAACTTTCTCACCAGCTGGGGCAAGTTCTTCAGTCCCTGAAGGGGAATCTTGGTGGCACATCACAGCATTTACATAAAAGTTGTCTGTGTACAAAATCATCTAGAAGAATCAGGGAAGGAATCTTAAGGGAGGTGATTTGGGATGAGATCTAAATAACAAAAAGAGTTAGGGTTAGGAATAGTATTCCAATGTTGAGGTACAAGGGCTCTGAGGCAGGACAAGCTCAGCATCTTTGAGGAACAAAAAGAGGTCGGTTAAAGCATAGTAAATGGAGGAGGAATGCACTCAGGTAACAACGGGGAGACGGGCTTATAGGTCACATGAAAAAGGTGGACTTCAAGTGCAATAGGTAACCACTGGAGGGTTTTAAGCAGGGGAGAAATGTGTGATTAGACTTCTTTTTTTAAGATAACTCTAGGAGCAGTGTTGAAAATGAGGCAGAGATTGTTAAATTTTGCTATACAGTGGAATCACATGGGGATTGTTACAAAATGCTGATGCCTGACTCCCACCCACAAGTCTTCTGCTTTAGTTAAGTGTGTGACCTGGGAATGGGAAATTTTAACAGCTCCCCAGTGAGGCACAAGTGAGAACGCTTTTGGGGTGGGCCCTAAAATCCTGGGATCTGATATCAGTGAAGTTGTCTTAAAGGGCCCACAAGTCACAGTCTTGCTTGCCCATGAACTTCCCACCTAGAGCCTATAACCTCTTCACCACCCCTATCTGTACATTAAGGGTGGGGTTCTGAACTCCAGCAGGAGAGATGCCCAGTCATGCTTTGTTCTGTCCTTGCCTTATTATCTCAGTGGACACCAGCCCATAATGCCCATGACACCTTGATCTCAAAGAAGGGGAATTTGGGTAGTAGAGGTAGCCCCTACACCTGTAAGAGCCTCTACCCCTGGAGGGGGAGGAAGGAGCTAAATAGAGCAAGCTGGAACCATGACAGTGGTTAGCCATACTCCCATACTCCCTGCACATGTATGTAAAAATCTAACCATAGTATCTGCACATTACATGCTGGCAATAAGTATTAGTTAGCCAGTTATAATAGCTAAGCCACTTGTCCACCTATGTGGTTTCTTTAGCTGATTGGCTGTCCTAAACTGTGATGATTGAAGGCACACTCTAGCACAGTGTTTCTCAATCTCTTTTTTCATTATTGCCCATACACCCTCCACTCAAGGAGCCTTTCAAACTTAAAAAAAAAATCCAATTTTCTTTCCCCATGAGATGTTAATACCACAGATATACTGTACATCTATTTGTGAAGGTTAGTTTTACGTGTTATAGTGGTTGGGCCCTAACGTTCCCAGATATTTTGGTCAAACATTATTTTAGGTGCCTCTGTAAGGTGTTTTTGGATGGATTTAACATTTAAAATCAGTGAACTTTGAGTAAATCAGATTACCCTTTATGATATGGGTAGGCTTCATCGAATCAGTTCAAAGGATGAATAAAACAAAAGGACCAAGCCTCCTCCAAGCAAGAGAGAATTCCCCAGCAAATTATCTTTAGATTTCATTTGCAACATCAGTGCTTTCTTGTTCTATAGCAGATGGCTTTCAGACTTGAACTGGAACATTGACTCTCCTGGATTTCCAGGCTGCCAGCCCACCCTGCCGATTTTGGACTTGCCAGTCTCCATAATCACGTGAGCCAATTCCTTATAATATCTATATCTTTGTATAAATATATACACATATCCTATTAGTTCTGTTTCTCTGGAGAAATTGACTAATATACTATTTAGGTACTGTATGTATATTTGGGTCTTATATATAAGAGTAATAATTTTTCATCCTGCAAAAAATAAATTATTGTCCTCTTGGTAGTGATATGAACTCTCTTGAAAATGAATGCTCTAGAGCCAGATTACATGGGTTCAAATACCAAACTCACCACCTACTAGCTGTGTGAACTTAGGTAAACAGTGTAACATCTCTGAGCCTCAGTTTCCTCATCCTTATCATAGGTTAAAAGTAAAACTGACCTCATAGGATTGCCATGAAGATTGAACGAGTTAATATATGTAAGATTGTGACTAGCAACACATAGTAGGTGCTGTGTAATTGTGACCTATTTAGTATCTTTACTTTGCAGGTAGGCAGTAAACTATAATAGCTATGGTGGAAGAGGCTCAGGAATTAATTGAGTAGTTTCAAATCCTGATTCTGCCACTACTAGCCTTTGAAATGCTTTGCCACTTGTGAACAGACATTATTCAAAAACATGAATTAACAATAAATAAATAAAACTCCCCAGGTGATTCCAGTGCACAGCAAAATTTGACAACCAGTACAATGGACTGAATGAGATCAAGAGCAGAACCTGGGAAATCAGTTAAGTAGGCTATATTGGAATCCAGGCAAGATATGGTGGTGGCTTAGACCATGGTGGTAGTGACAGAGGTGGCTAGAAGTGGTCATATCTTGACTACCATTTTGACCTCTTCTCCTGCACTTTTTCTTACTCACAACCTCCATGCTGCTCTTCATGCTACTCCTGCACTCACCAAGGTCATTCATGCCTCAAAACCTTTGCACTTGCCTTGCCATCGGACTGAGACACTTTCCCCAAATCCTCACAAGGCTTCCTTCCTTACCACATACTTCCCTCTGTTCAAAGCTACCTCCCCAGAGACAGTTTCCTTCACCCCTCTATCTTAAAAGAGCACCTTTACCCCCAGCCTCACTTAATATGTCAGTCATGGACCTCTTGCCCTGATTCAGTTTGCGTCATAGTGCTTAGCACCACCTGATATTGTATATTCATGTGTTTGTTATCTGTCCCTCTACTAGATTATAAGCTCCATGAGGGAAGGGTCACTATCCATTGTTCATTCCTGTATCCTCTATGCCAGGTTGGGGGATGTGTAACCTTTTTCCAGGAAGCTCATAGCACATGTCACCCTGATCTCTGATGTGGTAGGGATTTATCATCATTACTGCAATGTTCTTCATGCATAGACTCTAATGCCGTGTAAACCACAGGGATGAAATTACAAATGAGTGTTACACGTTTGGGGTTAATTGATGTTCCTGGTCTGCCTCCATCCATCCTCCTATCCTTCATCCTAGAATTCAGAGCCATGCTCCTCCTCCCTTTGGCCTTGGGGGCTGCATGTTTATCTAAAGGACATTGATATAGATTAGAAACCCTTAGGAGCCATATTCATAACTGAATGTTGACACCCAACCGATTAAGTTCTGAGCCACTGAGCATTTCTAGGCTAGAGTCTCTCCTAACCAGTGTTTGTGTGCTGGATTCTTTTCTGTAAAGGGCAGCAGCAGCCCATAGCCAGGATATGCTTTATGGAATCTCATTTTTATACCATCCCCAACCTGTGCTTGAATAGAGCAGGGTACATTTCACCTCTGTGACTATCATGAAACCAAATATGATTTCTCATATTTAAAGGATTAGGCAGGTTATGCAGCCATTTCTCAACTGTCATATCATGAGTTAGAAAGAAAATGTACATTTATTGGGCATAGTTTCTGTGCCAGGCACTGTGCTAGATGATTTTACATGTATTACTCCTCTAATTTTCAAAACGAACTAGAAGTTAGATGTCAACTTTACAGGTTAAAAATGATATTTAGGCAGATGAAATAATTTGTTGCAGGGCTTGCAGGTAAGAGGTAGTATTTCACCCTGGGCCTTGTATAATTAGTTTCTTAATAAATGTTTTTGAATGCTTGACAGAGCAGAGCTGGGATGAGAAACTGGACCCAGTCAGTTCCTAATCTTAGACTCTGTCTATGTAAGGAAATGGCTGGAAAGCACCAGAATCATGGGGCAACGGCATCAAGGAGGTGTGCCATCTTTGGTTTCGTACATACAAATAAATAGCAATATCCTCTCTTGAAAATATTTATATTTTTTGGCATCAGTTGATTGAGGAAATGCAGAATAACCATAAGCTACATTAGGTTACATTTTAAAACAAGTTTATATTTAATTTATTATAATAGCATCTAGAGACATTTGAAAAAATGTGGCACACATGTAATAATCAAATATTTATATGCTTCACATATGCTAACTCGGGTAAATATTGTTATTTATTTCAATTATATAGATGAGGAAACATGGGGCATGACAAAATGAAGAAACTACCCACATGTCAGAACTGGGATTTGAACTCAAGCAGTCTGGCTCTGGGGCCCCAGCTCTTGACCACTATGCTATAGTACCTCTATGAATCACCTATACTCTTTATTCAGTCCGGAGTTGGTGCTTGCTTTCCATGCTGAATCTTCTTCATTAATTCCAAAGCCCCTCAAAAATCTGTGGTTTTCTGGGTAGAGAAATATTGGTCTAGAGCCCAGGTCAAAAGATTTTCTCTTGTGCTCCTCTGGCCACCTTTCTCTACTATTCCCTCTGGGCCTGGCACAGTGTCAGAAACACAGAAGGCATGAAAATGTGTGTGTTATGAATGACTGAGCAAGTGCATGAGGGGACGGAATCATTGATAGGGTTTGGCTCTGTGTCCCCACCCAAATCTCATGTTGAATTGTAATCCCTATGTATTGAAGGGGGAGCTTGACAGGAGGTGATTGAATCATGGGAGTGTACTTTCCCCTAGCTGTTCTTGTGATAGAGTTCTCACGAGATCTGGTTGTTTTGAAAGTGTGTAGCACTTCCACCTTAGCTCTCTCTCTCCTGTTCTGCCATGGTAAGATGTGCTTGCTTCCCATTCGCCTTCTGCCACGATTGTAACTTTCCTGAGGCCTTCCCAGCCATACTTCCTGTATAGCCTGTGTAACTGTGAGTCAATTAAACCTCTTTTCTTTATAAATTACCCAGTCTCAGGTAGTTGTTTATAGCAGTGTGAGAATGGAGTAATACAATCATGAATGGCAGATAAATAAAATCAGTAAAGTATGCTTTCTGGCTCTGAAATGCTGGGGCTCTCCTTATCGAACATTATCAATTGCAGCTAGAAACCATCCTGAGAATCACTGGCCCCAGACTCAGCAGAATCGATGACCTATGAGGCTCACTGGTGAAGCTCAAAGCCCTGTGCTGTGGACTGAATATTTGTGCCCCCACAAAATTTATATGGTGCTATCTCTGCTCTCAATTTGATGGTATTTAAAGATGGAGCCTGTGGGAGTCATGTGATTGTCATAAGGGTAAAGCCCTCCTGAACTGGATTAGTGCCCTTATAAAAGAGGCCACAGAGAGCTTGCTTGCTATCTTTCTGCTTTGTGAGGACACAAGAAGACAGCATTCTGTGACCAAGAAGAGGGTCCTCACCAGAATTCAACCATGCTGGCACCCTGATCTCAGACTGCCAGACTCTGGAACTGTGAGAAATCAATTTCTATTGCTTATAGTATTATGTTATAACTACTTCAATAGACTAAGACACCTGGCTACCCACTTCATCCCCAGTCTTTATCTTGCCAGTTCCACTCTTCATGGCCATGTTATACTTGAGCTTTGTTTAAAGACATAGGTGATTTAAGTGGCCTTTCAAGATGTTGCTAGACATATAGTCTTAGTTTTCTCATTTAAGAAGAGGAGTGATATAGCCTAACAAATAACGAGAAAAGGGGTGAAGTTGGAAGGGTAGTAAGATGGGTGCCTAGAGTGGCCCTGGATCCTCTATATCCCCTGAGTTTTTCAGAGTTGGAAAGCATCATTTGGGCCCATCACAAGCGTACTGCAGCCAACCACTTGCAGCTACTATTGATGCTTCTGCAAGTAAATTACTTTTTTATACTTTGGTTAAAAAAACACATATAACATCAAATATATTCTCCTAATAAATTTGAAATGTACAGTACAGTGTAGATAACTGTATGCACATTGTTATGTGCCAGATTTATAGAATTTATTTTCATCTTGCATAACCAGAACTGTATACCCGTTGATCAGCAACTTCCCTTTTCCTCCTAACCCCGGCCCCTGGCAACCACCATTGTACTTTTTGTTTCTATAGGTTGACTACTTTAAATACTTCATATATGTGTATTCATACAGTATTTGCCCTTCTGTGATTGGCTTATTTCACTTAATCTAATGTACTCAGGTTTCATCCATATAGTAGCATGATAGGACTTTTGCTTTTTTTGAAAAAGGCTGAATGTTCCATTGTATGAATATAACACATTTCCTTTATTCATTAGTTGTTGAACATTTACATTATTTTCACCTCTTGGCTATTGTAAATAATACTGAAATGAACGTGGGAGTGTTAATATCTCTTCAATATAATGATTTTATATTCTTTGGATAGATATTCAGTAGTAGGATTGCTGAATCATGGGTAGTCCTATTTTTAGCTTTTGAGGAAACTCCATATTGTTGTTCGTAGTGACTGTATCAATTTGTCTTCCCACCAGCAGTGCACAGGTATTCCCTTTGCTCTTCATCCTTGCCAACACTTGTTATTTTCTCTTTTGTTTTGTTTTGTTTTTTTGAAGGCCATCCTAATGGGTGTGAGTTGGATTATAATTTAAAACTTTTTTTGCATGTTACGTTTTTTATATACAGCAATTTTGCACATTGCAGAAGTGGTGTAAGATCTTTAAAGACACCGTGTTGAACCACATAATTTGAAGGCTTTGTTTGTCTTTGAAAGGGAATTGTGTTTGCCTTTCTGCCTTCTCAGTTTGAAGCATTTTTATTTGTTAAGAGGAAATATGTTTACTTATTTCGGATTAGAACCTGTTTCACTTCAGAGAGTCGTATACTTCTGGATACTGATCTCTCCAATGAGAGAAAGCTGGGACGAGGGCTGGGAACTGCTACTGGTGCAGCCTGCCTCAGAGATCATTGCCTGATAATCGGTGTTTAGCAGTCTTTTCAAAATAAGGGGTCTGCTTCTATTGGTGAAAAATCAGGACATTAGTGGCTCACGAATCAGGTAACCACCAAATTATATCATAGGGGCCTAAAGAGTTAAAGCACCCCTAAAGTGATTGCTTCCATTGTTTCACATGGCAGACCAGCCAGTACTCCATTCGCCAAGCATGCTTAGATCTTTGTCACCTGTGAATGAGCCTCTATCACTACATGTCACAAATAAAGGCCTGGGAGATTGATTCAGCTAGCTCTCCCAAGAACTCTGTCACAGGTCAGAATTGAAGTGTCTTGGCAATGGTAGGTACCTGTCCCACAACTGCCAAGCCAATTTGTCCTAATGCTTCACCTCTAAACACACAGAATGAATACAATCAATCTCCCTCCAAATTTCAGCAGTTCCTGGTCATCCCATTTTTAAAAGTTGCCTGAATGTAAGGGGACATGGGAATGCTGGTATGGTTTGGAGCTGTCATGCCACAAGACACGTAGGAAGTGGGACCCTCATGCTCATCTTCAGCCCTGGAAGAAGCTTAGCACAAGAGGCAATGCAGAAAGGAACACCTTTAGGCAATTCCTAAAAGGTACAAAATGCCCTTTTGCTGTACTTGGGTCACTATTAACTTGAAACATCTATGAAATACATAGATGACATGGCTTTTATGGCAGGTAAGAACTCTTTTAGCTAACAAGTTAGAAAACGAAGGTATGAAAAAAGCTGCCTGTGGTGCCCTGAATGTTTCATTCTCCAGAATATGTGGTCACTAGTGTTTGAAATCTGCTTTCTCAGATTTCCATGACTGTTGGACCAGATGGTGAAAATCCAGGTTTCCAAAACAGATAAAGCACTTTCATTTGGCTTGATCCATACCTGGGAAAGAAAAGTGAGGTTTCATCTGGGGTCATCTATATGCTGCTGCTTTTGATATCTGACCAACATATTTTGCTGATCACTTTTTCCTCATGGTAGAATCTGTAAGTGCTTGAGGCAAAATCTCATCCAAATCTTGCTGAATCCTTTACAATTACAAAAAGGTCATAAGGAACTTTTGATGTCCTGACAACCTACAAAGCCTTTGCCAGTTCCTTTCTTCTGACTCAGAGGCAAAGGATACCACAATACTCCAGCAGATCATGGCCTCATTTCAGAACTTAGAAGTGAAAAGTATTCAAGGATTTCAACTCCCGGGAGTCAGTCCATATTGCCTACTTGCCAGGCTGCCTGTGGTTTCAAGGTATAAGTTCAACTGGAAAGTGAAAGAACAAGTTCCATATGAGTTTTCCTGATGGAGACAGGAGACTCCAACAGCTGGTGTCTTGGTTTTGCATGCATGCCAGATTGGAAGTCGCAACAGGCCAGCATGAGGACCTCCTGGGGGGAGTATCCTGAGGAACATATTTGTTTTCTATGTCTTTATGTGTTTCCCATGTGAAATAGGAGGAAAAAGTCACAGAATTATTTGCAGCTGGGAAGTAGTAGAGCAATGAGACTGAAGCCTTTTTACTTCTAGGTCTAGCACTCACCACAGAAATACCGATTCTAGAAGCCTGAGGGTGGGGAAGAAACCAATTACATAATTTTCAAGGCAAGTGTAAAATGAAAATATGACTTCTGTTCAAAAATTATTACAAAATTCAAGACTCCTACAGTAGAGCATTAAATCAAGTACACGGAGCCCTTCTAAGCTTCAGGCCCTGTGCGAGTATATAGGTTGCATGCTTACGAAGTTGGCTCTAGTTATAACAAGCTTCCAGCTTCCTGAAGGAGACACTATGTGATCAAGTCCTGTCCATATAGCTCCCCAAGTAGGATCTCTCATTTGGGTTTATGGACCTGGAGGAAAGGCATGGTGGGGTTTACCCCAGCCCTTAGGTTCCTAATTGACTAGCAAATTGAGCCAGTTTGTGGTCCTCACCTGAGCACACACCTATTTGGCATAGTGGGGCTTCCCAGGGTGTCCTGTGAAGCACTTACTTCCTGGTGTCCACTGATTGCCTTCTCACTCAAAATGCATTACATTTCTTAAAATTTTAGAAGGAAAAGCAAAACACAACATGAAATAAATCAGAAGACAACTGACAAATTGGGGGAAAATTGTAATGTAGAGGTCTGCAAATATGTGTAGCTTAGAGGGCTAATATCCTTAATTTTAAAGACTGACAAATTTTTGGACAATGGACCCAAATCTAATAGAAAAATATGAAAAAGACATGAGCAGGCAATTCATAAGTAGGTATAGAAATAGTCCTTAACCACATTTAAGGCTGGTTAACCTTACTAAGTTAAGTGCAATACACTGAATATGCGTGTCCCCCTAAAATTCATAAGTTGAAATCTTAACACCTAAGGTGATGGTATTAGGAAGTGGAGCATTTGGGAGGTGTTTAGGTCCTGAGAGTGGAGCCATTATGAATGGGATTAGTGTTTTTATAAAAGAGGTCCGAGAGAGAGACCCTCCTTGCTCTTTCTATCATCTGAAGTCACATCAAGAAGACAGTTGACTATGAATCAGGGAGCAGGCCCTCAACAGACACCAAATCTTCTGTTGCCTTGAAATTGGATTTCTCAGCCTCTAGAACTGTGAGAAATAACTATCCATCTTTATAAGCCATCCAATTTATGGCATTTTCTTATAGTAGCCTTAGAAGACTACGACTAATTTAAAATGAAAGAAACATTGAATTTAAATTTTAAAAACCTATCCTGAGAAATGGAAACTGTCTCCAAACTGACAGATTTTAGAATTAGACAAAGACATTAAAATGGTTATTAAAACTGAATTCTATATGTTCAAACAGTATAGTAGAATTATGGGAGACATAAATATCACCTAGCTTGTGCTTATAGAAATAAAAACTAGCATTTGTGATGAAAAATACATTTGATAACATTAACAGTAAATTAGACATAGCAGATGTAGCAGAAGGAAAGGCTTGTGGACCTTGAAGACATAGCAGTAGAAGCCACCTAGAATGAGACACAGAGCTCATCCATATATAAAATGGATAATACACCATGATCAAGTGAAGCGTTTCCCAGGAATGTAGGGTTGCTTAAGCATTTGAAAATCAGTCAATGTAATTTACCTTATTAACAAACTAAAAAAGAAAACAATAGATGCAGAATGAACATTTAACAAAATCCAACAATCATTCCTTATAGAAACTCTTAGTAAAGCAGGAATTGAAGGGAAAGGTCTCAGCAAAAATACAAAATAAAGCCTGGACACTACAGGTGAATTAAAAAACGTTTTGGCAAAAAAAGTCTCCCACCAGTAGCATACACAATGCATTCCATACCAGAAAGTAGTATTTTTTTAACACTCTCTCCTTAATTGAACAAATTTTCAATAATATAAGGAAAATAATAATAATGCTTCAAATATATACATATTTTAAAATTTATTTTATTGACTTTTATTTATAATTAAGGCAGTAAAAATATTTTAAGGCAACCAAAACATCTGCAAAGGGTACAATTTAAGTAACCACAGGTAATGTAATGCTTTATTTTCCTGCTTTGTTCTATAGTCTTAAAATAAGTAACTAACAATTAAAGAAGAATAAATTCTGCTTTATTTTTATTTTTTTATTTTTGAAAAATGAAGACTTTTTCAAAATAAGTATAAAATATTTTATGCTCGAATACAGGAAAATCTTGGACTTCTCAAGCAAAACTTTGCACCTAAGAGTTCACACCGTTTTGCTGATTTAAACATAAATAAAAACAAGTTAATGTGGTAGTGTAAACCCTTACAATCTTTGTGCTATCATTGTTTGTTTATAATCTACTGTTTCAACATAAGATATAGGTATTCCACACATCAACACAGGAATTGAAGACAGGGATTGCACTGAAAGTGACCTAAAGCCATTTCAAACCATTAGAAACTTGCTACAGAAAGGAGCAGTGGTAACTGTCAGCCAGGGTTGGGGGCCAATCTGTATAACAGGGAGCTCTCCAAATTAACTCGCTTGAAGAATACATTGGTTTTTAAGGGATAAGTGCTAAGAATGTGGTAACATGAAATAATTTCATTCATATATATACACACACAAACACACATACACATACACATATACATACAACATAAATCACACCAAACTTCTAGAACTTAGACCACCAAAAGACTTTGTGGGGAGTGGAGAGTATTTCGTCACTGACATCTGACATTATTCAAAAATTTTGGAGTATGAAGGTGATAATTAAAAACAGCAATAACTTTTTTGGGGTTTATGTTTACAGAAAAAACAAAACAAAAGAAAAGAAAACAAAACCTCTGCAGATAGTGCTTTATTTTATTGCCTGCGTGGAACGCACACCACTACCCCCAACTGCTACTCCCTTGTTCATCCACTACTCCGCCCCTTTTCTTAGCAAGAAAGTTGCATAATCAGTGTTATGTATGACATCTCCAGAAACACCACTATTTTAATTCTTTGGACTAACTTTTAGAAGGGTAAGATATTTGGGGTTTTTTGAAGGCCTTTAGGTGCTTACATCATAGGGTAGAGTGCAACAAGCACCATTATCAGGTAGGTGGCCTGCAGTTTATTTTGTTGTCTGCCTTTTTTGGGGGAGTGTCATTGTCACCCCACACATCACATCTCATCTGGGTCTGCCCCCCAACCCCACAGGCAAAGATACCAAGTCCTTTTCCACCTTACCCATAGGTGAAAATGTTCAGTAGGAAATTTGTCTTCAGTGTTCAGCACTTACCTAATCATTATCTGCCGTGTCTGGTTAACTGTGGACCTGTCGGTCTGACCCCAACCCCACAGAATCCACTTCCCTCCCTTCCCATACAGCACCTCTTCCCTCCTTCCTCCCTCTCCACCATCCTAGAACATGCAGACACACAAATCATTTTACAACAGGTTTATTTTATTTTCATCACCATGGGGCGTACCCAGTGGGGTATAGAATGTACTCTAGACCCTGTTGGCTATTTATCTGGGGTCAGACCTCTGGAGACTTTTCAGATAGATCTGAGGTCTCTGGCCTTGCCCTGAAATTACTAGCTGTCCAGGGAGACACTGCAGATGGTGGAGGTCTCCTCACTTTTTTGGTCCTGCTGTGGCTCATTTTAACTGAGCTCCTCATTCAGCTGGTCACAGTGGCCAGATACTGTTGGCCTGCTCTCTTTCTCATGTTTTCTTAAAGAGGTGGTCTTTTAGGGAGTGGCCTTTTTCTTGGAACTTCCTCAAAGGGTTCCTTTTTCCTTCGGGTAGTCTTGGGAACCTGGAAGGACAACAAGGAGATCACAGAAGGGCATCTGTTTTAAGGAAGTAGATGGAGGAGGGGTGGGAACAGGGGCTTCATGAGAAGCGGTACAGTCTGGGGCGGGGGTTGTGTCAGGCGAGAACAGGGTAGGAGTCTTGGGAGGGAGGAGTCAAGGGGAAGACAAGGAGGAGCTTGGGTGGGTTCCTCACCTTGATAGGACTTTTGGACTTTGGTTGAGAATGGGCCTCCCTCTTCCTTGGCTCTTTGGTGTCCGCAGGTGGTTGTTCCACAACTGGGCTGGAAGCTCATGGTGTCCTGGTCATCTTCACCATGTCTGTGTGTCTCAATGGTCTACCTCAGCCTGCCTGCTCTTCCTATATATACCCCTCCCGGGACAGTGACAAGCCTCACCCCTGAGCTTTGATTGGTCAGTAAGCCACTACCCAGCCCAGCCAATGGTAGTCCTGGGTGGTCGAGGGAGAGAGGCTTAGATATCAAATGCACTATCCTGACAACTTATTACGGGAAGGGGTAATGTGGAAGGGGTAATGTGAGGGAAGTCATAATGTTCTAGTTGGAGAAACGGAGCACTTCTTTCGTACCCCCAAAAGAGCTTCCAGACTTACCTGTCACAGTCCTTATCTTCCCATGTTATTTCTGGTGGACCACGTGGCAAGGAGAGGATGTCTCTTTTGAGCCTTTCTCCACAGCCACCCCATTCAGTGTTACATTCTGTTTTCTACCATTCTTCACCATTACCTAGTTTTTGTATGTCTTACTTACAATCCACCCATGGTGATGTGGCCATATTTAAGTGTCTGTGGAGACATAAATCATCCATTTTCCTACTAAAATTTTATCTTATGCACATGGAAGACTTCTCACTTCATGGCTACCACCAGAAAACTTTTCCATCCCATCTCCTTTTCCCAACATCCATGCAACTCTCCTCAGTTTTTCATAATCCATTCTGAAATCACTGACCTTAGTCTGTGTTCAGTAAACAGACTTGCTTCACTGGGTATCCTTATCTCATCTCAAACCTTGGGGTCATGGTCATCTCAGCAGATGTAGTACTGGACTTGGGTTTTAACAGCGTAGGAGAGATGAGGCAGATATTCATATGCCAGAAGTTATGTTGGGAGATTGCATGCAGAAAACTCCCACCTAAGACTGATGAGTATTCCCATGGAGGAGCTTGCCTTAGCAGAGGTGTGTGACCTTTAGGTGCAAAGGTCTTCTGAAAATGTGTCCTCACAAGCCAGATGCTTTTCTCACCTTATTTTATTGCTGTCACTGTTAGCATCCTACCTTCCTGGGATCTTGCCTCACAGGAGGCAAGTTGATATACTGGTAGAATTCATTTTTATGAATAGCTCTAACAAGCTTCCAGTTTCTTGGATGGGGCACTGTGTGATTAATTTATATCCATGTAGCTCCCTAGTTAGAGGGTCTCCAACTCAAATTTTTGGCCCTGAAGGAAAGGGAAAAGAGATTGTGAAGTTATCCATAGGTCTTATATTTCTGATCAACTAGCGGATTCGGCCTGCCTGAAGTCCCCTGAGCATACAACCTTTGGGGTTAGCGGGGCTTCCCATGATTTCCTTTGCAGCACTTACTTTCTGGTGTCTGCTGGTTGTATACTCACCCAAGATGCATCACACTGCTTAAAATTTTAAAAAGCAGAACAAAACCACCATAACAAATTCAAAAGCCAACTGAAAAACTGGAGAAAATTTATAACCTAGATCATTAATATCACTAACATGTAAAAACTTTAAAAATTGTTGAAATAAAATACCAAAAACCTTATAGAAAAATATGAAAAAAGACATGAGCAGACAATTTACAAAAAAGATATAGAACCAGTCTTAACCATATTAAAAGATGTTTAACCTCACTAAGTTAAGAAAAATCAAATGAAAATTACCTTGAGAAATCAAATCTGACCCAGAACTAGCACACATTTCAGAATTATCAGACAGGGCATCAAAATAGTTACAACAACTGTATTTCATATGTCCAAAAAATAGGTAGAGACATGGAAATCATAAAATAGACCCCAAATGATCTTATGGAGATGAAAACTATAGTGTCTGAGGTGACAAACACAGTGGATGGAATTAACAGCAAATTAGGCATGGCAGAAGGAGAAATTTGTGTTGTTGATGACATATAGAAAATACCTAGAATGAAGTACAGAGTCCATCAGTACATAAAAAATCAATGTACCATGATCAAGTGAGACCAGAAGGGTTGGTTAAACATTTGAAAATCAATGTAATTCATATTATTAAAAAACTAAAAATGAAAAGCTTTATGATCATCTCAATAAATGCAGAGGAATAATTTGATAAGATCCAATACATATTCTTTACTTTAAAAATACTCTCATCAAATTAGAGATAGAAGGAAAATTTCCTCAAACTGATGAAGAGCATCTAAAAAACCCAGTAGGTAACATCATACTTTATGGTAGAAGACTGAATGTTTTAATTCCAATGTAAGGATCAAGAAAAAGCTGTTCACTTCCGTTTTACTGAAGTTCTGGCCATGAAATTAGACTATAAAACAGTATCAGAAGCATCAAGTTTGGAAAAGAACTAAAACTGTGTTTATTTGCAGATGGCTTGATCATTTATGTAGAATATCCAATGAAATCTACAAAAAAACTACTAAAACTGGTAAGTGATTTTAGCAAAGTTGCAAGATAAAAATCAATATATAAATTCATTTTTAAATATACTAGGACAAATAATCAAAATATTTTTAAAAAGTAAAGGCATTTCCACTAGCATTAACGTATGAAATACTTAGGGATATATCTCACAAAATATGTGGAAGACAACAACATAAAAAAATAGACAACAGATTTGTACAGCCAATTCATTGAAAAAGATATAGGAATGTAAGTAAGCACTACACACCTGCATGGATGGCTATGATGAAGAAACAGAAAACATCAAGTGTGACAAGGATGTTGAGAAATTGAAACTTTCATACATTGCTGGTGGGAAAGTAAAATGGTGCAATCTCTGTGGAAAATATTTTGGAATTTCCTTAGGAAGTTAACATAGGGATATCATATGATCCAGAAATTCCACTCCTAGGCGTCTACCAAAGAAAACTGAAAACGTATGCATACACAAAGACTTGAACACAAATGTTCATAGCAGCATTATTTCTAATAACCAACAAGTGAAAGCAACCCAAAGATCCATCAACTGAATAAACGAAACTTGGTATATCCGTACAATAAAATATTATCTGGCCATAAAAGGACTGGAGTTTTGATGCATGCTACAACATGCTACAGTTCTGAAATAATTATGTTAATTTAAAGAAGACAGACACAAAAAGCTATATATTGTGTGATTACACTCATATGAAATATCCATACTAGGCAATTCTATAGAGACAGAAAATACATTAGTGGATGCCAGGGCCTAGGACAGGGGGAGGTGGAAGGAAGGTGACTGCTAACCAGTAGTCTTATTGTGTCTCTTCTTAAGGTAATGAAAATTTTCTAGAATTAGGCAGTGATGATGGTTGCAAAAGCTATGCATATACTAAAAACCACTAAATTGTACACTTTAAATGATGAATTTTCTCCCAAACCACCAACATAGAATTCTATGTTCAGCAAAATTATCCTTTAAAACTGAAAGAGAAATAGACATTCTTATATAAACAAAAATTCAGGGAATTCACTCTTGGCAGACCTGTTATGCAAGAAATATTAAAAGTTATTCACACAGAAGCCAAATGATATTGGACAGAATCTAGATTCTACATAAAGGAAGGAAGAGTGTCATAAAATGAATACATGAAGGTAAAATAAAATCTTTCATTTTTCTTATTTTTTTGTTATGAATTGATAATTTATAATTGTATATATTTATGGGGTACAAAGTGATATTATAATTTATTTTTAAAATATGGCATAATTAAATCAAGCTAATTAACATATCAATCACCTAGAGTACTTACTTTTTATAGTGAGAATATTTTAGATTTACTCTTAGCAATTTTGAAATGTAAAATACACTATTATTAACTATATTCACCACGCTGTGCAATAGATCTCAAAAAATACTTCATTCTTCTCTGAGATTTTGTACTCTTTGGCGATCATCTCCCAGTTCTCCCTACCAGTCTCTGTAACCACCATTTTACTCTCTGATTCTGTAAGTTTGTTTTGGATTCCACATATGAGTGAGAACATGTGTATTTTGTCTTTCTGTGCCTGGCTTATTTCACTTAGCATAATGTTCTCCAATTTTATCCATGTTGTCACAAATGACAGAATTTCCTTCTTTTTAAGGCTGAATAGTATTCCATTGCATATAATACCTCATTTTCTTTATCCATTCATCTGTTGGTGGGCACTTTGGTTGATTCTGTAATTTAGTGTTGTGAATAGTGCTGCAATAAGCAAGGGAATGCAGCTATCTCTTTGATATACCATTTGAATATATACTCAGCAGTGGAGTTGCTGGATCATATGGAAGTTTTATTTTCAGTTTTTTGAGGAACTTCCATACAGTTTTCCATAATGGATGTACTAATTTACATTCCCATCAACAATGTACAGAGTTCCCTTTTTTACATCCTTGCCAACACTTGTTATCTTTTGTCTTTTTGATAATTGCCGTCTGACAGGTGTAAGATAATATCTCATTGTGGTTTTAATTTGCATATTCCTAATATTAGTGATGTTGAGCATTTTAAAAAATATCTATTGCTCATTGTATGTCTTCTTCTTTTTTCATTAACTTTTATTTTAAGTTCCAGGGTAAATGTGCAGGATATGCAGGTTCTTTACATAGGTAAACATGTGCTATGGTGGTTTGCTGCACAGATCAACCCCTCTCCTGGTATTAAGCCCTGCATCCATTAGCTATTCTTTCTGATGCTCTCCCTCCCCCCACCCTCAGGACAGGCCCCAGTGTGTGTTGTACCCCACCATGTGTCCATGTGTTTTCATTGTTCAGCTCTCACTTATAAGTGAGAACATGGTGTTTGGTTTTCTGTTCCTACGTTAGTTTGCTGACGATAATGGCTTCCAGCTCCATCCATGTCCCAGCAAAGGACATGATCTCATTCCTTTTTATGGAAGCATAATATTCCATGGTGTAAATGTACCACATTTTCTTTATCCAGTCTATCATTGATGGGCATTTGGGTTGATTCCATGTCTTCACTATTGTGAATAGTGCTGCAATAAATATACATGTGCACGTATCTTTATAACAGAATGATTTATATTCTTTTGGGTATATACCCAGTAATGGGTTTGCTGGATCAAATGGTATTTCTGCTTCTAGATCTTTGGGGAATCACCACATTCACAATGTGTTCCACATTGGTTGAACTAATGCATTTCTACCAACAGTGTAAAAGCGTTCCTTTTTCTCCATAACCTCTTCGGCATCTGTTGTTTCTTTGTATGTCTTCTTTTGAGAAATGTCTATTCAAGTCTCTTGCTCATTTTTTAATTGGATTTTTTGTATTCTTGCTATTCAGTTGTTGGAATTTCTCATACAACTTCTTATCAGATGTATGGCTTGCAAATATATTCTCCCAATTCATAGGCTGTCTCTCCTCATTCCTAATTGTTTCCTTTGCAGAAGCCTTTTGGTTTGATATATATATATATATATTTTTTGAGACAGCGTCTCACTCTGTTGCTCAGGTTGGAGTGCAGTGGGGTAATTATGGCTCACTGCAGCCTTGACTTCCTGGGCTCAAGCAATCATTTTGCCTCAGCCTCCCAAGTAGCTGGGACTACAGGCATGCACAACCACGCCCGGCTAGTTTTTAAATTTTTTATAGAGGCAAGGTCTCACTGTGTTGCCTAGACTGGTCTCAAAGTTCTGGCCCCAAGCAGTCCTCCCACCTTGGCTTCCCAAAGTGCTGGGATTACATTCATGAGCCACCATGTCCAGCAATTTGATGTGATTCTGTTTGTCTATTTTTGCTTTTATTGCTTCAACTTGGGGGATCAAATCTGAAAAATAGCTTCCCAGACCAATGTCATGTAGTTTTTTTAGTGTTTTCTAGTAGATTTACTGTTTCTTGTCTTATGCTTAAGTATTTAATCAATTTTCAGTTGATTTTTGTATGGCGTGAGATGAGTGTCTAATTTCATTCTTTTGCATGTGGTTATCCAGTTTTCCCAAAACCATTTATTGAAGAGACTATCCTTTTCTCACTGCAATATCTTTCTTATTCTTAATTGGTAAAAGATAAATGCTCATTTAAAGCAATAATAATAACAATTTATTGAATGTTTATAGCAAATGGATAAGTTAAGCGAATTACTGCGATGTCATAAGAGATAGAACAAAGAACACGAGACTACTCTGCTATAAAATACCTGTATTCTTTTTTTTTTTGAGACAGAGTCTTGCTCTGTCACCCAGGCTGGAGTGCAGTGGCGCAATCTCAGCTCACTGCAAGCTCCGCCTCCCAGGTTCATGCCATTCTCCTGCCTCAGCCTCCTTAGTAGCTGGGACTATAGGCACCTGCCACCACGCCCGGCTAATTTTTTGTATTTTTTTAGTAGGGACGGGGTTTCACCGTGTTAGCTAGGATGGTCTCGATCTCCTGACCTCGTGATCCGCCCATCTTGGCCTCCCAAAGTGCTGGGATTACAGGCGTGAGCCACCATGCCCAGCCTAAAATACCTGTATTCTATGTGAACTGGTATAGTGTTGTTTGAGGGCATAGATTATTTATTTAATAATATATATTATAAACCATAGGACAACACTAAAATTTTTTACAAATCATGTATAAATTATATGCAAATAAAATGAATAAATTGGAATCATATAAAATGCTCACCTAAAACTAGAGAAAACAGAAAGAGAGGGAGAAAAAGAAATAAATAAAAAGAAAATATTTGCAAAAATGGTAGATCAATAACCACTGCCAATATGAATTCTCTAAATATGCCAGTTAAGAGCAGAAGTTGTCAGAATAAATTTTAAATAGAAAGGTAAAGTGCATATTGTTTATAAAATTAATTATGAAGATTCAAATAGGTTAAAAGTAAAGATGAAGAAAGTTACCTTATGTGAACACTAATCAAAAGAAAGCTGGAGTAGCTCTCTTAATTTTAGACAAGCAAACTTTAGAATAATGAAGATTAACAGGGATTAAGAGGAACATTACATAACGTTAAAAGGTAAATTTTCCAAAGACACGTAACAATTCCTAACATGTATGCACCTAGTAACAGAGTATCAAAATACATGAGGTAAAATCTGATAGACCTAAAAGAAGAAATAGATAATCAGTCCACCATTACAATTAGAGACTTCAACACCTCTCTGTCATTAATTGCAAGATCTAGGAAGCAGAAAATCAGTAATGATAAATATGACCCGAACGGTACTATCAATCAATCAACTTGATCTAAATTACATTTATAGCAGAATCCATCCAATAAAAGAATACACATTCTTCTGAAGTATACATGAAACATTCACCAAGATAGATAACATTATTGGTCATAAAGCACACATTAACAAATCTAAATAAATAGAAATTATATAAAATATGTCCTCTGACAAAAATGTAACTAAATTAGAAAGTAATAACAAAAAGACAGCTGGAAAAGTCTGAAATGTTTGGTAAACTACACATTTCTAAATAAATCATCGGTCAAAAAAGAAGTGTCTGGAGAAAGTTAAAGATTTATTAAACAGAATGAAAATGAAAATATATCTTATCAAATTTGTGTGATACAGCTAAAACAGTGCTTAGAGAGATATTTATAGAATTACTTGCAAATATTAGAAAATAAAAATGATCTAAAATTAATAATCCCAAGATCCTACTATAGAAAATAGAGAGTGAATTAAAAAATAAACTAAAGTAAGCAGAAGAAAGAAAATAATAAATATTAAGCCAGAAACCAATGAAATAAAAAAACAGAAAAACAAGAGAGAAAATCAGCAAAACCAAAAGGTGGTTCTTTGAAAAGATCAATAAAATTGACAAGCCTCTAGCTAGGCCAATGAAGACAAAAGAGAGAAGACACAAATTACCAACATCAAGAATGAAAAAAGTTTCATCACTAATGATTTTATGAATATTAAATAAGATAATATGAGAACACTATGAACAACTCTATGTCCACATAAAGCTGATAATTTAGATAAAATGAACCAATCTTTTGGAAGACACAAACCAAGAATATTCACTCAATGAGAAGTGGATAACCTGGATGTGCTAAATCTATGAAAATAAATTGAATTAGTAGTTTAAAACATTCCATAGCAAACAAGTAAACCATCTAGCCCAGATGTCTTTTTTCATGAATGCTACAAAAAACTTAAGGAAGACTTAATATCAATTTTACGCAATCTCCTCCAGAAAATAGCAGAAGGAACACTACCCAACTCATCTTCTGAGGCCAGAATTACTCTAATATGAAAATTATGCAGAGCCATTTTAGGAAAAGAAAATTACATACTATTTCTCCTGAACACAGATGCAAAAAATTCCAAACAAAATACTAGCAAATAAAATCCAGCAATATATAAAAAGGATAATGCATTATAAACAAGTGGGGTTCATTCCAGAAATACATGCTGGTTCAACATTAATAAATCAGTCAATGCAATTCAACATATTAACAGCATTAATAGGAAAAACAATGAGGCTATAACTATAGATGCAGACAAAGCATCTGACGAAGTTCTATACATATTCATAATAAAAACTCTCAAAAGCTAGGAAAAGAAGGGAATTTCCTTATGCTAATAAAGAGTATATGTGAAAAACTTACAGCTAACATCATAATAGAGAGAGACTGAATATTTTCTTCTTAAGATAAGAAACAAGGCAACGGTATCCTTTTTCACCACTCCAATTCAACATAGGAATAGGAAGTCCTAAGACAACTGGAAGTCCTAGCTAGTGCAATAAGATAAGTAAAAGGAATAAAATGTGTACAGATTGGAAAGGAAAGTGTCTTTCTTTGAAGATACATGATTTTCTATGTAGAAAGCCCAAACAAATTAAAAAATGTTCCTGGAACTAATGTGAGTATATCAAGATTGCAGGGTACAAGTCTATATACAAAAGTCAAATGCTTTCCTATATATCAGCAATGGACAATTGGAATTTGAATTTTAAAATATATTACTTATAATAATAGCAAAAATGAAATACTAAGGTATTAATTTAACAAAATACGTTTGATATCTGAGCTCAGGAAACTACAAAACACTGATGAAATAAATCAAATATACAAAAAAATTGAGAGATAATCCATGAATAGAAGACTCACTATTGTAAAGATATCAGTTCTTCCCTATTTGATTTGCAAATTCAACACAATCCCATTTAAACTCTTAGAAGGGCTTCTTTTTTAAAAAAAAAAAGAAAAAAGAAACCATATTGGCAAACTGATTATAAAACTTATATGTAAAGCAAATGACCTATAATAACCATCACAATTCTGAAAAAGAAAAATATAGATGGATGACTCATATTACCCAATTTCAAAACTTTCTACAGAACAACTTCAATCAAGGCAGTGTGGTATTGGTGTAAAATAGGCATATGGATCCATAAAGCCAAGTAGAGAGATCAGAAATGGAAACACACAATTATAGTCAACTGATTTTTTCCAAAGCACAAAGGCAGTTTGATAAAGAAAGAATACAAACAGAGAAAGAATACAGATCATGGATGAATCTTAAATATATCTTTCTAAGTAAAAGAAGCCAGTTTAAAAGAATACAAATGGAGCTGGGACAACTTGGGATTCATAAGCAAAAAGAAATAAAAGAACTTGGACACAGACCTTACACCCTAAATTAAAAAAAAAATTAAAATGGATCAAGGACATAAATGTGAAATGCAAAACATTTTAAAAATGAGAAGATAAGTTCATAATGCAAAACCTTTAAGCTTCTAGAAGAATACAGGAGAAAATCAGCATGGCCTTGGGTTTGGTGATAATTTTTTCGTATAACACCAAAAACATGGTCTATGAAATAAAACATGCATTAGTTAGACTTTACTGAAATTTTTAAAATTTACTCCATAAAAGACACTGTTTGGGGAATCAAAAGACAAGTCACAGAATTATAAAGGACTTGTATACAAAATACATAAAGAACACTTAAAATTCAACAATAAGAAATCAAACCACCCAACTTAAAAATGTACAAAGCATCTGAACAAATATCTCACCAAAGATGATGTACACATAACAAATAAACACGTGAAAGGAGGTTCAGCATCTTTTGTTGTTAGGGAATTGCCAATTACAACAACAATGAGATACCACTACATGCATATTAGAAGACCCAAATCCAAAAAACAGATATTACCAATTTCTGGTGAGGATGTGGAGCAACATGTACTCTCATTCATTGATGGTAGGAATGCAAACTGGTACAGCCACGTTGATAGGCAGCTTGGCAGTTTCTTACAGAGCTGAATATAGTCTTACCATAAAATCCAATTGTGCTTCTAGGTATTTACCCAACTGACTTGAAAAGTTATGTTTACACAGAAAACCTGCATATGAATATTTATAGCAGTTTTAACCATAATCAGCAAAAACTGGGAGCAGCCAAGATATCTTCAATTATCAAATGAATTAACAAATTGTAGTACATCCATATAATAGAATACTATATAATCACGAAAAGGAATGAGCTGTCAGGCCACACAAAATCATAGATGAATCTTAAATACATCTTGCTAAGTAAAAGAAGCCAGTTTAAAATGAATATGCACAATATGATTCCACTTATATGACATTCTGGAAAAGACAAAATAAAGTCAGAAAACAGGTCAATAGTTGCCAGAGGTTTGGGATGGGGGTACGATTGAATAGGTGAAGCCTATGGGATTTCTTAGGGTGGTGCAACTACTCTGTATTATATTGTAGTTGTGGGCACATGACACTGTATTTGTCAATCACCACACAAGTACAAAGTATGAATCTTAATGTATGTACATTTAGAAAATCATTTGGGAGATTATGAACCCAAATTGGCAGACTGTGACAAAATAATCTAGTTGTATTAGAAATGTGTGACATAACCACACTAAAAGGGGTAGGGGAAAATTTGCTGACTTAAGCAACTTTGGAAATAAGTAGAGATGTTAAGTCTAAAGACAAAAAGAACTGTACTGGCGAAGTTGTTTTTTACTGTATGGATGAAAAATTCTGAAACCATTGTACATGTAGAATGGGATTGAAAAAAATAAGTAAATGGATGGCAGATGGTGATGTCATGTTCTTTTGAGATGATGTAATGAAAATGGCACTTTACTTCTGTGGCTTTCCTCCCCAAAACCCATAATACCAATCTAGTTATGAAAAAAAATCAGACAATTCCCAGTTTATGGTCATTCAACAAAATACCTCACCAATACAGATGCTCCTCAATTTATGATGGGGTTATATTCCAATAAACCCATCATAAGTTGAAAATATTAAGTTGAAATGTATTTAACACACCTAACCTATGGAACATCATAGCTTATCCTAGCCAACAGTTAGGTAAAATCATATAACACAAGATCTATTTTATAATAAAGTATCAAATAACTCATGTAATTCATTGAATACTGTACTAAAGTACAGTTTCTATTGACTCTATATCATTTTTGCACCATCATAAATATAAAAAATCTTAAGTCAAACCATTGTGTTGGGGACTATCTGTATTCCATAAAACCATCAAGGTTATCAAAAATAAGTCAAGCCTGAGACACTGCCACAGCCAAGAGGAACCTAAGGAGACATGACAATGAAATGTAACCCCGGATGGGATCCTGGAACAGAAAAATAACATTAGGTAAAAACTAAGACTTGGGAGGCTGAGGCAGGTGAATTGCTTGAACCCAGGAGGCGGGGATTGCGGTGAGCCAAGATTGCACCACTGCACTCTGGCCTAGGTGTCAGAGCGAGACTCCATCTCAAAAAAAAAAAAAAAAAAACCTAAGAAAATTAATATGGACCTTAGTAATAATAATGTATTGATATTAGATCAATAGTTGTAACAAATATGTCATACTAGTGTAAGATGTTAACAATAGGGGAAAATTGATGTGGAATACATGATTGCTCTTTTTACTATCTTTGTAATTTTTCTCTAAATCTAAAACTATTCTAAGAAAGCTTATTTTAAAAACACAACAATAGCTATTATAATAGTTCCATATGTTTAAAAGTGACTAAGACCCCTATAATTCTCATTCTCGTTGTAAAAGTAAGATGACCAAGACTTTGAAAGGTAAAGTGAGTAGCCCAGTATTATAAAGGCTTGTACATGAAGAACTAGAACTTCAAACCACATCTCACTGATTCCATAGCCTATGACTTTCCTGCCTCTATTTGAACACCTAATCCACTAATCTGAAAGGAATCCAGGTAGTAGAGAAATGCTTCTGGATTACAAACCATGTTTTGTTTGCATGTTTAGATTAGGAAACTTATGGTTGTGCTTCCGGTTCCACTTATCTGTTGATACACGTTCCTTGTCTCAGTAGAGAGGAAGAAGCATGAAAGGCAACTTGACCTCTCTCAGAACTGTTCACCATTGTGTGTTCTAGAGTTATATTATATCCTCCCCCTCCCCCTTTTCTCATCTAAGCCCTCAAGTGAGTGAGTTGAGATGAGATAGAGAAGTGAGAGGTGGAGAAAGGCACAAGCTGAGATTCTCTGAGGCAGGCAACTCCCCAGTCTCACCCCATTTTCCTCCTTCCCTCAGGAGACACAGCAGAGTCCCATTATCACATTCCCATCATCATCTTCACTCTTACTCCCTAGAGCACCTGTTATAGTGTGCCTTCAAATCTTCCCTGTTTACAGATGAGCAAACTGAGGCTCACAGAGGTAAAATGGCTTGTTCGAGTTCATACAACTAATAAGAGGGAGACAAGTAAGAATGGGCCTAGAGAATACTTTAGCAGATGGGAAGAGGGCATAAAATTGAGATGAATTCATGCCCCTTGGCTTCAATTTCCTTGATGAAGTAGGATAACAGGAGGGAATCGGTGTCGTCTCTGGTTTTAAGGCTGGGAGTCACTGGGTGAATAGGAGAGCTCACTGTATAAAATAGCAGACATTCAGGAGTGTCCTTGTCAGCATCTTCCATAGCCCAAATGTGTATGCAGTGAACCCCTCTGGCAAATTAACATTTTCTCTTCAATTCAAAATGGACAGGAGTAAGGAAATCATTTAAACCAGTTATTTGACAAAGCCAACAGTTGATTGCCTGATATTTTTCACTTTTCAGATGGTATTACTGGCGCTTCTGTAAACTGCCTGAGGCCAGGCCTACAGCACTGTAATTATCCAGGCAACTAAGTCAGTATTTTCCTTATTTACACAGGAAGTGAAGGGGAGAAAGGGATTGTTTATTTTTTCAGGCTGAATTATACATTCTGAACTGCCCAAATTTATAAGACATTGCTAATGCTCTAGACTTGGCAGCCTGGATTTGTCTGTGTGAGTGTAGCGCCTGAATCAACTCCCACACCAAACCTCACTGGAAATTACTGCCTCCCCTACCTCAGCAGCCAATTTGCATTGTGAAATATTTTATTACTTAAACACCTTTTGAGGGGGGCAAATACATTACTTCCCTGGGCTGAAAAATGCAATTGATCTTCTCAGCATCAGCCGCCTACGGTTGTTTTAACTGCCATGGAATCATGATTCAGTGAAAGCCTAGCAATTTGACTTAAAAGGTGATTATGGCATCTCAGCTAAGTTTTCCATTACCTTCAGTGTACAATTGCATTGCTATTTAGTAGGCATTTAAATAAAAATATATATTTATCAAGTGAAAGCAAAAGCATGGTATGTGCTAATTTGGCAGAAGAAAATGTGGTTTTTATGTTAAAAGTATACATACTTTATATATCTGTGAACAACAGACAACTGTAAAAGTACAATTTTATGGAAGTCGAAAATTTCCACCTCTGCAAAAAACAATTTCTCATTTCAGGAAAGAAGAGCTATTAAGTAGCCAGGCTGTATCATGAACCCCAAACACCAGAGGGCCTGAGTGTACAGATTCATCTGAGCCAACTAGATGAGTTTCTCATTTTGCTGATAGGCTGTAGACAGTGAGCATCTCAATGACCACCATGATGGCTGAAACACTGAAGGCTCTTTCTTTAGTTTCTTAGATTGAATAAACTCTTGTTTTCTTCAGATCCAATGGAAGTAGGGAGGTTCTCCTAGTATTACCACCATCACAAGGAAAAAAAATGATGGAGCTCTGCAGAAGGCAGAGTAATGGCCCCCACAGATATCTATGTCCTAAATCCAGAACCTATTACCTTACATGGCTATGTTAACTTTGCAAATGGGATTAAAGTGAATGACATTGAAATGGGAAGATTGTACTGGATTATCCAGGTGGACCCTCATTTTAATCACATGAGTCTTTAAAAGTGAATAAACTTTCCTGACCATAATCAGAAAGCAAGGTCACAATGGAAGAAGGGTAAGAGAAAGGTGACACTATTGACTTTGAAGATGGAAAAAGAGGCCATGAGTCAAGGAATGTCTCTAGAAGCTGGAAATGGTAAGGAAGCAGAGTCTCCCTCCAGAAAGGAAACAGCCCTGCTAACTAACACAATGACTTTAGACTTGTTATACCCATGTCTCACTTTTGATCCCCACAACTGTAAGACAATAAATTTCTGTTGTTTTAAGCCTCTAAGTGTGTAGTAGTTTGTTACAGTAACAATATAAAACATATACAAGCTCAGATATTGATCAACAAGTGCCTGGTCAGGAAGGTTATTTTCTCTATTGGAGGACAACAATGGCAGCCTGAAGGGCTATATTCTGTGCCGCTATAACCAGTGGGAATAAATTCTAGAATGAGTAAAGTGGAGGTAAGTGTAGCAACCAGGATTTTGTAGTTGGGGTAATGCCAAAATAGTGCTCTGGATAAACTGACCCACATTCAGTGGTTTGTTTTTGGCAACCAACATAACTTTCCAAGGTTCACTGGTCCCTTACCCATACAGTTTTTGAGGCAGTTGCACTTACATAAAAAAGAAAGGAAAATTCAGGGAGAGCAGGAGAGGGAGAGGAAGCAGTAGTAAGAGTGTGCTGCCAGATGTTTTTGGCTAAACTCGAGAATATTTGAACTTGAATCCCCCTTTAAACATCAACCTTATACTTTTAATGGCTAATCTTAAAGAAAGAATAGTCTCATACATCATTTTTTCTCCTTTAGAATGTCATCTAATGCCTTAGTTTCAAATTGTTGCTCAAAGTGGTGGGTACATATACACAGACATGCACACAGACACACACACACACACACACACACACACACACACACACACACACTCGTGCACCTACAGGCCAAATTGGGTAAATGTGATCTTTGGCTTCCTTCTGAAAAGAACAGAATAGAAATGTAAGAAGTCACCTAGAAGATGGGTTTAATGGCTTCTGTTATTTTCTCAAATTTTGCCCAAATGAGGTTTCTTTTAAAAAAGTTAGAAGCTCTTTCATAAAATGTTTATACGTATGGGTGGACTATTCATTCTTTATTCACAGAACCATTCTAATATAATATGTAACAAGAGTCTAAAAGCTAATCAATAATGGAACATAGATCTGCCTATGGAAGTGTCTGTGCCTCCTCAGAGAGGAAGATGCACAAGACAGTGAGCCTCCAAGGGCAGTTCCAACTTTATATTTACTTTATGATGATTCAACTCTATGTGTAATTCTTTGTATTGTCACTTTCAATTATTTTCGGAACAAAACCGCTAGGGAAATGAGTTACTCATTTCAAAAAGCGCATTCATATTTGATAAATAGCTTACAGATTAGAGAGAAGATGTTTACTGAAACCAGGATTCAAAGCTCTTTCCTGGGAATCAGACTAAACCACTAGATTAAGGATGATAAATCTGCGTTGCCCAGATCATCTGAAGCTAATAGTGTAGGGCTGGGCTGAGTTGCCTGTAAAGGTACTTCCCTAGGAAATAGCATTAAGACAAGGCTTTCAGTGGGTTTCTGGCCAGATGCAAGATCCTGGGAGGGCTGCAGTCATTTCATAACTTCATGTTCAATGGCCCAGTGGGGAAGAAAGAGTCTGCAAGGGCCTCTTCTGGTTTGACAGACAAAAGCCAATTTCCACCTTTACTGCATTGGATACACACTATCCAGGTGCCCAAAGCATCATGCTTCCCTATTACTGAGTTCTCCGTTCTTCTCCAACTTCCATTTCAGGGCATAGCAGAGGTTTGGAAAACAATATAATTATTCTCTGTTTCCTGAGCTCTGGGTCCCACAAAATGAAAGTGAAAATCTCTTCTTACCAATGTGCTTTTTTGTTTGTTTAGGTATTGGGTCATTTAACATAAATCTTTGCTGAAAAACCATTAATATGATTTATTCATTTATTAATATACTCCACACGTATTATCTCAGTATTATAGTGCCAGTGCTGAAACTCTAAATCATTTCCATTACTCACTTCAAAAGTAACACTTCTGGCCGGGCACAGTGGCTCACACCTGTAATCCCAGCACTTTGGGAGGCTGAGGTGGGCAGATCACGAGGTCAGCAGATCGAGACCATCCTGGCTAACACAGTGAAACCCCGCCCCTACTAAAAATACAAAAAGGTAGCCGGGCGTGGTGGCACACGTCTGTAGTCCCAGCCACTTGGGAGGCTGAGGCAGGAGAATCACTTGAAACCCAGGAGGTGGAGGTTGCAGTGAGCCAAGATAGCACCACTGCACTCCAGCCTAGGCAACAGAGTGAGACTCCATCTCAAAAACAAAGAAACAAGCAAACAAACAAAAAAAACCACTTCTGATTCCTTTTTTGTACCTTAACCTTAGTTGCCCTCAGTTCATAGGTAGACAGAAGTTTGTTTGGATAGGGAATATGGCTTTACACCAGAATTTCCTATATAGTGTAATTTGAGTCTTTGAGGGACTGCTATGGTTTGAATGTTTGTCCTAAGACTCATGTTGAGATTTAATTGCCATTGTAACAGTATTAAGAAGTGAAACCTTTAAGAGGTGGATTAGGCCATGAGGACTCCACCCTCTTTAATGGATTAATGTCATTATTGCAGGAGTGGGTTTGTTATAAAAGGGCAAATTTGGCCCCTTTTTCTCTCTTTCTCATGCCCTTCTGCCTTCTGCCATGGAGTGATACAGCAGTAAGGTTCTCACCAGATGCTGGTGCCTTGATCTTGGACATGCCAACCTCTATAGCTGTGAGGAAATACATTTCTGTTCCTTATAAATTACCCAATCTCAGGTATTCGGTTGTTGCAGCACAAAATGAACTGAGATGGACACTAATCAGCTGCAGGAGCCTCATTCCAGCTGAGGTCTATGGAAAGTAGCCAGAAGACTTGACCTCTTTGAGCATCTACTTCATAGGCTTCTTGTGAGCATTAAATAAAGGAATACATGTAAAGTGTTTAGAACCATGTCTAAGCACATGATAAATATTCTCAGAATGAGATATTCTATTTAAAATTATTAGAAATAATTAAGACTTGGTCTACACCAGGTGCAGTCTGGAGTCTATGTTAGCCAGTGGGTGTGCTGATTGGCAACGTCCTTCCTTCACAGGGCCTCAAACAACCACCTAACTTGTATGGGGAAACTCTAGTAATTCTCTGAAGGGAGGCTAATCTCTATGAGGTAAGGCAGGCATCTCTGGTGGTCAGGCCATTCAAGGCTGATCAAGAAATACCTGCACTAGCTCTAGGAGGAAGACTTGGGCTTTCAGGTTTTTCTACTAATGGTTCTGAGCCAAGCTACTTAGCAAATGCTGTGTTGGTGATAGGGAAGTGTAGTGGTTGAGGGCTCTGCTGTGCTGACACAGCAGAAATCTCTGAACTGAGCCATGGCAGTGCATGCTCTGACATCTCCTTGCAGCCACATTTATTGAAGCTACTAAATGCACAGCCATATAGCTAATGAGAAGACCAAGGTAAAGATTCAGCAGTGTTCCAGGACAATACTATGCTATAGCCCCTTGAGTCCTCAGGAGTTACTTGTTAACTGACTGAACCATGTCCCAATGTAGCAGTTACTGAAGATATTCACCTTTCTCTTTTCCAGGAACTCTAAGTCACAGAAATACTTCAGGAAGGTCATTAGACACTTCATTTTCTGAGCACAATATTAAAATAGCAATAATAACAATAGCAATAATGTATTATGGAATTATTAATAATAAATTCCAAGTACTGTTGTTGTGCTTTACATGTATTATCCCACTAATCCTTACAACAACTCTATGCGCCCAATAGTGTTATTATTCTTATTTTACAGAAGAAACTGAAACTCAGAGGAAAACAAGTTTTTTAATCACACTGCCGCTAAGTGGAAGAGCTACAATTTGAATCCAGAATTTTTGGACTCAAAAACTTCATGTTATGTCTTCCCCAGTGGGACTAAACAGTTCTTAAAAATGAGCTCAATCAGAGATTCTCTCAGGAGTCCACCCAAGTGAGTACATGGTGATTGACAAACTTGTCAAATGGAAAGATTAGATAAAGCCTGACTTTGCTGAGTGAGTGCTTCAGAAGCCTCTTGGGCTCCATTTATCCCAAAGACCCCTTGACCAGACACTGGTGGAGAACAAGGCTTGCTGTAGCCAGGCACTGAGGTATCCCAGTCTTTACTGCACTGGGCCATTAATTGCCTTTCATGGGCTTTTGTTGTTTAACATGTAGCACAGATTGTAGATTCCTCTTTTCAGTTTAAATGGGAATACAATAGCTTCCATGTTAGGGCCCTGTTACAAGACTCTGATGGTCTTTATCCCTTGCAGAATATATACTGTCATGGTTATTGAACACATTGATCATTACACTGTGGCTATGTCTTCCTAGTTAGGCAGTTGGCATGTTATGTTGCTAATAATGTGCTAATATGGAAAAAAGACTTGCAGAAACAGAAAAAAAGGGCAAAGTGGATTTCATGTGTGGATTCCAGGTGCATCTGGCTGCCATTTCATGTTATGCTTAGAAATCGAGGTTGCATCAGTGTGAACAAAGATCCTTACACGTCAGCAATACTTTGGGCATCACCACAAAATTATGCCTTTATATTTGATCAGGATTATAGCACAACTGCCGTGATTTATGTTTATGCTTTTTTAACATTTGTGGTAAAATACACATACCATCAAGTTTATCATCTTAACTACTTATAAGTATATAGTTCAGTAGTGTTAACTCTGTTCACATTGTTTGCAACCAATCTCCAGAACATTTTCATCTTGTAGAACTGAAACTCTATACCCATTAAACAATAATCCCCATTTCTCCCTCCCCACAATGCCTGGAAACCATCATTCTACTATCTGTCTCTATGACTTTGACTACTCTAGGGACTTCACATAAGGGGAATCATGCAATATTGGTCTTTTGTGACTGGCTTATTTCACTAAGCATAATATCCTCAGAGTTGATTCATGCTGTGGCATATGATGTAATTTCCTTCTTTTTGAAGGCTAAATACTATTACACTGTATGTATGAACCATGTTTTGTTTATCAATTCTTCCGTTGATAGACATTTGGGTTGCTTCCACCTCTTAGCTATTGTGAATAATGCTGCTATGAACATGGGTATGCGAATATCTCTTTGAGATCTTGCTTTCAATTCTTTTGGGTATATTCCCAGAATTGAAACTGCTGGATCATATGGTAGTTCTATTTTTAATTTTTTGAGGAACAGCCATACTGTCATCTACAGCAGCTGTGCCATTTTACATTCTCACCAACAGTGCCGAGAGGTTCCAATTTCTCCACATCTAACACTTGCTGTTTCCTGTTATATTGATAGTAGCCATCCTAATGGATGAGAAGACATTTATATATTCTAAAATTCTGCCTTTGCTCTGTAATAATTTCTTACATACTTTACATATCAAGTGTGGCCTACCAAAACAATGAGGAGCAACATACTCTCTGTATTCATAGAAGCAGTACACTCTGAGAGACTTGGCAAGCTTGCCCTGGAAGAAGGACCTAGTTGCTTCTTTCATACTTTATACCAAACTCAAGAGAAGAAAAGACAGTAACTTTCCTCTTTGCTTGCATGGGATTATATCATTATTTGTCTGTGTGCCTGTCTCTCTCCTCTAGCCTGTCAGCAGTTCGAGGCAATTCCTTATGTACTCATTCAAAAGATGGTCATTTATCTAACACCTACTAGACCTGAGCATATTGCTTAATGTTGAGAACTGTCCTCTCCAATTCATTTCAGGACTCGCTTAGTCCTGGGCTGTTTCTGGATGTATCACACACATAGTGCATCAGTTAAACATGGAGACTCTGGAGTCAGCCTGCCTGGGCTGGATTCCCAACTCTGCTGGAATTTGCTTTGTGGCCTTGGGCGGGTTATTTCCCCTCTATGGCCCTCAGTTTCCTCATCTGTTAATGAGGATAATAGTATCAACCTCATAACCTTGTTGTGAGAAGTAAATTAGCCCATGTAAATTGCTTAGAACAGTGCCTGAATAGACACTCAAACATGTTAGTTCTTGGTGCAGCTATAAGAATTGCTATTACTATGTTACATTTCAATCAAATTCAAGTTGTCTGGGTGGTCCATGGTAGTGCTCTGTTCTGATTCCCAGGGTCTATAATTAAAGAAGGTGGATTCTTAGACAACTAAAACTAGGTAGGTGGCCTTGAGGAAGCCAGGAGAGGGGAAGGGGACCTGAATACTCTTTAAGTGGATATTTTGCAGTCTACTATTTAGGGAGTACAGATCTCTGAGCTAGTACCTCTGGGTGCTTGCCAAGATTGCTTTTGCTGAGCTTGTAAGTAGACCATGAGCTAGAATGGAACAGGAACTAGGGGCTCCCTAGAGAGTAAAACTAAGCTTGCAAGACAGATTATATAGATTCTTAGCTCACTTTGGTTAATTTTCTAGTTGTTTTTCTCAAGCCTTTAGTAAAGTCTTACTTAAATGCTCCAGCCATGTCTCCGTTAAGCTGTGAAGTAGTAAAGTGCAAAGTCCTATGTCCATACTCTAGCCAGAATGATGAGTAACAGGATGGGGCTACCTCTACCACCATACCCTCTCTCTACTTCCAATAATGCCAGTGCATGAGCCACATCTGGAATCAGAGAGGTCATACAACGAATGAGGCTGGTTTTAGGTAAGGGTGCAAGATACAGCTTACAAAGTAGACCTTCTCACTTCAAGAATCTCCCTCTGGCATGAGATTGCTAGCCTTGAAGTATATAAACTTTATCTTACTTAGGAAGGTAGTAATTTTCTTCAAGTAGACAGAGGCATCAATATAAGTTGTGGATAAAATTTCATTTAGCACTGTTTAATACTAGGGTGGTAGAACTGGCCTGTAAGACCATCTGGCTGGTCTACCCCTCCTTTTCTAGCCAGGGAAAACAATGTCCAGAGATTAACCTCATTCTCAGGTCCAGAACTAGAGACTAGCAGAACTAGGATGAAGACAAAGGACACTTGTGTGCTTTCTTCACTACCCAGGCCTGGACCAGGCCCTTCAAAGAAGCTAGAGTGGGAAGTTAATTGACATGGTCTTGGTAAGCTGTTCCTGTTGGGGGAAACGTGGACCTCAGTGGTTGTGGATCCCTGGAATTATTGTGAGGACTCCATCAGTTCACAAGGACACTTATATTTGAGTATAGACTAAATAATAAAGACATTTAAAACATATAGTTAAAATCATAATTTTTTTCATGAAACTAATCTACCCCTTTTCTCACTAATTCTGTTACTTCTATCACTCTTCAGGTAACCTATAACCCCACCTCCAGATGAGCTAATTTGAGTAGCTAGTTTAGCACTGAAGGAGGTGCACAGACCACCTAATTTGTACAAAGCACCTAACATAATGCCCAGCAGATAGTAATAATGTCACAGATAACATTTCTTGAGGCCTTCCAATGTGCCAAGCATAGAGAATTTTATGTAGATTAATTAACTCATTTCATTTTCACAAGAATCCTATGTGGGAGGTGAGTCTTATTATCATCCTCATTTTGCAAATGAGGAAACAGAGGCTCAAAGAGTTTAAGTAACTTGCCCTAAGTTCACTTAGCTACTAAGTGGCATTGCACATAATAGATTTTTAATAATAGGTAGTATTATTATGTAATTGCCATTAATATTATCATAACTAAATTTTTAAAGTAGGGTGTTGAAACTGAAGAGTTCTTTAGAGATTGCATCCAAACCTTTATTTTCCTGGTGATGAAACCAAAAGCCAAAAGGGAGAATGGCTGAGGCAAGGTATCCCTGGGTGTGAGTGGCAAAGCCAGGTCATGAACTGAGGGCTCCTAACTCTCAGATGGTGCTGTGAGCTTTACAACCTCTGGGACTGTCTCCTGTGGAAGGACAGGATTGGATGTGAAGCATTTCCAGGTCACTTTACCTGCCTTCTCCTCTCACTGGTCGGGGGCAGTGTTGTCTTAAGACTGGGCTGGGGTTAAAAAATGCTTCTCAAAATTCCTCAGAAAGACTGTTGGAATGACTTTGTCAGGAAATTCTTGGAAATGAGAGTGGAAGAGATGTTTTTGTTCACTCTTCAGTGAGTAAGAGAAATGGGAACCATTACTAAGGTCTTACTTCCCAGGAAGATTTAGTAACACATTCATTTTCAAAGGGCCTTTCATTTTTTAAACATTCTTAATTTCAGGACTTTCTCCCCACTGGCCCCTGACTATTGGCTTTCTTTTTTAAATGGAATCCACTTTGTTAGGCCTGGGATCCTTAGGGAAGAACTGCCTCTGCCTTCCCAGGCAATGCTGACCTTGTGTGGGCTCTGAAGAAAGCACCGTGGGACTCTTACGAAGAGCAGTGGTGCTTCTGGGACCAGCAAGCAATCGGAAGTGACAGAGATGAAGAAGCCAAGAGCAGTTTACCCTTCACAAATATGGATAATTACACAGAATGTAAAGCTGTGGAGAGATTAAGAAAGTTCAGCAGGAGTCTTGGGAGCTTTCCGAACTTTTGAGGATTTATCCAAAATTAACCTTTACCCTTTTACAGTTCATCTTCAGCTAATAAAAAGAAATCAATCGCGGTTATAATCCTGATGAGTCCTCCAAGAAAGAAGATATCAGAGAGGACAAATCTTGAGACGTGTCTGTCCTTGGAAAACTGGATTTAAATAGAGGAAAACACTCATTTTCTTTAGACAATACCTTGCTGGCAAGCTGCCCTCTTACTGTCAACACACATATATGCACTGTGTTTTCAGGTTGAGGAAATTTCTCTCATTTTAGAGATGGAGAAAAAGCAATGCTAGTAAGGGCTTTGACAGTGTTAAGGGTGGATTCACAGAACCTGTCAGGGCTGCAGCTCAGGGCACACTTCTTGGGCCAAGGTTGTACCAAGATGGGAGGAGCCTGGTGCTTTCTCCAGATACCCATGGAAGCAGGGCAATCCAGCTCAAGCAGTGAAGGCCTGAGTTCCCATCTCAGACTTACCTGTTTCTGGCTGTGTCACCCAACTTCTAGGAGCCCCTGTTTCCTTATGTATAAAAAGAAGAATCATGTACTACTAAAAATATCATTACTATTAATAAAAGTCGACTATAGTTACCATTAATTGATTATTATGGGCTGGGCACTTTTCTCAATACTTTTATGTTATGTCATTATATCTTCCCTGCACTCCTAGGAGGAATTGAATCATACACAATTGCCAATATTTAACCATTTCTGATGTACGAAATGACAATTTCATGTATTTTAACCTATTATGGCCCATTTTACAGATGAGAAAACTGAGGCACATAAAAGATGATTAACATGCCTATGAACACAATCTCTTAAGTGATGGAAGTAGTAAGAAATTGACTTGCCTCATAAGGCTGTCATAGGGATTAGATGAAATGATGCATGCAAACCTAGCATAGTGCCTAGTCAGAACAATTGCCTGACATAAAATACCTATTATTATTAATGAGTCTTTATTGAAGACGAGTTGGCTACACAATTTTCAGGACCCAGTAGAAAATTAAAATATGGTTCCCTTGTTCAAAATTCAGGGGAAATGCTGTTAAAGTTCCAAAAATATAAAACTTTCTTTTCTTTCTTCTACCTTTTCTCTCTGACCTGTCCTGGTGATTTGTATTTGCTATTTAATGCTACATTCAGTTGGCCACAGAGATACTTGCAAGGAGAGTACAAACCTCAGAGATACCCAGGGGACCCTACGAGGTCCACCAGCAGCCAGATTCTCCCTCCTGCCAGTTCCTAGACATATACACACACACAGCCCTGGCTGAGTGCTTGAGAGCAGAGAAGCCAAGCCAAGCATTTCTCCTTCCCATTGGATGGCCACCCCAACCCACAGCATACAGGAGACTGCTGGAGATTGCAACCTCTCCTCCAGGGCATCTACAGTACCCGGATCAGGGGTAGATGCAAGGCTCATCCCTGCCTAGTTGCTGAATGTGCTGTGAAGCCATGACTCACCCTGACACTCCACAGTGCCTGTGTGCCTGGTTTCCATGCTCAGGCCCTTGCCAGGGGCAGAGGGCAACTATAGTCTCTGGGAGGTGATGTGGAGGGAGAAGACTGGTGGTCCCTAGAATACCGGGGTCAGAGGAGCAGGTAGCCAAGCACCTATTCCAGAGAGGTAGGGGGTTGGTGGGAGGTGAACTGAGGCCTTATTGTCTCACCAGATTTCATTTATAAAACACAAATTCAAATGAAATTATTAAGAATTTCAAGACAGTGACCACTGAGCATTAAGCGAAGCACAAAACCCTTATGAGCTCTGAGCTTGGAGCCCTGGGGAGCTACCCTGACTGCATGCTCATGAAGCTGACCCTGATCGGGCACCTGTTCTGTGCCAGATTTTGTACTCATTGCTGAGAGCAGAGAGGAATCAGGCCTACCTCTGCCCCAGAGGAGCAGACAGTCAAGCAATGGAGAGAGCATAGTTCCAGGCTATGGTAAGTGCCACGTGGCATCAGGGGCCTGGGGAACTGATTTGCCACAGAAAAGGATGCTGAGAGACAGAAGCATGAGAGAGGAGAGCTACACATCCATCCCCCTCCCTGGTATGTCTCAGGCCATCAGGCTGTCAGGCCAAATTTATCCACTCCCTTTCTCCACCCCCTCCCCATTTCTCCCTACCTGGCTACTCCAGGCTTCTCACATTTCCTCAGACACTTTTCCTCAGGCACATACCAAAAGGCATCTGTGAATTCTGATTTGATGTAAATTCTTCTTTCTTATGTCATTTCTAAGACGGATAATAAAACTCTGTACCCTGGATTTCCAAACCATAGCAAAGAGGAATGCCCTTCAACAGACCTCTGTTGTGGTTATGGTGGTTCCCGATCTGAAAGGTGGGAGAGACAGATGCTCACAGAGAGAATGCTGTGGAATTTAGCTAGTTAATATAGTTAAAACACTTTGAAGATAAAATGTGCTACATTAATTCCACATTCCATTATTACTAATAAAGGCTCAACCTTCGTGCATTGGAATATCCAGAAAGGGATATTTGATTCATGATGAGTCAAGCGTGATTTAAAATATTGACCCTAGCTCTAAGCATAGCCAGAGTTTTATGTGCATCATATAATGCAATAATTGCTATAGTAACCACTCATTTATATTAATTAGAGGAGTAAATAGAGTTCTGTAATATATATTACAGACTACTGCTGAGAGCATAAGTAACATCTTTCCATTGAAAGGTTTAATTGATGCATTTGCCTCATAGGAAAATTTGCTTTTTTGCTTCATAGGTATATTTAGCCCATTTAAAGCAATTTTCTTTTATTCTCCCTCTCCCCTCTGTCTTGCACTGCCTCTGGGATTCCAAGGCAGTTAGCCATTTGTGTGGGGAAAGGAAGGCCATAATGGACAGCAATCCTGAGATTTTTTTCTGAGTGAGTACTAGAGATGTTTCATGAGTAAGTAATAGGAATAGATCCTTCTGAAGCCCTGGCTACTAGGGCAAATCTTCTAAGCATAAAGTGTTAAAAGTTAAAGGTGAAGTCATCAGGTGACTTTAAGCCTATCATTTGGAAGACATTGTGGGAGGCCTATACTGGGTCCATTGTGTTCTAAAATTTGTCAGCAGAAAAAATGAGAAGCCCTAACAATACAATATCGCATAGATAGATATTTCAAGACTAACCAGGGGTCAATCATAGACTAGAGATGTACTAGTCAAATGAGACCCACACATGACTTTCCTCTTTCTTCTGAAATGTTTTAAAAACTTGAATTTTATTCCTTTAGGCAGGGCATGTGTTCATCTAAGTTCCTACCACTGCCTACTGCAGTAGGCTCAGTTGAAGCACATAACCTATTTGTGTTATCTGCCTAGTTCCAGAAGGCACTTGAGTGTTACAGCCCAGAGGCCACCCAACACATTCATCTTACAAATGGGGAGACAGAGAAGCCAAGAGACTTGCCCAAGGTTACACTGTGAATTAGTGGCAGATCTGAGACTATAGCCTTGGTCTCCTAGTTTCTGAGTCAATACTCTTTGTGTTACTCCAAGAAGCCTCTATTGTCAACACTGGGAAGATCCATGTCACTTTTCTCTGGTGCAGGCACTGGCCCTGTACCTCCATGAAGAAATGGCTGGTTGATTTATGCTCCATCATCTCTGTCTCCCTCACCTCATGTAGGTTGTTATTGCCACATGCCATATTCTACATTTTATCTACTACAGGCCATTTTGATGGATTTCAGCCACTTTAGTTCCCAAGTTAATTTGTTTAGGAGAATGCTGGTTTCAACTGACATCTGGCCTATGATATGATATGGTTTGGCCTTGTGTCTCCACCCAAATCTCATGTTGAATTATAATTTCCAGTGTTGGAGGTGGGGCCTGGTTGGAGGTGATTGGATCACGGGGGTGGTTTATAATGGTTTAGCAACATCTGCCTAGTTCTGTCCCATAATAGATTTCTCATGAGATCTGGTTGTTTAAAAGTGTGTAGCACCCATGTCTCATTGCTGTCTTCCTCCTGCTCTGGCTATGTGAAGGCCTTCACCTTTCGTCATGATTGTAAGTTTCTTGAGGCCTCCTGAACCATGTTTCCTGTAGAGCTTGTAGAACCATGAGCCAATTAAACCTCTTTTCTTTATGAATTACCCAGTTTCAGGTAGTTCTTTTTTTTTTTTTTTTTCGAGTTGGGGTCTCCCTGTCTTGCCCAGGCTGGAGTGCAGTGGTGTGATCTCAGCTTACTGCAGCCTCTGCCTCCCGGGTTTAAGTGATTCTCCTGTCTCAGCCTCCTGAGTAGCTGGGACTACAGGCGCATGCCACCACACCTGGCTAATTTTTGTATTTTTAGTAGAGACGGGGTTTCACCATGTTGGCCAATGTTGGCCAGGCTGGTCTTGAACTCCTGGCCTCAAGTGAGCCACCCACCTCGGCCTCCCAAAGTGCTGGGATTACCGGCGCGAACCACTGTGCTCAGCCTCAAGTAGTTATTTATAGCTCTGCAAGAACAGATTAATACAGATAGAAGGCTAAATCCTGAGCCACAAATTGTGGGGAAGGGGGTTAATATCTTTCTCCTTTGTTGATTGCACGATGGCTATCCTATGAGAAATACCTAAGAAGAATTGTTAAGGTTTAGGTTTCATAGACTGTTCTAAGATAAGCATGATTAATTTTGCAAAAGGTGCTCAGTAATAGAGCTGTGAGAGGTACACAGCTGGCTTTTAATATGATTCTCTCATATCCCCAAAGGAAAATATATCAGCGAGGATAGACTAGAAGGTGCTGCAGTAACAAACAACTCTCAAATCTGAGTGGAGTAACAATAAAGGTCTGTTTCTCACTCATGCTATATATCCAACATGAGTCAGTGAAGGGGCTCTGCTCATTGCAGCCATTCAGAAACCCAAACTTCTGGAGGCTCCACCTCAGTATGTGAGCTCATGATTACCTCAGAAAGTGGAATACTATGCAGCAAATTGCATCCAGAAGTGACAGTGTCACTTGTACTCGTATTTTGTGGGCAAATCAAGTCACATGTCCCAACCTAACTTCAAAGAAGGGTGGGGAGGTACAATCCTACCATGTGCCTAGAAGACAGAGAGCCAGAAATATTGGGTGATTAGCACTAATGACTCTCACAAGAAGTTATATGCAATTTGGTGCAATACTTAACTGATGCTGGTGGAGGGCTGGGATGAGACACGTTTACAATATTTTCCTGTACCATGTTCAACTCCTCCATCTCTAACATGCTCTGACAAACCCTCAGGACACAGAAAATATAAAAATATTTTTGTAAAACTTACTCTTCATTCATTTTTGAGAGAGGTGTTTTTATTATTATAATAAATATATGTTATTATAGTAGTAACTTACAAAAATGCATAAAAAAGAAAGAAAATTAAAATCACCAATACAGTAGTCCCCATATCCAGTGGGTAATTGAAACCAGCCTCTTCTCATCCATGGTTTCAGTTACACAGAGTAAACCACAGTTCAAAAGTATTAAATAGAAAACTCCAGAAATACACGATTCATACATTTTAAATTGTGCACCTTTCTGAATAGTGTTATGAAATCTCGCATTGTCTGGCTCCATTCTGTCTGGAAGGCAATCCTCTCTTTGTTCAGTGTCTCCACACTGTAGACACTACCTGTAGCCAGTCAGTCATTTAGCAGCCATCTTGGTGATCAGATTCACTATTTTGGTACTGCAGTCCCTGCGTTTAACTAACCCTTATTTTACTTCATAATGACCACAAAGTGCAAGAGTACTGTGCCTAATTTATGAATTAAACTTTATCATATGTACATGTGTATAAGGAAAAACCATAGTATATATTGGGTTCAGTATGATATGCGGTTTCAGGCATCTGTTGGCAGTCTTGGAACTTATCCCTCCATAAGAAGGGACTACTATACTTCCACATCTGTACTTCCATATATGTATTTCCCAGACATGATCATTGTAAACATTTGAAAGTATATCTTTACAATCTTATCTTATTTTGTTTTGCCCTATTTTTTATAAATTTTCCTAAGTCTAAAAATATATTATCTTGAATGGGAATCTGAGAGTCCCTTCTTTCTGGCCTTCTTCTTTATTTGCACCCCTTAGTCTTTTTCCTTCTGGTAGCTTCATAGGCCTCTCATACTCAGAAAATGTTGATTCCTTCCTGTTTTCATTTTGGAGCAAGAAGGGAAGCTCACAGTGAAATATTTATGGGTCAAGAAAAAGGGTCTCTGGCTGAAATTCCATCTTTTATGGAAAAATTTCAGTAATATTTTATATCAATGTCTCCAACTATTTCCTGGGACTTACCCAAAGTTTTTTTTGGGGAGGGGTATGTGGAAGGGTGAAGCTCTATCTTGCATCATGTGCTGGTCATGTAACCTACCAAGGACTTTGATTTCTTCCTCGATAAGTTGACATGGAAATTGCTGCCCAAGGTGCTGGATCAAATTTATGATTCTCCTTGGTCTCAAAAAATTCATCTCTTTGTGACTGCATTTGGCTTCCTTTTCACCCTGATGTGACAGGTTTTAGTTCCTATCATTTCTGCTGATTCTTGGATCCTACTATTTCCTTCTTCCATCATTTTTCTTCATTCTGCTGAAATATATCCTTTGTAGTTGTGGGAAACTCTCTTATTTTTTGTATGAAAAATCATCTTTTATTGTACATTTATTATTGAATTCTATACCAAATTAATCTTGACATAGAATCCTGGGTGTGTTGAATGATTGTGCTTACTCCAGAGCTATTATCTTTTTTTAAAAAATACTTTTCTTTTTAAAAAATTGACTCTTGAAGAAACATCTCTTTTATTATACCTAATTTAGCTTGGAATAAAATTTTAGGTTGGTTGCTATTTTCCTTCAGTACTTTGAAGATATTCTCTCATTATCTTAGAATCATTAGAATCCATTATTGCTGTTGAAAAATCTACTGTGAGTCTAATTTTTACTTCTTCATCTGCCAGTAGTAGGCAACGTCTAAAATGAATGATGCCTAAGAATCTCAACTTGCTATTATGTGTGCCCTTGTGTATTCCCCCTGCCCGTGAGTATGGGCTGAGCCTAGTGACTTTCTTCTAATGAATAGAATATGACAACAATGATGAGATGTCACTTTGAAGATTAAATTAGAGAAAATCTCAGATGCCCTCTACTCCTCCCGCACTTGGTTGTTCTGATGAAGTCAGCTGCCTTGTTGTGAACTTTTTATGAGAGTTATATGTAGCAAGGAACTGAAGGAGTCCTTTAGCCAACAGCTAGAAAAGGCTGAGACCCTCAATCCAATAACCGGTGAGAAACTGAATATTGCTAAGCTCACATAAGTAAACATGGAAGCAAAGTCTCTCATAGTTCAGCCTTCAGATGCCACTGCTGCCCCATTTAACATCTTAATTGCAGTCTTGTATGAGAAATTAAGGCTGAGTCAACTAGGTAAGCTTCATCCAGATTTCTGGGCCACCAAAACTGTGAGATAATAAATGTTTGTTATTTTAAGCCCCTAAGCTTTGGGATAATCTATTATGCAGCAATAGCTAACTAATACACTGCCTTTACCATAGTGTTTAAGATTTTTTCTTTTTCCTTCATATCAGAACATGAAGTTTATTATGATGTGTCTAGATGTAGATGGTGAGGGTTTCATTTTATTTATACTGCTTGGAATTTTAAACACACTTTAAAAAACTTTTATTACAGAATATTTCACAATTGAAATGGTGATTAATTCCTTAATATTATCAAATATTCAGTAATAGTACAAATTTATTTTCAAGTTTTCTTAATTTTTTACACTTAGTTTATTCAAATCAGAGTCCAAATACATATTCAATTTATAATAATACTTCTAAATCAAAATCAGGTTCATAAACTTTATAGTCAGTTTCTTTAATTTTATGTTTCTATTTCTTTTTTTGTGGAGAGGAAAACCTCATTGTTAAAGACATGATTCACCTAATTCCTTAATTAGGTTAATTATATATGTATAATTATATATATAAATTATACATATGTGATTGTTTCAAAGAACAATAATAATTTTTATTACCAATGTTACTGAAAACTGTTTATTTTTTTTCCAGTTCTCTTTTGCTTGTTTGTTTTGCTTTGTTGTTGTGGGGTTTTGACTTTGCTTTGGTTGATTTTTTGTCATTGTTTGATTGGCATTTTTTTTGTCCTAGGGTGTATCCTGCTAGGGATGAATGGTCCAATTAGTGACAGTTGAAATAATCTCTTTCTGTGTGGCTCTGCCACAAACTCAATATGCAGTTTCATTCATTTAGTTTCCAGTTTATAGGAGTAGATTTGTTTTCATTTTCATTCAATTATCCTTGAAAATTATGTAAAACATTCATATCATTCCAAAGTATAATATACAATCCAAGTATCCCCAGGAGACATGGCTTTCATCTCTATACTCCCATCTTGTGACTTACTTTTTCCTGTAAGCTGCCATTTTAAAAATATTATGGCTATCCTTCCATGCTTTTTGCGAGGAGGGAGTAGGGGTACAACAAAGACACACAGATATGTGTGTGTGTGTATGTATGTTTGCGTGCATTCACTTCCTCCCCTTTTTAGATAAATGAGAATATATAAATATTTTTTCTATTCTAATTTTTTCACTTAGCAATTTTAGATGTCTTTTGTCCATTATAAATTGTCTGTACACATAAAAGTCCATAAACTATAAGGGTATGGTTTGAAAAATTTTCACCAAGTGAATACATCTATGTCAGTACCATTTAGATCAAGAAATACATTACTAACATCCAGAAGCCCTTCTCCTGTACCCTCCCAATCATTTTCCACACCCACCTCTTCAAAGATAACCATGATTTTTAACTTCTATTGCCTTAGATTAATATGCCTGTTTTTCAAAGTTTAAACACATAGAATCATACATTTTCTACCGATTTGCATCTGGATGCTTCTATTCACTTCTGTTTGTGAAATTCATCCATGTTGTTGTGTGTAGAAGTAGACCATTCATTCTTATTGCTGTATAGTAGTCTATTATATAATTACAGCATAATTTATTTATCTGTATTGTTAATACACATTTGGGTTTTTCCAGTTTGGGGCTTTCAGAAATTGTGCTGCTTCTTTGGAATAGTTTGAGTAGGACTTATATTAGTTCTTTAAATATTTACTAGAATTCAGTGGTGAAGCCATCAGGTCCTCGGCTTTTCTTTGATCGGAGACCTTTTATTATGGCTTCTATCTTGGTACTTGTTATTGGTATATTCAGGTTTTGGATTTTTTTATGGTTCAGTCTTGGTAGGTTGTACATGTCCAGGAATATATCCATTTCTTCTAGGTTTTCCAATTTATTGGCAAAAAAAAAAAAAAACCAGAGTAGCCAAAGCAATCCTGAGCAAAAGAACAAAGCTGGAGGAATCACATTACCTGACTTCAAACTATACTACAGAGCTATAGTAATCAAAACAGCATGGTCCTGGCATAAAAACAGACACATAGACCAATGGAACAGAAAAGAGGACACAGAAATAAATCCACACATTTACAGTCAACTCATTTTTGACAAAGTCATCAAAAACATACGCAGGGAAAGGGCAGTTTCTTCAAAAAATGGTGCTGGGAAAACTGAACAATTATATACAAATTAATGTACCTAGACCCTTATCTCTAACCATACACAAAAATCAAATCAAAACGGATTAAACACTTAAATTTAAGACCTGAAACTATGAAACTTCTAGAAGAAAACATTGAGGAAAATCTCCAGAACATTGGTCTGGGCAAAGATTTCTTGAGTATGACCTCAAAAGCACAGATGACCAAAGCAAAAATGGACAAATGGGATCACATCAATCTAAAAAGTTTCTGCACAGCAAATGAAACAATCAACAAAGTGAAGAGACAACCCACAGAATGGGAAAAAAAATTTGCAAACTACCCATCTGACAAGAGACTAATAATCAAAATATAAAAGAAGCTCAAACAACTCAATAGGAAAAATATATATATATATTTGGTATATTTTTGGATGCATAGCTTGCAAATACTTTCTCCCATTTGTATGTATATATATATTTAAAAATGGGCAAAAGACCTGAATAGACATTTCTCAAAAGAAGAAATAATCCAGATGAAATTGATCTGATGTGCTTCATTAGGTAATAAGCTTGCTACCCAAAAGGTAGTTTTTCCATCCTCACTGTCCTCCCACCCTCCACCACCCAGTAGACCATGATGTCTATTGTTTTCTTCTTTGTGTCCATGTGTTCTCATTGTTTAGCACCAACTTATAAGTAAGAACATGCAGTATTTGGTTTTCTCTTCTTGTGTTAGTTCACGTAGGATCATGGCCTCCAGCTCCATCCATATTGCTGCAAATGACTGCATTCTTTTTTATGGCTGCATAGTATTCCATGGTGTATATGTGCCACATCTTCTTTGTGCAGTCTACCATTGATTCTGTGTCTTTGCTATTGTGAATAGAGCTGCGAGGAACATATGCATGCATGTGTCTTGATGGTAGAACAGTTTATATTCCTTTGGGTATATACCCAATAATGGAATTGCTGGGTCAAATGGTAGTTTTATTTTAAGTTCTTTGAGAAATCACCACACTGCTTTCTACAATGGCTGAACTAATTTGCACTCCCTCCAGCTGCATATAAATATGCCTTTTTCTCCACAACTTTGCCAGCATCTGTTATTTTTGACTTTTTATTAATAGCCATTCTGATTGGTGTAAGATGGTATCTCATTGTGTTTTTGATTTGCATTTCTCTGATGATTAGTTATATTGAGCATTTTTTCATGTTTCTTGGCTGCTTGTATATCTTCTTTTGAGAAGTGTCTGTTCATGTCCCTTACCCTTTTCTCATAGGGTTATTTGTTGTTTGCTTGTTGATTTAAGTTCTTTGTAGATACTGGATACTAGACCATTTTTGGATGCATAGCTTGCAAATACTTTCTCCCATTTGTACATTGTCTATTTACTCTTCTGACAGCTTCTTTGGCTGTGCAGAAGATGTTTAGTTTAATTAGGTCCTATTTGTCGATTTTTGGTTTTGCTGCAATTGGTTTTGGCATCTGCGTCATGAAATCCTTGCCAGGTCCTATGTCCAGAATAATATTTCCTAGGTTATTTTCCATGGTTTTTATAGTTTTTGAGCTTACATTTAAGTCTTTGATGCATCTTGAACTTATTTTAGTATATGGTGTAAGGAAGGTGTCCGGTTTTAATCTTCTGCATATGCCTAGCCAGTTATTTCATAGCCTTTCTATTATGACCATAACCATTCTATTATAACCATAACCATAACTATTTCATTCCCATTTATTGAATAAGGAGTCTTTTCTCCATTGCTTGTTTTTGTCAATTTTGTTGAAGATCAGATGGTTTTACATGTGCAGCATTGTTTCTGGGCTCTCTAGCTTGTTCCATTGGTCTATGTGTCTGTTTCTGTGCCAGTACCGTACTGTTTTGATTACTGTAGCTTTGTAATATAGTTTAAAGTCGGGTTATATGGTGCCCCCAGTTTTATTCTTTTAGCTTAGGATTGCCTTGGCAATTTGGGCTCTTTTATTTGTTCCATGTGTATTTTAAGATAGTTTTTTTCTAATTCTGTAAAGAATGTCAGCAGTATTTTGAGAGGAATAGCATTGAATCTGTAAGTTGCTTTGGGCAGTATGGCCATTTTAACAACATTGATTCTTCCTATACATGTTCATGGAGTGTTTTTCCATTTGTTTGTGTCATCTCTGATTTCTTTGAGCAGTGTTTTGTAGTTCTTCTTGTAGATATATTCCACTTCTTTATCCTTAGCTATCTGTATTTCTATGTATTTTTATTCTTTTTGTGGCTATTGTGAATGGGATTGCATTCTTGATTTGGCTCTCAGCTTAAATGTCTGAGTGGAGCACCATCCCAAGTCCTCATTTCAAGCTACAAGCCTTGCATCCTTTTCCATGTTGTGTAGTGTATTTCTGTGCCTCATCAAACATCAGAAACTTCTACGCACTTCTGGTTGTTTTAAAAACCATGCCTTGTACACCATCCTGGACACTTCATCCTATGTGCTACTTTGCTTTTCTGTATTAAGGGTTATCATTCTGTCTTGGAGTGTGGCTGTTTTCTTTTAAAATTTTCTCTGTACATTTTATCTAACAGTGATGTATGTCTAAAGAATGGGAAGGGAAAAGGGAGGGAGAAAGGGTGATGTGGTAGGACATGGTTCAGAATATGAACTGAGAATACCATCTTAATTAGAGGTCTCCAATTTTTTCTTTGCAAAAATATGCTTACATTATTATTATAACACTGTTTCAGTGTTATACAAAAATAATGATTATCTATTATTATTTAGGTAAGGTTATATAAATTATTATTTAGATAAGATACTGTTATCTCTCTTTTTGTAGTCTGCTATATTTTGAACACTCTTCACACCATTAAATATTCTACGACAGTACATTTCTGTTCATGCTGATCAAATTAGATTGTGGTAATCTACTAGATGTGGTTTGTCTCTGCCATTGTATGTGAAACTGAAGGCCTAAGGTTAAGACTTGTTTATCTCTTTCTGCATCCCGATGGCTCAGCATAGAGTAGGCTTCAGGAAATATACATTTAATGAATAAATAAGTCAATAGATAAGTGACCTTTGATTCCTACTATGTGCATATTATTGAATTAGATTTACTTTGTGATTGCTTGGAAGAATTTACAAAGATGAGTAACTGACAATGTTTCAACCCTCAAGGGACTAGTGATATATTTAGAAGCTGACAACCGGTTGATGATTGAGATGTTGCTTTTCACTCTGTTTTTATCTCTCTGTCTCGCTCATATAACTCTATCACTTAGCTATGCAGTGTTTCTTGGGCTTTGATAGCAGGGTAACCACAAAAGAAGAGATCATACTTGCTAAAAACTCCCAGGTTTGGAGTAAAACCAAGACATTTCCTATTGGGATGAGTTCCTGTATTAAAACAGCTAAAAATGAACTATGATTTCTATTGTTTTCTAAGGCATGATTGCTGTGGCTGGAAATCCCAGAGTTAATACTTAGGACCCTCTTGACAGTCACTT